>NC_000015.10:28731419-29034449 GCF_000001405.40 Homo sapiens
GTCTTAAGAAAATGTCAACCCAATGTCAAAGGATAATTAATTTTTTTAAAGAAAAGAAAAATAATGGTTCTCATACAAATGTAAAATGAATATATGTTCATGATTTTATTTAACTGATTAATAAATAAGAGTGCCACAGGATGTTTTAACTGGTTCAAAGGAGAATACAAAGAGAATATATAGGCAGACATTCATGCTGAAATGAATTTGCTTAATAAAGGCAAAACTAGCCAATATCCATAGGGTGATGGTCAAATATATCTACACTGGATAATTTGCATTTTCATGGACAGGAATTATTTGCAATTTACACAGTTGTGAAATAGGTAAAACAAACAAAAAGTGAAAGGTTCAGAAACCCCATACAATCAGCTAAACTAACATTTAGTTTTCCATTGAAAATATTTAGCAATTTTTTGAGACAATTTCAAAGTTTTTCTTAATTTTTCTCTGCTCTAAACAAGTATATAAATTATTTCCAATGAAAATTAGAGCTTTTTCTTTGTTGAATTAGTGTTTTGAAAAATTTATGGAAGGAGACGGAACATAAAAGCAGTTGCCAAGTTTATCAATTAAGTTGGTACGATTACAAATCCCAATTGAGAAATATTTTTAAGTATATTTTTCTTTCCAAGACAAATAGACATTTAAACAGTCCTAATGTTCATATCCTTTATGTTACATATATATGTATAGATGTGTAAGTATATGTATATCTACATGTATATAAAAAGACACAAACTCACATAGTTATTTCAGAGAATTATTTATGGAAATGTGTTGGGTTTTCTTTTTGTGAAGCTATGTTATCAAGAAGTTATTCTTAGTTTTACAGAAAATAAAACAGCTCTGGCTCTTTGTATCATAAGATAAATATCTGTTTATAAATATCAGTATTTTCTAATACTTCTAATGTACTCTTTTGGAGGTAATGGTATATGAAACCCTATAAGAGCAATTCTACTTCATTAATTAATTCGGAAGAAACACAAGTTTTTAAGACCCAGTGTATGCCAATAATTGACAAAGTCATTAAGGTAGACAAAGATGGGTAGAGCCTGGGCTTTGGCTATGAATGTTAGAAAATGAATCACTGAAAGTAAAACATGTTTAAAAGATTAAAATAACAAAAAATGGTTTGAAATTAATTTCAGTTATTGGCCATCAATTGGTTAGAATGAGTAATTAAGAATGAGTCGAAGCTTTTTTCTCTTCATTTATGTCAAATATGTCATAAAAATAGTCAATTTTAGATTATTATAAGTCAATTATGTCAAAATGGTTGAATGACATGTCATTGAAATTAATCTTTAGCTTGTAATGCTATCATTTCAGTTTTAATTAATATTGGGGCCAAAATGTTCATTAGATACTGTTTTTAATGATCAGTTTTTATGCAAATGATTTATATAAGTCAGAACTTCAATTCAATGTTTGGTAGCTGTTTGATTTTTAGGACATTATATATTGAAATGTACACTGATTATCCTAAAGTTGTAAATATTTAAGAAACTTTACAGCAAAAAGTCTAAAATAAAGATATATTTATATTATTTCCAAAACAGAAAATTTAAATTGATTCCCTAGTCAAAGAAACTGTTTGTAAATAAAATGTAACAAACTATATATTCCTTGGCCCCCAGACAGTTTAAAGTCACTTTTCCTTTTTATATACATGTTCTAATATTATAAACAGTGAGCTCAGGAATACCCTAATTTGTCTTTTGTATATTTTCAGCAGATTGTGCTGTTTCAAATTATATTATTTTACTCCAATTCTTTTGTTTACATATTGCTTTTTTTGCTAGCGTTTTTCATATTTTAAAATATATTACTATATTGTATATAGTAATATTGTGTTTCTCTTTCTTCATGTTTTATTTTGTTCCATAACCTTTGGCTTGTCCTTTTTATTCCATATTCCCATTTGTAGATGTAGTTTTCAAAGGTGCTTATTTACACAAACTTAAGACTCTTGGGCCAGGCGTGGTGGCTCACACCTGTAACCCCAGCACTGTGGGAGGCCAAGACGGGCGGATCACAAGATCAGGAGATTTGAGACCATCCTGGCTAACATGGTGGAACCCCGTCTCTACTAAAAATACAAAAAAAAAAATTAGCCGGGCATGGTGGCGGACGCCTGCAGTCCCAGCTACTAGGGAGGCTGATGCAGGAGAATGGCGTGAACCCGAGAGGCGGAGCTTGCAGTGAGCCGAGATCGCGCCATTGCACTCCAGCCTGGGCGACAAAGCGAGACTCCGTCTCAAAAAAAACAAAAAAACAAAAAACTTTTGAACCAAAATATTCTGAATGAGATCAAAGTCAAAGCTCAAACGTTTCTTAAAAATGAGGTTTTTCTGAGTTGGGAACCAGAGTCATCTATTGCCCAATGCAGTAGGCATTGAGAATAGAACTTGCGACAACTCTCTGTGCATTAACAATAGAAAAAATGGGATAAGATAGAGGCAAGGAACATACATTCACGGAGCAAGAGGAAACACTGAAGAACTAATAGAAATTGGGCTTATTAAAATAAACTTACCAAGGTATGGTACCAATTCTCCTTTTTTTGTTCAGTCCATAATAGAGTTCTTAATGCTTTCAAATTTTTTCTTATAATAGTTTTCCTAAATATATTTCATTTATTTATTTGTTTGTTTGTTTTTTACATGGTGTCTTGCTTCATCGCCCAGGCTGGAGTGCAGTGGTGCGATCTCGGCCTACTGCAACCTCCGCCTTGTGGGTTCAAGCAATTCTCCTGTCTCACCCTCCTGAGTAGCTGGGACTACAGGTGCCCGCCACCACACCTGGCTAATTTTTGTATTTTTAGTAGAGACGGTATTTCACCTTGTTGGTCAGGCTGGTCTTAAACTCCTGACCTCAGGTGATCCACCCGATTCGGCCTCCCAAAGTGATGGTATTACAGGTGTGAGTCACTGCGCCCGGCCCTAAATCTATTATTTAAAAATCCACCTATACAATTGGTATTCACAGAAATTGCCCATATATGTTATTATTTTATTCTCATAACTCTCTATGCCAAGTATAGATACATTATTGATGTGGAAAATTAGATCACAGAGATAAAGTGACTTTCCCAAGGTCAGTGCAGAAAGGGAAAGGTGAAAATTTGAACTTGTACCTGAAGAGTAAGAGCAAAGGGGTTAAGGAGTTACTCATATATCTTTGTGCTTCAGAGGTCCTTACTGAGAGTTTTAATCCAAATGGTTTGGTAAATCTGGGGCAACAGCTATAACATGGCTTATGTGATGCTTAGTGTTTTGGAACCATCAAGATCTTTGCAATGGCATCACCGATAACAACCCCATCATCTTGTAAAACATGGACATGTTGGGAAATAATGTTTTAGTTCAGTCATTGAACTGACCCAAACTTCTGTGTTCATATTTTTATAGACCTCATGATTGTTAAGATATAAAGAAGCATCAGAAGTTTTGTTTTTGTTTTTAATTACAAAGGAGTTAGGATATTCCTAACATCCAAAGTGAATTAAAATAATTCACTTTGATGTGAGAAAGAGCTTCTTGTCTTAGGGACACTGGTGAGGTGAATTCACAACTATGGGTTGTTTTAATTGAATTACATCCTCAGAGGTTTAGTTTTGAGCTCTGAATCTACAATCTGTATTTTGCAAGTAATCAATGGTATTTATTTAAGTTCTCTTGGTAAAGATAATGTGAATAGGGAAATCTGCTTATTTCTAGCATAAAATTGTTTATTAAGCAAAATAATAGCACTGCAAATTAACTAGTAAAATGAAATCTTTAACTTTCACACCTTCATTTGATATTTACTGAATATTTTGGGGACTAGCTTATATGTAATTTAGCTCAACTTTTGTTTAAAATAGGAAACTGAACTTTGAAAATAAGTACTTTTAAAAATATTTTAGAATGCAAAATAGTTTTCATGGAAACTTTCATGGAATAATATTCTTTATATTTTAGAATCAAGGTATGTTCCTACTTGGTATTTAATCAAGGAAATACCTAAATCAAGAACAATTCCAAATGGCTGTTTATTAAGTGTGATGGTTTACTAATGTCAACAAAAGTGAAAAAAATCATATTGAAGTATAAATAGTAATCTTGTTTAACATATTTATAAATACATTTTTGTACATATTTATGTTTTGTACCTATTTATATAAAAAACAAATATTATTATCTTTTGTACAAATATTTTTAAGATCTGGCACTTTTTTAGCACCCCAGAAAAATATTTTTCAGGCTCTCAGCTGATGCTGAGAAAAAGAAGTCAGTCTCACATGTTACCATAGATTAATATTGCCTATCTTTGTCTTCATATAAATGGAAGCATATGGTATTTATTTTTTTCTGGCTTATTTCACTCAAAATTACATTTGTGAAATCTGTTTATGTTATGGACCAGTGATTCATTCCTTTTTGTTTTGTGTAGCACCCTGTTGAATGAATATGGAGCTTTCCAATCCATTCTAGCCTGATGAACATCCAGGTGTTTCTGTTGAAACTGCTAGTCATAAATTATGTGTTTAAATGTAGTAGATAATGATAATTATTTTTCCAAAATGATTGTATCAACTTAATAACTCATTCAAATATGTGAAGACCTCCTAACAATCTAAAAAGATGGACCTCCAATTTCAAATAATAAATAAAAAGAGTAAGTACTTGAACAGGCAGTATATGCACATTTTTTAAAATAAAAGATTGAGTTAAATTTTGTAAAATGTAGGCCGGGCGTGGTGGCTCACGCCTGTAATCCCAGCACTTTGGGAGGCAGAGACGAGCAGATCACGAGGTCAGGAGATCGAGACCATCCTGGCTAACACTGTGAAACCCCGTCTCTACTAAAAATACAAAAAATTAGCCGGGCGTGGTGGCGGGCACCTGTAGTCCCAGCTACTTGGGAGGCTGAAACAGGAGAATGGCATGAACCCAGGAGGCAGAGCTTGCAGTGAGCTGAGATTGCGCCACTGCACTCCAGCCTGGGCAACAGAGCGAGACTCCGTCTCAAAAAAAAAAAAAAAAAGAAATGTTAAGTAAGAATCTCATTTGAGCTACATGTGTGAAAATATGTCTTTTACATTATTATATAACACAGATTTTGGATATGACGAGTGCTGAACTGAGGCTTTTCACTTGATATGCATTACAAATTAGAATTTTTCACTCACAAAACATGCTTATGACAATTTTATATGTGAATAGAATTGTAAAAATTGCCTTAAGAGTTATTGAATAAAATGTTTAAAGTACCCCATAGGATGAGGAAAAAATGGAAGAGTTAATTTAACAAGGATACAAAGCGTAAAAGATAGAGAAGAATAAGAGTTCAAATAAAATCGAATGAAAAGACACCATCTTGTGTAACTCTGTAGTTAATTGTGCATGTGTGCTATTTTTCATGACTTGGAGCACGTTATTTTTGGCCAAGAGCTTCCATTCTATCTATGGATATGCCAAAATTTTCCTATTTTAGATCTTCTAGTCTCCAACTCTCAAGATAAAAAACAAAAATCATTAAAACCTCTGACTGATATTGAATGCCTGCATAAAAATCTCCTCCCATCACCTTGCAACAGATGACTTGCTCATACACCTTTTTGACTACCACTCCCCATCAAGGGTTCTCTCCTTCGAGACGGCAGTAATTCTCTATGTATTTCATGTTATGTGCAAACTTTACTTTCAAAGAGTTGTTACCTATATTAATGTATTTACATCATTCACTTAATATATTTTCTCTATCAGTAAAATTGGTTTAGATATATTGGATTAGGATAGAACACGTCACAATTTTTCTCACCTTTATGATTTTTTTTTTTTAGTTGGACCCTTTTTCAGTTGGTGACAGTGTCAGAAATGAATTAAAGTTGTTAAGAATAGGTAAGGGTAAAGAGAAGGGTGTCCTTATGTATCAACTTTGCTTATTTAGTTTTTTCAAGTTCAGTAAGACCCTCCTCTCCCTTCAAGGAAGATGATTCCTAGGCACGTTTGTTATTTCTATCAAAACAGCTGAGGTTTTTTTTTTTCATTCATATTGTTAAAATACCAATTGTGGAGCGAAAAATGCTTCACCTGGGACTGTCCCCTGACAGGCGGTGCGACGAGGTCAGGCCCGCGCCCGCCAAGCCCTAGGGCCGCTGCCGCCGACGGCCATGGAGGACGAGCAGCCCGACAGCCTGGAGGGCTGGGCGCCGCTCCGGGAGGGCCTCTTCGCCGATCCCCAGAGGCACCGGTTGCGCTTCCTGGTGGCTTGGAACGGCGCGGAGGGCAAGTTTGCTGTGACTTGTCACGACCGCACCGCGCAGCAGCCGCAGCGGCGCGAGGGGGCCCGGCTGGGGCTGGAGCACAAGCCCGAGGCCGCCGTGTCCCCGCCCAGCTGGGCCGGCCGGCTCTCGGCCGCGGGGTTCCGCGGCGCGCGCCGGCAGCCAGCGGCGCTGTGGCCGCCTCTGGAACACTGCTTCCCACGGCTGCCGCCGGAGCTGGACGTGGGCGGCGGCGGGGCCTGAGGTCTGGGGCTCGGGCGGTGGGCGCTGCTCTGGCCGGCGCGCGTGGGCCCCGGCGAGGCGGCGCTGCAGGAGCTTTGCGGGCAGCTGGAGCGCTACCTGGGCGCGGCGGCCCACGGCTGTGGCGGCGCCACCGTGCGCGACGCTCTCTTCGCGGCTAAGGGCCGCGCGGCCGACTGCGAGAGCCCGCGCGAGTTTCGGGAGCGGGCCCTGCGCGCCTGATGGGTCGAGGCGGACGCGCGGCTGCGTCAGGTAAGCGAGGCCGGGCCGCCGGCGTTTGACCGCGCTTGGGTGGCCTGGGACCCTGTGGGAGGCTTCCCCGGCGCCGAGAGCCCTGGCTGACGGCTGATGGGGAGGAGCCGGCGGGCGGAGAAGGCCACGGGCTCCCCAGTACCCTCACCTGCGCGGGATCGCTGCGGGAAACCAGGGGGAGCTTCGGCAGGGCCTGCAGAGAGGACAAGCGAAGTTAAGAGCCTAGTGTACTTGCCGCTGGGAGCTGGGCTAGGCCCCCAACCTTTGCCCTGAAGATGCTGGCAGAGCAGGATGTTGTAACGGGAAATGTCAGAAATACTGCAAGCAAACTGAAAACAACCCATCCATGTAGGAAAGAATAACACGGACTACACGTAAACAATTCTAAGTCTGTGTCTGCGGGGACGTCGCAAGTGGGATAAAATGGTTTAAAGGAAGAAATGGCTTTTAGGAGTTAGGGTGTTTTGTTTTAAGTAATACAGACTTGGTCAAATGGAAAGCCGGTAGAAAGTGAGCTTTATTCATCAGTTTAACCGCATTAGTGCCCTTTTAAGCTTGAAAGAGGTAGTTTGAGAGAGTAATTGAGTGGTAAACTTACTGAACTTAGGGGACGGGGAAGTACATGTTCATAGAAGGGTTTAGGAGAAAGTATGCCTTCTAAATCCACACCCACGGTTTACTAAGCAGAGCCAGGCTGGAGTCTCGGCTCACTGCTCTTATTAACCTGAATGATATTTTTCTGTGCATTCTTTTGAGGAAGGGGAGGTGAAAAGAAGAATTCAGCCTAAGCTAAATATAGAATAAGCTTTCTAAATTAAAATGGTTTTATAAAAGGAGCTTGTTAGTGGGGTCATTTTTGTACTGTGAGCTTTATGTGTAAATGTCTACACACCCACTTAACGTGTTGATTTCACTTTAGACTATGAGGAAACCACAGGGGAGTTTCAGGCCAGTCAGCTTTTCATCTTCAACTTTATAACTTTCACCTGAGGATATGAGGAACCCACAGGGGAGTTTCAAAAATGGTATCATTTTGTATCAGACTTGTTTTTTAAACACTTGGTTTCTCACAGAGATAGGTGGTTTCTCCTTAAAATCGAACATTTATATGGTGTATTTTACTGTAGTTGCTATCAGAAAAGTTAGTTTTCCCAAATTTAAGTTCACTCTGGGGTACTATAGCATGAATGTAGTTCATTCTGTTGAGCTAGTTGTTCACGTTAGTGTAGTTCACATATTTATCTGGAACTCAAAAATGAGGGGTTGAGAGGGGAAGCTAAACTTCACATGTCCAAATATATAATTTTAATATTTACTTTATATTTAGAATAGAAAAGTAATTGATTCTAGAATTAGACCAATTGCTAGGATTGCTAGGATATATAAAATGAAGCTGAATGTTTTAACTCCGGAATTTTTCTGAATAGTCTAAGAAAGAAGGCTGAAATGTACCACTTGCCTTTTGACTTTTGCTTGTGTGTTTTAATTTTGTTCAGTGAGGCTTTCACTTAAAAAAAATGATAATATTATTACCTGGATAAAAAATACAGCTGAAAGTAGATCACTTTAGCCTTAAGCAGAAGGATGGAAATAGAAGACTTTAAGAATGTATTGGTTGAAAAAAATCTATATTATTTGATTTTATTTCTCTTCTTGTGGGAGTAAAATAATTTCCAACCAAATCAGTCCACCTAGATTATACACTGTTCAGTTTGCTTTCTGCCCTGCAGCACAAGCAATAACCAGCAGAGACCGGAACCACAGCTGAGGCTCTGTAAATGAGTTGACTGCTAAGGACTTCATGGGAATATTAACCTGGGGCATTAAGAGAATCAACATGCTAAAGTACTTGGAGACAGCTCTGTAATGTTTTATGAGATTTTGTTTAGTTGAGTTTTGTTTTGTTTTTTGAGAGAGTCTTGCACTGTCGCCCAGGCTGGAGTGCAGTGGTGCCATCTTGGCTCACTGCAAGCTCTGCCCCCCGGGTTCACGCCATTTTCCTGCCTCATCCTCCCCAGTAGCTGGGACTGCAGGCGCCCGCCACCACGCCCGGCTAATTTTTTGTATTGTTAGTATAGACAGGTTTCACCGTGTTAGCCAGGATGGTCTCGTTCTCCTGACCTTGTGATGCGCCTGCTGTGGCCTCCCAAGGTGCTGGGGTTACAGGCGTGAGCCACCACGCCTGGCCCTTATGAGCTTTTAAAAAGGAATACAGCCTCACAAAACCTTTACAGTCAGAAAAGTCAAATGAAAAAATATCCACAACCTCAAACCTTCTTTTGGGTCCTTTTCGCTGCATACTTAGTGCACAGTTGAGATTAAATTTTATACTCTGCCTCTCCATTTAATTATAAAAGTCTCTTTTTATTTTTGAAACGGAGTTTCATTCTTGTTGCCCAGGCTGGAATGCAATGGCACTGTCTCGGCTCACCGCAACCTCCGCCTCCCAGGTTCAAGCGATTCTCCTGCCTCAGCCTCCCCAGTAGCTGGGATTACAGGCATGCGCCACCACGCCCAACTAATTTTGTATTTTTAGTACAGACAGTGTTTCTCTATGTTGGTCAGGCTGGTCTCGAAGTCCTGACCTCAAGTGATCCACCCGCCTCGGCCTCCCAAAGTGCTGGAATTACCGGCATGAGCCACCGTGCCTGGCCAAAAGTCTCCATATTATTAAACAATCTTCAGAAGCACAGTGCTGAATGACTACACTAATAATATTCTGCCATGGATATATCATAATTTTCTTAACAATTCTTGTTTTATTGGGCATTTTTGATGGAGAATGATAACATTTTCGTATTTAATCAATATTTTAAATTGATGTATTGAAAGTTGAGAACATGAAGGTTTCTTTCGTTTAGCTTTGTTTGTTGGGTATGTATTACACTGTCCTGACTTGAGCTTTATTCACATTTGCTCTCTAGGTTATTCAAGGACACGGAAAAGCCAACACCATGGTAGCATTAATGAAAGTTTACCAAGAGGAAGATGAAGCCTACCAGGAATTAGTTACCGTGGCAACCACGTTCTTCCAGTACTTATTGCGGCCATTTAGGGCTATGCGAGAAGTTGCAACTTTATGTAAGCTTGATATTTTGGTTTTTTTTTTAATTTTTATTTTATCACATTTACTATTTGTCATATATTATTTCTTTATTTACACTTAATCTTCAATCTCTGTACTTTGTTTGGGTTTGTTTGGGTTTACTCTTATGTTTATTTACTTATTTATTGATAGAGATGAGGTTTTGCCATGTTGCTCAAGCTCGTTTCTAACTCCTGAGCTCAAGCAGTCTGCCCACCTCGGCCTCCCAAAGCGTAGCATTACAGGCATAAGCCACTATGCCTAGTTCACCCTCGTGTTTAAATATTGAATTTATATTTAAAATTGATAGAAAATGAAGACATTTACGTTGGTCATCTTAATAGCTTAAGATTCCTACAAATTTTAAAGAGTTAAATGTTTTTTCTGGCGATGAATTTTTTTTTTTGTTTTTTGAGATAGGGTCTCTCTTTGTCAGCTAGGCTAGAGTGCAGTGGCACAATCTTGGCTCACTGCAACCTCCTCCAGGTTCAAGTGACTCTTCTGCCTCAGCCTCCTGAGTAGCTGGGATTACAGGTGTGCACTACCATGCCCAGCTAACTTTCTTTGTATTTTTAGTAGAGACGGGGTTTCACCATGTTGGCCAGACTGGTTCGAACTCCTGGCCTCAAGTGAGCCACCCGTCTCAGCCTCCCAAAGTGCTGGGATTACAAGCGTGAGCCACTGCGCCCAGCCTGATGAATTGTTTTTGATGTGATGTTTATTTGCTTCAGTTGTTTTCCTCTAAGGACTCATGCAGATTTCTTAAAATAGGATGAAAATTTAAATAGCAGGACCCTAGATTGTAATTCAGTAACTTAAATTTTAGTAAATACAGTTATCGCTCTTGCTTCATTGAGCCATCAAACATCCTTGTGACACCATTCAGGAAAGGCATTCTTATTCCAGTGTTACAAATGAATCTAGAGTCCGGAGTTGTTAAATAGCTTGCCTTGGGTCTCAACAACGGGAATCAGAAGACACCTAAGAGATCTCTTGATTTCTGCCCCCTGCACTGGGCCATCTTTCCACATATAATCTCATGCCCCTGCCAGATGATTGTACTATAAAAATAGTATCACATTTAGATGAAACTCATGCCACCCTAACCTGTGGATAAAGTTGTTCTGTTCATTATTTTGAAAGTCTATTATTTGGAGAGTCTACGTCTCGCATATATTTTGCTTTCTTCTTCTTTTTTTTTTTTTTTTGAGATGGAGTTTCGCTCTTGTTGCCCAGGCTGGAGTGCAATGGCGTGATCTCGGCTCACGGCAACCTCCACCTCCTGGATTCAAGCGATTCTTCTGCCTCAGCCTCCCGAGTAGCTGGGATTACAGGCATGTGCCACCTTGTCCAGCCCGGCTAATTTTGTATTTTTTTAGTAGAGACGGGGTTTCTTCATGTTGGTCAGGCTGGTCTCGAACTCCTGACCTCAGGTGATCTGCCTGCCTCAGGCTCCCATTGTGCTGGGATTACAGGCATGAGCCACCGCACCCAGTCTATAATTTTCCTTTCTTTAAGTAACAGCTGTTTTAAAATACCATTCACAGACCATATATATATATATATATATATATATATGTAAAATCTGTATATATATGTATACATATATGTATGTATATATGCATGTATATGTACATACATATATGTATATATGCATGTATACGTACATACATATATGTATATATGCATGTATACGTACATACATATATGTATATATGTATGTGTATATATGTATACATATATATAATCTGTATATGTATGTATGTATATGTGTATATATGTATATATACGTATATATGTATATGTATATATGTATGTGTATATGTATATATACATATATACGTATATATGTATGTATACGTATATACGTATATATGTATATATATGCATATATATATAAAATATATCTACATATATAAAAAGATGTACAATTCAGTGATTTTTAGTATATTGAAAGTTGCACAATGATCATTACTATGTAATTTCAGGACATTTTCACCCCCAAAAGAAACCCTGTACCCATTAGTCACTGCCAGCCCTGGGCAACCACCAATCTACTTTCTGTCTCTGTGGATTTCCCTACTCTGGACATAGCAACAGCATTATTGAATATGTGGTCCTTTCACTCAGCACAATGTTTGCAAGGCTAATCCATGTTGTAGCAAATACCAGGATTTCATTTCTTTTTATTGCTCAGTGATATTCATTGTATGGATATATTGCATTTTATTCATCAGTTGATGGACATTTGGGTTGTTTCCACTTTTTGGCTATCATGAATAATTCTGCTATGAATGCTTGTGTGTGAGTTTTTGTGTAGACATATCTTTTCATTGCTCTTGTGTACGTACTGAGGAGTAGGATTGCTGGGTCCTGTGATTACTCAGTGTTTAACCTTTTGAAAGACGCCAGATGGTTTTCCAAAGTGGGTGCATCATTTATATTCCCAGAAGCAGTAAATGAGGGTTCCAATTTGTCCACATTATCACCAACACTTGTAATTGTGTGTCTCTTTGGTTACAGCCATCCTAGTGGGTGTGAAGTGGTATCTCGTTTTGATTTGTAATTCCTTGTCGGCTAACTTGTACATATTTCTTATGCTTTGTAGAAGAAAAATTGCATATTGGATGACATAGCTGTACATGTCTTAGTTCAGGCTGTTGTAACAAAGTACTGTAGATTAGTGGCTTATAAACAACAAAACTTTTTTCTCACAGTTCTGGAGGCTGGGTAGTCTAAGATCAAGGTGCTGGCAGATCCAGTGTCTTGTGAGGGCCAGTTTCTTAATTTGTAGATGACTGTC
Organism: Homo sapiens; assembly: GCF_000001405.40. Classification (NCBI taxonomy): domain Eukaryota; kingdom Metazoa; phylum Chordata; class Mammalia; order Primates; family Hominidae; genus Homo; species Homo sapiens. The sequence continues at coordinate 28,744,074 of NC_000015.10, forward strand.
TTGCTGTGTCTTCACATGGTGAAGAGCAGAGAGAGAGATCCTGTGTCTCCTCTTCTTTTTATAAGGGCATTAATCCCAATTTTCTTGAGGTCTCCACCCTCATGACCTAATTACCTCCCAAAGGCCCCATCTTCAAATCCCATCACACTGGGGATTTAGGCTTCAACATATGCATTTTGGGGGGACCCAAACATTCAGTCCAATACCAGTACATGTTATAAGCATGAATATACAGATACTGTCTTTTAGGTGATAATATTACATATCCCTAAAAGAAATGATAACAACAGCTAACACTTAAGTGCTGTTTTCCAGGCCCTGTGCTGAGTGCTTGACAACACAGATCACTCATTTAAACAATTGTGTATTATTATTAATAGAGAGAAGCATAAGTTGACAACATTCCTCTCTAGAAAAAGTTATTCTAGGCATGTGAAGTGAAAGTAGTTTTTTTTCCCCCCCACTTTATGCCCCAGAGGGTCCTTTTGTCTTCCAGGTGGTGCTCAGCTTAGAGCCTTATTCATATGCAGTAAGGGACTGCTGAATGAATGAAAATTTAACTGACTGAGTAGTAGTGTAGTTAAATTAATCCATGTGACCAATTTCCTTTCAATTTCCTAATGGTTCTACATAACTATTAGCTCTTACTAAGATAATTTTCCCTTCTGTCTGTAGAAGTCCTTGGATGAGGATGACCTAGGTCCTAGAAGGGTAGTTGCCCTGGAGAAAGAAGCTGAAGAATGGACCAGACGGGCTGGAGAAGCTGTCGTCTCTATTCAAGATATCACAGTGAATTATTTTAAGGAGACAGTAAAAGCATTAGCAGGTGATAATCTAAAAAAATGCTATACGCAGATACGTGTAATTGATTGTCATTTTATTCAAATACCATTTGAGTCCCTCTTACGCACTAGGCACTGTGTTTTCTAGGTGGCGAGAATTCAGTGTCAAGCATTAAGAGACATTGTACAGTCTGGTGAAGGGAGAGAAATCTTAATTATCTATTCACTGAAGCACACAGAAAATGGCAGTGACAATAAATGGCACAAAGAAGAGAGACATGGGGCTCTGAGGGTCTGTGAGAGAGAAATTGGGCTTGATCAGCGTGGTCACTGAAGGCCTCTGAGAAGTGGCGCTTGCCCCAATATCTGAAGGGTAAATGGAAATTGAGAGAATAGAAAAAGTGAGGAGTGTTCCGGGCAGAAGGAATAGCACTGGCGAAGGTCCCCTGGCTTGAGGGAAGTTGGCAAATAGGAGCTTACAGAAAACCTGCGGGGCTGGATCGCAGAGAGTGCAGGACAATGTGGTATGAGGGAGAATGCTGGCAAGACAGGCAGGGATCAGACCGTGCAGGGGCTTGTGGGCTGGGTGAAGGACTTTTTTTCAGTCTTAAATAATTGTTGATAAAAACACCAAATAGGAAACAACTTAATGTCTGTCAGTTTAAGTTATGGTACATTCATAAAAGAGAAAACTACATAGCTATTAAGCATGATTCTTGATTTTTTTTTTATAAATGGCAGGAGTTTCTGATATATTGCACAGAATCAACAAGATATAAAGCAGAATGATGATCCTGGTTTTTTGGTCAAACTATCCATATGAGCCTGTCTGTCTAGCTAGTCATAGAAACAATATGGAAGCAAGTGTGCCAAAATATAAGAAGCAGTTGCCTCAACTAGGTGAGATCATGACTTATTATTGTCCTTTTAAAAATTGAATACCTAAAATTGTATATTAATGACCATGTATTATTTTTATAATAATAAAAAGTTAATAAAACAAAATTTCTTTTAAAAAAGATGTTCTGCAGGTAGTATGGAGGCAATAAAAAAAGAATTAGCTCATGATCAATGTTTCCCTTTTTAATGAGGTGTAATTATATTTTATTTTTATAATCCAACAGGAATGCAAAAAGAAATGGAACAGGATGTGAAGAGACTTGGCCAGGCTGCCTGGGCCACAGCAATTCCCAGGTTGGAAAAACTTAAGCTAATGCTAGCTCAAGAGACTCTGCAACTCATGAGAGCGAAAGAATTGTATTTAAATTGCAAAAGAGCTGAAATTCAGGGAAAGGTAAGACAAAGATAAACGTAACTTTGTTTTAAAAATACACTTTTATTTATTTTTTATTTTTATTTTTTTTTTTGAGACGGAGTCTCGCTCTTTTGCCTAGGCCGGACTGCAGTGGCACGATCTCGGCTCACAGCAAGCTCCGCCTCCCGGGTTCATGCCATTCTCCTGCCTCAGCCTCCTGAGTAGCTGGGGCTACAGGCGCCCGCCACCGCGCCCAGCTAATTTTTTGTATTTTTAGTAGAGACGGGGTTTCACCGTGTTAGCCAGGATGGTCTCGATCTCCTGACCTCGTGATCCGCCCACCTTGGCCTCCGAAAGTGCTGGGATTACAGGTGTGAGCCACCGTGCCCCGCCCCACTTTTATTTTTTAAAAATTTTGTATAAATAAAGGATACAAGTGCAGTTTTGTTCCATGGATATATTGTGTAGTGGTGAAGTTTGGGCTTTTAGCGTAATCATCACCTACATAATGTAATTGTACCCATTAAATATTTCTCATCCCCCCTCCCACCCTCTTACTCTTCTGAGTCTCCAGTGTCTGTTATTCCACACTGTCTGTGTATACACTACTTAGCTCCCACTTATAAGTGAGACCATGTGGTAAAGCACACTTGTATTTTTAGATAGCACTTTTCTTTCCAGGCATTGTTAAAGAGCTGCTTTTCTTCACTTATTCCAACACCATCTCCTATGGAAGGTTAGACATAAAGTTTTCCTTTGGTTAAGATGTTTCAAAATACCACACTGTAGGATTCACTTTATAGTAACACCAAGCCCAGTATTGAAGTGGGTACTGTACTTGAAAATCAATCCAGCAATGTTTTCAGTACAGCTCTAAAATAATCAAAGAGATACTTCCCTGAAGGATCTTAGACACTTAAGTTTTTTCCTATAATCTTATGACTTTAAAGCAGAAAACACTGTAAACACCTGTCTTAGTTGGCTAAGGCTGCTATAACAATATTAAATATCACAGATTGGGTGGCTTCAACAACGGACATGTATTTCTCACAGTTCTGGAGGCTGGGAAGTCCAAGATCAAGGTGCCTGCAGATTCACTGTCTGGTGCGGATCCTCTTCCTGTCTAGTAGACAGCTGCCTTCTTAACTGAGTGCTCATATAGCCTTTCTTCTGTGTGTATGTTTGGAGAGAAAGAAAGTGATCCCTGTCTTTCTCTTCTAATAAGGGCACTAATCCCATGATGGGGGTGCTATCCTTTTGACATAATCTGAACCTAATTACTTCCAAAGGACCCACCTCCAAATAACATCACATTGGGAGTTACAGTGTCAACATATGAATTTTGGGGGGACACCGATATGCAATACATAATAATACCTCATTGCCATTTATGTTTCTCAAAACCTAAATGTTTTTCTCTGTTTCAAGGATGGGATAAAGTATTAGCATCACTAGATGAAATGAAAAAGTGTTTCTTTCCTATTTGCTCTTTTATATTTAGTACGGAACAAGGAATAGAAAATAGCTAGAATGCTTCTAAAGTTTGTTTTTAATATACTATTTGTTTTAACTTATTTTTCTTTTTTCTATGAAAATAAGATGGAAGATCTTCCAGAACAAGAAAAAAATATAAATGTTGTAGATGAATTAGAAATACAATTTTATGAAATTCAGTTAGAACTATATGAAGTTAAATTTGAGATATTAAAAAACAAAGAAATACTGCTTACTACACAGTTGGACTCTCTTGAAAGACTTATAAAAGGTAAAGTTTTTATTTAAGTATATAGATTACAATGTTTATAAATTTAAGGAAATACAGACCATATTATCAATTACTTTTTGTAAACTGTAACATCTGAAAATTTCCTAAAGTTTTCCTTCAGTGGTTTATTATTCAAATAATATATTCATTGTTAGCACATAGCAAAACAAAGAAAGAAAAATGATTATTACCCCAATCCCATCATCTAGAGATGCTCAATGGTTGGCTGGGCACAGTGGCTCAGGCCTATAATCCCAGCACTTTGGGAGGCTGAGGCGGGCAGATCACTTGAGGTCAGGAGTTCCAGACCAGTCTGACCAACATGGTGAAACCCCGTCTCTACTAAAAATACAAAAATACTAAACCCTGTTTCTACTAAAAATACAAAGTCCAATGTGGTGGCACGTGCCTGTAATCCCAGCTACTTGGGAGGCTGAGGCAGGAGAATGGCTTGAACCCGTGAGGTGGAAGTTTCAGTGAGCCAAGATCGTGCCACTGCACTCCAGCCTAGAAGACAGAGCAAGACTCCGTCTAAAAAAGAAAAAAAAAAAGACGGATACTTAGTGGTAACAATTTGCTGTATAACTTTGTAGATTTCAAAATATGCTGATATGTAAAAATATAAATTTTTAACCAAAACTACATAACCAGTTCAGTAACATCTTTTTTAAAATTTTTTAATGTTTAGGGGTGCATAGCAGATACATATATTTATGGGTTACATGAGATATTTTGACACAGGCATACAATGCATAATAGTCTCTTTTTCATTTAATACATAATAATTGTCTTTCTGTTTCAGAAATAATAAAAGTATCAAAATTTTAATGGCTGCATAGTATTCCATTATATGGATATACCGTGATTTCCAAATTTCCGCTGTTTTGAACAGTAGTGTAGTGAACTTTCCTTTACACATGTCTTTGAGTATAGGACAGATTATCTCCTTGGAATAAATATCTAAGGATGGAATTACTGGGTCAAGGGCAATGTATATTTTACATTTTGCTACGTAACAATACAGCAGTCATCTGAGATACATTTTTCCTCACCTCCGTATTATTTTCTGATTTCTAAATTTCATACTATGTAGTGGCCCTCTAGATAGGTCGTACATTTAAAATGACGCTCCCAGGCTGGGCGTGGTGGCTCACGCCTGTAATCTCAGCACTTTGGGAGGCTGAGAGGGGGCAGATCACTTGAGGTCAGGAGTTCAAGACCAGCTTGGCCAACGTGGTGAAACCCTGTCTCTACTAAAAATACAAAAATTAGCCGGGCGTGGTGGTGGGTGCCTGCAATCCCAGCTACCTGGGAGGCTGAGGCAGGAGAATCGCTTAAACCTGGGAGGTTGAGATTGCAGTGAGCTGAGATGGCACCACTGCACTCCAGCCTGGGCGACAGAGTAAGACTCTGTCTCAAAAAAAAAAAGAAAAGAAAAAAGACGCTCCCATCAGCAGAATATGAGTGTGTATGTTTCCCAGACTCATGCCATTCTTTTGCATTTTTGCTTACTTGACAGAGAAAATGGCAGTCTTCCAATTTTCATTTATTTAATTATGAGTGATTATTGAACAAAATTTTGTATGTTTACAAGCCATTTGTACTTATTTTATGAAATGCCTATTCATAGTCTTTGTCCATTTTTCTTTGGAATATTTCCTTTCAACATTAAGAATAATGTCCTCTATTGTCTGTCATATGTTGCAAATAATCTCTCCTTGTCATTTGCGTTTTCTTGCCTTTCAGAAATATTTAAGTTTTATGAAGTCGTGTTTATCGATTTTTTTCCCCTATGGCTTCTGCTTTTAGTATTATGTCTGGCAATAGTCTCCTATCCCAAAATTATGTCAATATATACTTATGTTTTCTTTCAGTATGTTTATGATGTTATTTTTTAAAACATTTAATTCTTTAGTCCAGGTGGAATTTATTTTGATTGTGGTAGGAATTGAACCTTTCCCTCAAATTGTTAAGCAGTCCCAATCACTGATTTTAAAAACATTTTCCCTAAATGTTTAACATTTCTCCAGTTAAACCTTAGATTGACTTGGGTCTGTTTCTGAGTTGTTCTCCTCCATTGGTTCGTGAGTGGCTTCTGCTGCTGGCTCCATACTGTTCCCACGACTGTCTTGGAGGCACATTTTAGGGTCTGGTAAGGCAAGTACCCCCCACATTACTTCACAAGTTTTCTGACTATTTTCACTCGTTTATTCTTCCAGATGAAATTTAGAATCAAGTTCAAAACAAAAAACTCTTTGGAATTTTGATTGTGATTTTGCTTAAAATTAGAGATTACTTTGGGGAGAATAGTGGTCTTTGCAATTTTGAATCTTCCTACCCAAGAACTTGGTATGTCTCTCTCCATTTATTTAAATCTTTTTTCCTAAAGTTCCTCCAAGTTTAATAAATTTCTTCACATAGATCCTGAACTTTTAGTTTAATCCTGAGTATTCAGAATTTTTTTCAGTAGTTTCAGGTTATAAGCATTTTACATATTTAGGAAAAAAATTACATTAAAAAACAAGTTAATCTGGAAGGATGCATGCCAAATTGTTCATAATGTTTTTCCTCTGAGAATGACTCAGAAGGTTTGGGGAAGGAGCAATAGAATTTCACTGTTTATTTGATGTACTTCGGGTGGGTTTGAATTTGTTACAGTAAGCATGACTTTTAAAAAATCAATATGTAATCAAGATTAAATATCACTAAGGCATCTTAATAATATATTGCTGGTAGAATATAAGTTGCCTTTCTGGAGGGCAGTGTGGCAATGGGTATCAAGATCCTTAAACACTTATCTGCTAAGGAAGTGATAAAAAGCATACACAAAGATTTATACAGAGATGTTCATCACAGTGAAATGAATAATAATGGAACATTGGAACAGCCTAACAACATGGATTGCTTAAATTAGAGAATACTATGCTGCCATTAAAATTTATCTTTTTTAATTTTTTTTTGTTTTTGGAGATGGAGTCTTGCTCTGTTGCCCAGGCTGGAGTGCAGTGGCACGATCTCGGCTCACTGCAACTTCTGCCTCCCAGGTTCATGCTGTTCTCCTGCCTCAGCCTCCTGAGTAGCTGGGATTACAGGCACACGCCACTGTGCCCAACTAGTTTTGTATTTTTAGTAGAGATGGGGTTTTGCCATGTTGGCCAGGCTGGTCTTGAACTCCTGACCTCAGGTGTGCAGCCTGCCTTGGCCTCCCAAAGTGCTGGGATTACAGGCGTGAGCCACCGCACCTGGCCTAAAAATTTATTTCCATCCCATGGAAAGTGTTCTTTTAGAACTCCATTGATACGTGTAGCTATGTAAGTAGTATGTGTGTGTGTGTGCATGTGTATATATACGTATGTCTATACAGGTATATATACATGCATATACTACTTACATGTATATACACACATGCTACTTACATACATGTGTATAGTCATGTATATATACACATGTGTATATGTATATTACATTTATACACATAGATTTTTTATATGTTAATAGTGGTTCTCAGTGGTGGGATTACAAGTGATCTTTATTTTCCTTACATTTAAAAAAATTCAATGTATTTTTACAAATAATAAAATATGTTTTAAACAATCATTAATACCTTTTTAGAAAAACAGGATGAAGTTGTCTATTACGATCCATGTGAAAGTCCAGAGGAACTTAGTCATTGACTGTGGTGGGGCTGCAGGACGATAAGAATTCGGAAGTGAAAGAACTCAGAAGGCAGTGCCAGCAGCTGGAGTCTATTAAACGGGGCAGGATCTGTGTCAAAAGAGCTTCTCTCCAGAGTAGAAAGGTGGGTACGCTCAGAGCAGCTTTCTTTTCTTTTCTCTTCCAGAGATTTATTCTTGTATGAAGGATAAAGAGGTATTGAAATAAGGTTTTTACCAACACAGTGATTAATTTTTTGTGTGCTTATGAACTTATCCATGGCTATAGTTAAAATGATTTTTAATATTTTTCTTAAAAATATTATTTTTTTCTTTTGGGTTTTAAGCATTTAGCAAATCTCAAGGTTTTAATTTATTCATTCAACAACTATTTGTTGAATTCCCACTGCATACACAGGCACTTTATTTTTATTTTTTTTGAGACAGAGTCTTGCTCTGTCACCCAGGCTGGAGTGCGGAGGCATGATCTTGGCTCACTACAACTTCTGCCTCCTAGGTTCAAGCAATTCTCGTGCCTTAGCCTGCCAAGTAGCTGGGTTTACAGGCACGTGCCACCACGCCCAGCTAATTTTTGTATATTTTGTAGAGACGGGGTTTCGCCATGTTGGCTAGGCTCGTCTTGAACTCCTGACCTCAAGTGATCCGCCCACCTTGGCCTCCCAAAGTCCTGGGATTACAGGTGTGAGCCACCACCCCCGGACCACAGGTACTTTAAAAACCACAATAGGTAGAAACTCCATTTCTAATAACCAGCTATAATAATTCTAAATATATTTTAGTACACAAAACAATTACAGATAACAATATTCAGCTCACCTCAGACCTTGTATTTGGTGATTTTTTTTCTTAATTTTTAAAAATCCATGAATACATAAAAAGATAACACTAAGAAATTTAATTTTTTCTGACAGAAAAGGAAGCTTCTATATATCATTTTTATACAGACTTTTATTTGTATTTACTCATATTTACTATACTTTTCTCCCTTTTTTTTTTTTTGATGCGCAGTCTTGCTCTGTCTCCCAGGCTGGAGTGCAGTGGCGTGATCTCGGTTCACTGCAACCTCCACCTCCCAGGTTCAAGCGAATCTGCTGCCTCAGCCTCCTGCATAGCTGGGATTACAGGTGCCTGCCACCAAGCCTGGCTAATTTTTGTATTTTTAGTAGAGACGGGGTTTCACCATGTTGGTCAGACTAGCCTTGAATTCCTGACCTCGAGCAATCCACCTGCCTCAGCCTCCCAAAGTGCTGGGATTACAGGCGTGAGCCACTGTGCCGAGCCTACTATACTTTTCTTGTTAGAATTAAGAAAACATGAAAATTGTGACTTTTGTAGCTTACAAAAATGTTAATTACTCTTCCATGTAAATACAAATACTTAAAAAAAACTTGGCTAGGTGCTGTGGCTTATGGCTGTAATCCCAGCACTTTGGGAGGTTGAGGTGGGAGAATCACTTAAGGCCAGAAGTTCGAGACCAGGGACAACACAGGGAGACCTCATCTCTGTGGTGCGCACGTATAGTCCCAGCTACTCAAGAGGCTGAGGCAGGAGGATTGCTTGAGGCCAGGAGGTTGAGGCCTCAGTGAGCTGTGATTGTACCACTGCACTCCAGCTAGGGTGATAGAACAAAACCCTGTCTCTAATAAAAATTAAAAATAAAAAAATTTGTTAGAAGAGTATATTCTTTGCATGTTCGTGTTTAAGAATTGTACTTCTGGATTTAGGAACTGTTATTCAGAGGATTTGAAGATCTACAGGCATTTGCCCTTTGCTCCACATTTCAGAAAACCCATGAGCCCCAAGAGGAGTCTCCTTTGGCACTCCCATGGTGCTGTGGATGAACAGATGCCTCCACCTCCTTGGCAGTGTTATATGTATATGTATATAAAATGCTCCTGTGCCTTCTCTTATCCAGACTTGGAGCATTAACCTTCACTCTCAAGATATAATCACTCCCCCTACCCCATTTAGAGGAGCTCTTTCCACTGATTCTGGAAATGTTGGAATTTGGAAGGCACTCGGTTAATAGAATGGTAGTTGAGGTGAGCTCTCAACTTGGGTTCAGATCGCAGTCTGGCCACTTAGGTAGTAGTCATGTGACATTAGGCAAATTACTTAAATCTCTTTTGGGCTCACAGTTTTCTCCTCTGTTAAAAGAGGATGATAGATCAGGCACGGCACCCGTAATCCCAGCTACTTGGGAGGCTGAGGCAGGAGAATCGCTTGAACCCAGGAGGCGGAAGTTGCAGTGAGCCGAGATCATGCCATTGCACTCCTCCAGCCTGGGCAACAAGAGCAAAACTCAGTCTCAAAAAAAAAAGATAGTGGTAATAATACAAATTTCATGTGACGATAGAGTAGCATAAGGCATGAAAAGTATTTATCACTGAAGCTAAAACCTACTCAATAAATGTTAGTATTATCTGTGAGTATTACTGTATTATTTTTTACATAGATTAAGGATTTTATGTATGTATAGCATATTATATATTGGTATAGTGAGTGGTTAAGCACAGGTGAAACACAGTTATAACAATTTTTCAGTTGCTCTGCGTTTGTAGGTATGCTTGGAAATGTAATTAGTATTTATAATGTTATGGGGAAATGTGTTTAAAACAATCACATTAAAACATTGTTGGGACACATCCCATTTAAGAATGGGGGCTGCCTGTGTGTCCTCTCATGGTTGGCGGATTGTTTTCACCTCTTAAAGCACTCTGCTGGGAACAAATTATTTCCATAAGCAGCCAGGCAACTCTCATCATAGACTGTGGAGGAGAGTACCATTGGGCCGCACCAGAACTAATATTAATGAATGCCTTACACTACGCCCAAATGCAGTGCTTTCTTCTTTTAACCTTTTATGCTATACCAGGGTAACACTAAAAACCATGTAGGTGATTTGTATTATTCCACCAGGATCAGTGCAAAGAAAATCATTGGCTCAGATTGCAACAGGCTGAAGAAAGCATAAGATATTCTCGTCAGCATCACAGTATTCAGATGGTGAGTGTCCTCCGAAGGAAAATGTTCTATGTTTGTGTAGCGTGACATGCAGGCCTAGACTTGTGGAAACTGGAGTTGCGCTGCCCTGGACCTGCAGCTGTCAGCCAATTCACCTCCAGGCCTGCAGTCTGGGCGCAGTCTTGGGGTGGTAATGTTGGGGTACAGCCTCTTTCTTTGTCAGGACATTTTTATTGTATGCCACACATTTTTGTAATGTTGAGCAATTTACAAATATACATCTGCTTAAATATAGAAAAGAGACAAGATAAAAAGGAGCAAAAGAAAAAAGAATGGGTCAACCAAGAACGTCAAACACTCCAACGATTGAGAGCATTTAAAGATGTAAGTTCTATAAACAATCACCTCATCTACACTTCTGGGGAAATAAATGAAGACCGCTCTAAAGAGGAAAGTATTAAGAACAGGTCATTCAGAACATGAAACATTTAAAAAATAACATTATTTCTGGTATATCAATAAAAAGCAACAACAAAAATAGAATATCAGTGATTCAAAACCCATGATATAAAATAACTGCTGTTTTTAACATCACAACACGCTTGGGTTCCTGCTCTGCACTCTTCACTGAGTAGTCCTTACTGGCACTGGTGGTTTAGATTGGCAGGGAAAACTGAAAACTGTTCAACTCCCTTGACTTTAGCTGGCATTTCCTCTCATTTGTAATAAACAATTCTTTAAAATGTTATCCAGGCAGCATTGTGATATAAGTGTAGTGAAAGTGCCCAGTTAAAAGTAAAATGTGTTGTTGTTTTTTTTTGATATCTACAACTTTCTTTTTTCTTTTTTTTTAAAGTATATACTTAAGAGGATGATGTTATTTTTTTATGCCCTCTGTTCCAGGCCTACATTTGTATTTCCTCCACAAAATGATCCTCAGTCTGTAATTTTTGTTCTATTTGACTTTATTATTAGAGATAAATTCCTTTAATTAAAAAAAAGCTACTATGAAGGTTGAAAAAATAATTTTTTGGTTTTATTTTTAATTGACACATAATTGTACATATTTATGAGGTATAGTGTGATATTTTGAGGTATATAATATGGAATGATCAAATCAGGGTAATTAGCGTATCTATCACCTCAAACATTTATCTACAGGTAAATAGGTTTTTTAAAATAAAGTAAATAGGGAGTCTGGCACAGTGGCTCATGCCTATAATCCCAGCACTTTGGGAGGCTGAGGCGGGCGGATTGCTTGAGACCATGAATTTGAGACCAGGCTGGGCAACATGGTGAAACCCCAGCTCTCCTAAAAATACAAAAATTAGCTGGACATGGTGGTGCATGCCTGTAGTCCCAGCTACTTGGGAGGAAAAATACCAATTGTGCACATATTTTTGTAAAATTATACATAAACACTTTATTTTTTATGTCATTCTAAATAATTTTTTGTATGTTTCTATTTCCAAACGTTGTTTGGTAATATATAGAAATATGATTGATTTTGTTTATTGAGTTTGCATATAACCACATTACTAAACTCGCATATTGAGCATTTTAATAGGTTATTTTGAATACTTTTACATAGACTGTTGTCTGAAAATAGAAACAGGTTTATTTCTTCCTTTCTGATGTGGATGTCACTGATTTTTTTCCCTACATTACTGATCTGGCTAGGACTATCAGTATAAAGTTGAATATAAGTGGTAAAAGATCTGACTTCTTGCCTTGGACCCAGTTTTTAAATCAGTTGGAGAGTCACCATTAAGTGTAATTTAGTGGTAGTTTTGTTTGTTTTTTTTTTGTTTGTTTTGTAGATGCCCTCTATCAGGATAAGTTCCCTTTTCTCATTTTGCTGAGAGTTTTTATAAAGAATAGCTATTGAATTTTGTCAAATGCTTTTGCTGCATCTGCTGAAATGACACGTTTATTCTTCATCTACCTAATAATGTTGCAATTTATATCTGTTGAGCTTTGAATGTTGAACCAGCCTTGCATTCATGGTATAAATCACTTGTTTGTAAAGTATTGTTTTTAAATATTGCTAGATTTGATATCTTAGTATTGTATTTTTATATTTGTCTTCATGTGTTTTTGTTTTCTCATAAGTGTCTGTACCCCCCTTTTTTTTTCTTTAAAGAGAAATAATGAGAGAGATTGTCTCTCTTGAAGTTCTCAGTGCCTGTGCATTGCTGCCACTACACAGCTAGTATCATGACAGCAGCTTCAGAACCAGAGCTGGCTTCCAGGCAAGGCTGGGTGGGGAAGAAAGAGAAAAACAAAAGAATTATTTCTCTATGCCGAGACCAGCTCGGTCAGGGAGACCCTAACCTAGCGGTGCTAGAGGAATTAAAGACATAGACACAGAAATATAGAGGTGTGAAGTGGGAAATCAGGGGTCTCACAGCCTTCAGAGCTCAGCCACAAACAGAGATTTACCCACGTATTTATTAACAGCAAGCCAGTCATTAGCATTGTTTCTATAGATATTAAATTAACTAAAAGTATCCCTTATGGGAAACGAAGGGATGGGCCGAATTAAAGGAATAGGTTGGGCTAGTTAACTGCAGCAGGAGCATGTCCTTAAGGCACAGATCACTCATGCTATTGTTTGTGGTTTAAGAATGCCTTTAAGCGGTTTTCCACCCCGGGCAGGCCAGGTGTTCTTTGCCCTCATTCCAGTAAACCCACAACCTTCCAGTATGGGTGTTAGGGCCATTATGAACATGTTACAGTGCTGCAGAGATTTTATTTATGGCCAGTTTATGGCCAGATTTTGGGGGGCCTGCTCCCAACACTCTACATATGCTCCATCTTGCAGAGGCTTCATTCTTGGTTCTCTAGCTAAAAACAGTAGAAATTTTGCACACCTGGGTTAGAAAAAAAAAAAATAGCCATTAAACCCACCCCTGTTACAGGTCACTATTGGTATTTTGATTTTGCCTTCAATCCATCTGTTATTGTTTACTTTTAAGAGTCCTTGATAGTTGCTTTTTATGTCCAGAGTTTTAATTTCAGTCAGAAAGAGAAATAGGCCTTGGTGAGCATGCTTTGTCTTGGCTGGTGCCAGAAGTCAGTACTCAAATATTTTTAAAATAATTTTTAGTTGAATAACAAGTTAGACCTGTGTTTAGCTTTCTCATTGTTTTCCTAAAAATAGAAGAAAAGGTTTTAAATACTTTAACCACGAAATAATTTAAAGCAGGTTTAAAATAAACTCCTTCATTTTGCCTGTTCTATTACTCTGTTCTCACACTGCTAATAAAGACATACCCAAGACTGGTAATTTATAAAGTAAAGAGGTTTAATTGACTCACAGTTCCACATGGCTGGGGAGGCCTCCCAATCATGGCAGAAGGTGAATGAGGAGCAAAGTCACATCTTACATGGTGGCAGGCAAGAGAGAGAGCATGTGTGCAGGGGAATTCCCCTTTATAAAACCATCCAATCTCATGAGACTTATGCAGTCTCATGGGAGCAGCATGAGAAAGACTCACCTCCGTGATTCAGTTACCTCCCACTGTGTCCCTGCCACAACATGTGGGAATTGTGGGAACTAAAAATCAAGATGAGATTTGGGTAGGAACACAGTCAAACCATATCTCCTATATACATTCACACTAGCATTTTAGTTTTAGAACTAGTTCTATGTTACTATCTGAATTAATTTTTCCACAATTTTGTAAGGAAAAATAATGCGTTCTTTGAATTTCATGTGTAAATGATATTTTTAGTTTTGTGTCATTTTGTCAAATAAATTCTGAAAATCTTTGTATTGACAGTGTGTTATCTCTGCATAACCATATATGTATAAGAGTGCTCAATAAAAAGAATAAAGAGGAAACAGCACTGGATCTATACCTATACAAAACAAGCTACCAGCAGAGCCCACTGGGAGTGGTCATGATATAATCAGGAATGTTATATTCACACGTTGTAGATCTGCATATGAGAGGAGGGTTTGCAGATAGCAGATTCTAGAAAAGTTGTCTAATCAGACAGTAAATGAAGGTGTTGAAGCACTGAACAAAAATAAGCTGCTTTAATTACTCATAAGAGGGAAGTACAAGTCATTATTCCATCTGCCAATTTACAGACTGTAAGATACCCTTTAAAAGTAGCAGTAAGTAAACTCTTCATAAAAGTTAGACTGTATGACAAATCCACTGCCTTTCTTCTTTTGCAGCAGGGCCTTTCTTTTTAATGACTATTTTTTGTTTTTGGAGATGAAGTCTGTCACCCAGGCTGGAGTTCAGTGGCCTGATTGATCACTGCAGCCTCGACCTCCAGCTCACATAATCCTCCTGCTTCAGCCTCCTGAGTAGCTGGGACTACGGGTGTGTGCCACCATGCCTGGCTTTTTAAAAAAAAAAATTTTGTGGAGTTGGTGTCTCGCTATGTTGCCCAAGCTGATGTCAAACTTCTGGATTCAAGCACTTCTGCCCAAAGTGCTAGGATTATAGGTGTGAGCCACTGTGCCCAAGCTAGTGACTATTTTTGAAAAAAGAAGCACATTACCCTCCCTTGTTAATCACTTATGTACAAAAATGCATGTTTTGCTGTTGATCTGTTTTAACTCTTTCTACATAAATAACACATTTGTACATGTATATGTGCAGATATATTTATAATGTTAAAATTGTGTTTAAGTGATGTTTACTAAACAGGATAAAATTTTGTTTGGAAAATTGCGATGTGAAATTTTATCTAGTTAATCTATAGTCCTTTCCCTTATGGTGTCCAGCTCTATGCAGGCTCTGCCTCACTCCAGATTATGTAAATATCAATTCATATTCAAATGAATTTGAAATTTAGCTTTCAACATTTGCCTTTTTAATTCATCTTGAAATCATTGTGGTAATATTATTTCCTGTCCACTAGCATACTTTTTAATCCCAACAGTAAAGTTTCTGAAAAGACCACTAGTTCTTCTTTTGAGCAGTTACTGATACCTTGCCATTGAAGGGGAGGATAGATGCCCACAGCCCCTCTCCTTCAACCACATATGTCCAAGTAAAACTAGTATTTCTTCTTTTTAAAAAGATAGACATAATTATTTTCCGTATTATTGAATACATTTCTGTTGTAACCTCAGTTCTACTCTTCAGAATCCTTTGTTCGATTTTCTTGTAGTTGATTTGATGATCCCACTCACACTTTCCTACCAGTTGTTCCAGAGACGATGGGCTTAGTCACACAGTGGGGAGACACGTTTGTGGGGGTTGGGTGGAAGTTCTGGTTCAGGTCTGCATCTGTTCACCATCATTTATGATGATGCTGTAACTCACATCTGCTCTTTGATGAGAAGTCACACAAGTAATTGCTAAATTAACCCGTCAAATCTAACTATCATTCAGCTATGTCTCACTGAGCCTTTTCTGGACAAATCGTGTTGTTCTCAAGAATATTTATGTGACTTTATCCTTTGTGCAAAGGCTATAGGCAACGGAAGCGATAGGGGAAGTATGTGGAAGGTTGACCCACATAGCTGTTGCCATATGCAACTTTTCAATCTTCTTGATTTCTGCTTCTCTTCCCAGTTCTTATCATCCATAGTGATTTTTGGAAAAACTGCCACTACATTGGCATTGTGAGTACTCAGAGTGGTGTGTCTCTTCTCCTTAGCTAGACTGTCAGGACAATTCTATTCGCTTTCAGACTTCCAAATGTCATCACATCTTATTCGTGCCTGACCTCCTTTTCTCTCATTCGCAAGATATTCATGGCTCCTTTTAAATAGGATAATGGCCAAATGAAAAGTGTGTTATTTTCTGAAAAAATTGCTGAAAGGTGAGGAAAGTGGCAAATGTATTTGCCTATAAAATTTTTAAGGAAAAAATTAAGGTTGAAATGAAAGTAAGGATATTTTCATCCAATTACCTCATTCAATTATCATAATCAAGGTCAGAAAAGAAAGAAACTTCAGTTCAGCCTTTGCTAGAAGTAACTTGCAACAAATCACACATCTACTGACTCTGACATTCGCCCAGTGATAGCAGCAATGCTCCACATATCACATGCTATACTGAAATATAGCAATTAAAATAGTTTTCGATGCAGATCAAGCAGTAATTACTTTTGCCCAGAAATCTTAAAAAATAAATTGTATGTGGAGAACAGGAAGCTTAGGAAATGAGGGTGCCTTTTATCTTTGCAGTGACAATTTACCTTGCGCTCGCAGTGACATTTTCTAGATTTTAAAAATCAACGTTTTTTATTTTTATTTATTTATTTATTTTTTTAAATCTGCTGGCCCTTTTGCTTTTAGCAGCCACAGACTTCTTGGCCTCTCAAATGCCCGGATGCCTGAAACTTCTGAAGAGATACTGCCTTCAGCTTCTTCTCAGTCCCAGCACGGTGTGAACACGTAGCTCCGATGACGCCTCTGCTTGCTTCAGCCTGCTGGTGCTTAATTAGGTGCTTATCCTAACACCTTAGAACATACTTTCTGTAGATGGTTTAATTCCAACCATCATATATGCTTTTTCTCAGATTTTCTCCAGCTTCTCAAAACTTCCCTGTAAATGAGGCCTTGTAGGCAGCTTTCTTGCTATGACCTCACCTTCCATTCAGCACAGAAACAGCATCCATTGCTGTTATGCAATGGATAAAATTGTATAACAAAGGTTATGGTTTCATATCTTTAATGTTACTGGCAGACTTTACTCCTGGCCTTCTCCTAATCAATAGGCCAGTCTTCCCCTCCCCAATCCCCCATTTTTAGCCATCTAATTTTATTCCTTACATTCGTTCTTATAAAGGCAAAAACCTGGCCGGGCACGGTGGCTAATTCCTGTAAGCCCAGCGCTTTGGGAGGCCAAGGAGGGTGGATCATGAGGTCAGGAGATTGAGACCATCCTGGCTAACACAGTGAAACCCCGCCTCTACTAAAAATACAAAAAAATTAGCGTGGCAGCGGGCACCTGTAGTCCCGGCTACTCGGGAGGCTGAGGCAGGAGAATGGCGTGAACCCGGGAGGCAGAGCTTGCAGTGATCCGAGATCGCGCCACTGCACTCCAGCCTGGGTGACAGAGCAAGACTCCATCTCAAAAAAAAAGACGCAAAAATCTTTTTTAGCCTTCTCTTCAGAATGGTTAAAATATATTGGCAACAAAAACAATTTTTACAAATGATTTAAAACACAAATTATTTGCTTATTTTTCACACTAATAACAAAGAATATAGACACTATATATGTTCCAATCACATTGATCATGCAGAAAATAAATATTCTTTGGTACTGGTTTTCCTTTGATCACAAATAGATATGAGGGCAAAATGTCTTATCACTTATTTACAAATAACTGATGGCCAAAATGGATAATTGTCATGATAGAAGTTATTGACACTGGCTGGGTGGGGTGGCTCATGCTTGTAATCCTAGCACTTTGGGAGACCGAGAAAGGTGGGATCACCTGAGGTCAGGAGTTTGAGACCAGCCTGGCCAACATGTAGAAACCCTGTCTCTACATAAAAAAAAATAAAAAATAAATAAACACTCTTTGGTTTTGGTGGTGGGCACCTGTAATTCCAGTTACTTTGGGAGGCTGAGGCAGGAAAGAAGTTATTGATACAAATATTTGCAAAAATAAAAAGTTATTTGATACCCACAAATAATTCCAAAGTATGTCCATGTGCTAATTTGTAAATAGGAAGGAAGTTCTTATTTTGAAACTTGCAGCCTGGAAAATATTTATAAGGTTGTTATGACATTGATAACTGGAGTACTTCCTATATCAACTTACTAGAATTTTGGAGACTGACTTTAAAATATAATAAAAAGGGAAAGACAGGGAATTGAACTTCCTTCTCATGTTTTTTACAAATTTTACAGGGAGCCAGTCTCATTTATGTAATCACAGATTTATTTTACAAGTTTGGACTTGCAAAAATATGCCAAAATTTGAATGCCTTACCCATTTTTTTGGGAAGCAGCTAAAATATGTAATGCACTGACCTTTTAATGTTCACTTTGATTGGTTAATGGTTACACCTTTACAGCTCAGTCAGATTGTAAACAAGGGGACAAAACTGAATATATAAGGTCAGAGAAGTATAGTGACAAAATTTATGAACCCCTATACATTTCCTATGAATAAAAAATGATTAAAATTCATACGTTTGCTTTTTAAATATATACATAAGAAACATCAAAAATTAATTCAAAGCATATATTAGCAAATATATTCTTAATTTTGTCTTGAATAACCTTCTTTAGGTGTGCCTTTTTCTACAAAGTTATGTCTTCATTAAACATTTTTCAAATTATTAGTATTATTATTTTTAACTGATGCTTCATATTTTATTTCCCCTCTGCTCTCCCATCCCACCTTTGGTGATGGTTGTGCCCATCTGAGCATTTCGGGGCACATGACCGTAAGTAAATCTTGAGAGAGGAGTGGAATTATTGTCTAAACACTAACAGAAGGGGATTACCTGTAAGGATAGCATAACTGTTGTGCAGGAACAGAAGCTGCCCAGATCTTCTTGGTGGAGAGTGCATAGAAAAAAGACTTAGAATTATGGAACATCTGTCCCCCCAACCACCCTTTCCCACCCATCCCCCAAACCCCCACTCCCACCCTATTCCCCGCCCAATTAATAGTGTTAACAAAAGGTTAATCTAACTTTTTTTTTTTTTTTTGACGGAGTCTTGCTCAGTCGCCCAGGCTGGAGTGCAGTGGCGCGATCTCAGCTCACTGCAAGCTCCACCTCCCGGGTTCACGCCATTCTCCTGCCTCAGCCTCCCAAGTAGCTGAGACTGCAGGCGCCCGCCACGACGCCCAACTAATTTTTTGTATTTTTTAGTACAGACGGGGTTTCACCGTGTTAGCCAGGATGGTCTCCATCTCCTGACCTTGTGATCCGCCCGCCTCGGCCTCCCAAAGTGCTGGGATTACAGGCGTGAGCCACCGCGCCCGGCTTCCAGAATATAAAAAATGAGTTCCATGACGACAGGGCCCTCACTGAGCTGGCAGGCCCCTCCATGGATCACCGGCACCAAGGCGCTGTCCAAATCATTCATGGACTGCGAGGGAAGGGGCTGGCCGCTGCTCCCTGCTTGATAGCCAGCCTGATCTGAGTCAAGTGTTACACGTAGTCCCAGTTTGGTCATTCCATCCTCCTTCAGAAGCTTCAGGAGCAAGGCAAAAAGCCTTGGCAACATGCTCAGTCAATCTACTGTGATCCGTAGGATCACTGAGGCAATTGTGCCGGTCATCGTTTCCTTGTAATCCCAGCACTAGGATTTCTAGGAAATCCTGGGAATCGTTTTCTAGAAAAAACACCTCTGTCCATATGATGACTTTTCCATTTGCTTTGTATTCTGATCCGTGGAATATCTTCACATTTGTTATAGTCTCCATGGACTTCCCATCTATAGGACTTAGACACCCTTGCTAACGTTCTTGTCATCATCCACCCACCGGATGTGCATGCGCTCCTGGGGATCCTCCGCGTCTGCCTTCCCACAGGTGATGCTGAAGTCCCTCGTCTCTAGCAGTGCCTGCCTCGAGGAATCCATGTTCTCTGCAGTGATCTGGACCATAACGCCATCTTCCACAATACTGGACTTGGCAAGGTATCCAGAAGAGGATTTCAGAGCGCCACCGAACACAAAAAAACTGCTTTGAGTTTGCATATAGTTACAGTAGTACTGAAAAATCCTCGCAATTTAGGTTTTTGTTTTCAGTTTTCTCTGTTTTCTAGTGCATAATGACTTAATAAATATTCATTTAACAAAAATTGAAATCTCAAAGGTACATATAAATAAACAATATAAATAACCATCCTTATTACAGTTAACTTTGTGCTTTAAAAAAAAAAGGCATCCAAAGAAAGACAGACGTATTCATGCAATAAAATCTTAGCAATCCCTGCAATAGTTTAACAGAATTATCAGCCCTCCCATCTTAGTCTGGACAGAATGAAAAAAAAATTAGTTCTCTCGTGTTATTCTTTGAGCTCCAACTAGGAAAAATTACTGAAAACAGCTGGACGTTACAACTGTTTTGGGCAGAGAAGTCACACTGTTCAGGAGGACCCCATGGTAGAAACTGTTTTAAAAAAGTTCTTTTTACTTGAAATTACACAAGAAAGCAGAAAATGACATTGCAAAAAGGAAAAAAGTATAGGCAGGAACATTGTTACAGAAGCCAGGTGACAATGAGAAGTAGAGAGTAGAAAGCAATCAACCCTTTTGACCACTGAGAATGAGGATAGTAGAAATTCAATGGCTCATGGATAGCAATAGTCACTCACATGTCAATAACAGGGATTCTGAAGAGTCAGACTTATGCATACACAGAGCATCTCTACCACATGCATGAATTATGTGTGAGTTTGGTGATAATGAAGAGAGACAAACTGCTGCATCAACTAATATACTCTGGGAGTGAAGAGCAGGATAAAAAAAAAACTGTAGAGACCACTACTCTAGGTCATTTAAGTATTTTAAGGAGAAAAAAATAACATAATAGAAGAAAGTGATAACTATCTGGAGTGGTGGGATGGGTGGCTTCTGACACAGCTCCCATGTTTCTGATTCCACCTCCCGATATCTTGTATTATCTCCCCTTCTTGAGTATGAGCTGGACCTGGTGCCTTGCTGGTAAGAGACAGAATTCAACAAAAGTAATGCGGTGTTACTTCCTTGGTTAGCTAACAAGGAACTATGTCTTGCCCCTTGCTAGCCACCCCCAACTCTTGCTGGCATTCCCTCTTGCCCTCTCGCTTGCTTGCTTTGATAAAGAGAGTTGCCATGTTGTGTGATGCTTTGTGGAGAGACCCACGTGACAAGGAACCAAGGGAGTTTACAGCACAACACCTGGCACAAAACTAAAGCCAACAACTATGTGAGTGAGTCTGCAAATAAATCATTCCCTGTCCAGCCTTAAGATGACTGCAGACTTTTAAAAGAGTGAGAGTCAGAGGCCACAGCTAATCCACATGTGGATTCCCACCAACAAAAATTGAAATAATGTGTGTTTTAAAATGCTAAGTTTGGGGGTGATATGTTACATATAAATAGATAAATAATAAAGATGGTTTGGCATGGAGATAATGACAGAAAGGAATTCGACTATTTTAATAGTCCAATGAAGAGGTATGAAAGATCTGAATTTGGATGGTAGCAGTGTGAATGATGTAAAAGATAAATGTGAGATTCTATAAGGTAAGATTTTATAGGACCTACCAATAATAGGGGTGAGAGGAGGATAGAGAGATGGGAGAGAGAAAGGGAGGGGGAAAGAGAGAAAAGGAGAGGGAGAAGTGGTAAATGAACAAGATTTTTAGTTCAAGTCAGTAGGAAAACCACTGGCAGAGTTGTTTTATTTAAGCATTAACAATTACTTTCCGAGCAACTGTGATGTGTAAGACATTATGTTATCTGTACTAGACACTGAGATGAACCCTCAAAATGGTGATGCCCTCAAAATGGTATAGTGCAAAGTAGAATGTTGTGAAATTTTTCCTAATGGAGAAATTCATCCAATTAGCATTTGAGGAAAGGTATATGTGAGTTGGACTTTGGATAGTAACATACAGAGATTAGCATTAGAAAGGAAGCAAAATATTTCATTAGACATATAAAGAAGTCAATAGTTTATTTTCACTAGATTGCAAGCATATGAAAAAGACAACAGGAAAATGTGTCTCAATTGTCAGCCTAAATTTAACATCTTATTCTGTAGTGAAATCACAGGACAAGTAAATAGATGTCTTGCACTTAGGACAAATTATTTAAGTTTGTTGAAGAAATGAGATGATTGATTTTATTTTTAAGTAATAAGTAATGTGAGAACATCTGCAATCAGTAAGATTTATGTAGATCCAGGCTCAACAAACTACTGCCGATGGGCCAAATCTAGTCTGCAGCTCATTCATGTAAACAAAGTTTCACTGGAATATAGCCGTCCTCATTCATTACGTAATGTCTATGGCTTTGACAGAGACTGTGCCACCTGCAAAGTCAAAAATATTTACTATCTGTCCCTGGACAGGAAACGCTTCTCAATCCCTGGTCTACATCATAAAATGGATTTGAGTGGAGAGAAAGAAAAAAAACTCATTAAAACATATGGGGTGTTACTGCCTTAAACAAGTAGTATACTAACAATAGAAATGGAAAGGAAAAGTTGGAGTGTGCATGTGGGTATGCATCTGTGTGCATTTGTGTGTATGTGATGAAAACTGTTTAAATGCAGGGTACAATATAGAAGAGGAGGCCATCGTGGTGCTTAGATGGCTCTGAATTGACAGTCTCCTCCGTTAATATTTAAGTGCAATTTTGGAGGAATAAGTCTTTCCACTCAACTCTTAAGTGGTTTAATCAACTGGCCATATTTTTTTCCTAATGGTTAGAAAGGATAAGTTACTCAGAAGGAAAAGTAGTACTGATTGAGAAAGAATTATAATGGAAGGTGGGGGGTGATTGCATACTTCTAGGAAAGCTGGAGGGAACAGCTAAAAAACAGTATGATACTGAACACTTGGATGAAAGCATGAGTGAAAGCAGGTGAGAGCAGCCCTAAAAGGACGCCAGTTTGCACCAAAAGTAAACACTGGTTTTCATGCTGCCTCTTGTATATATGTATCAAAAGATACTGGTACTTAATGTATAAATTAGAATATTAACTTTTAAAATATGAATTGAACTTATATGGGGTTTAAAAAAATCAATTATTTAAAAACATCACCAGGTTCCTTTTGTTGTTTAAATTCTCTCCTGATAGAACTAAATAGGGGTCTCTTAAACAGGGTTCAAGAAGCAGAAACATACATAATGGTACTCAGGATTCAATGCATTAAAGATTAATATTCCTTGAATTAGAAGAGCCGAACTAAGTATCCAAACACCAGATATAGGTCTAGAATAGCAGATACATCTAAGTAGGTTTCAACTGTCTAAGGGCACATGCCTGGTGCAGGGACATGAACAAATTGTGAGTAAACAGGGATAAAAGCCCTATGAGGGATGTTTAACATTGAAATGTATAAAGTTTTTATTTAATCACAAAGTTTTCTATATTGGCTAAAATTTTATAATGATAATGAATTATTCATGTGAAAATTAAAAACTGTTTTTTTTGTATTTTTAAAGAAAAAAGCACAAATACACCCATAGAACACTGTGAAATATTATCTTTCACAATGTACACCAGGCCAGGAAATTATTGGGCTAATTTGAGTCTTCAACAAAATTTTACTTTGTGAAGAAATAAGACAATGCTGGAGGGACCAAGGTTTTCATTTGCCTGTGCTCCTTCTGATGCCATCTTTACTCTCCAGGTGAAAGGATGTTTCTGAGATCAATATTCCTCTCCTTTGATAGTTACCTTCTTTTAAAACCTACTGAACACTGACTTACTCAGCTCCACTCTATTCTTCCCCGTTTCCTCTGGGTCCTTTGATAATAGATGCTGGTATCCCTGTCTGTCATTCACTCCTATATGGTTCTCAGGATTTGTTTGCTGTTCCTCCCTCTGTTAACCTGAGCCTTGCGGGCCAAAGTAAATTACTCTCCCAGCACCTTTTATACAGAGTGGTCCATAGTAGTTTTCCTGACACCTATGTTATTACACATTTCTCTCCAAGAACATCTCTAAAGCTTTATGATTTATACATTTGAGTTACCTTAGACCAATTGACCTAAACACAAGATATGCTGTCACATTTTAAGCTGCTTCCTCAGAATATGTTGGTTGAAATCTACTGCCTCTCCCTTGTCCAGGGTTTCTAAATACCCGTAGGGTAGCTTCTCAATAATATATATTACTAATAGCTCAGAATGATTATTATACTAACAAGAACTTTTTACTTTCATTACTGTGTCAGAGGACTCGGAATATCATTAGCAAAACCTGTTTAGAACAGCCATCTTAAATCCTTGTTGAACCAATTCCAGCATGCTTTTAATTTAAGTAATCCTGGCGCCGTGGCTCATGCCTGTAATCCAATCACTTTGGGAGGCCGAGGCAGGCAGATCATGAGGTCAGGAGATCCAGACCTTCCTGGCCAACATGGTGAAACCCCATCTCTACTAAAAATACAAAAATAGTTGGGCATGGTGGCATGTGCCTGTAATCCCAGCTACTCAAGAGGCTGAGGCAGGTGAATCTCTTGAACCCAGGAGGCAGAGGTTGCAGTGAGCTGAGATC
Organism: Homo sapiens; assembly: GCF_000001405.40. Lineage (NCBI taxonomy): Eukaryota > Metazoa > Chordata > Mammalia > Primates > Hominidae > Homo > Homo sapiens. The sequence goes on from NC_000015.10 coordinate 28,768,676, forward strand.
GCGCCACTGCACTCCAGCCTGGTGACAGAGTGAGACCCCATCTCAAAAAAAAAAAAAAAAAAAAAAAAGAAATCTTGAGTAGTACATTCCTTCCCAAGATGAGCATGCAAACAAAGATAACATGACTTTTTATTCTATATGTACGTTTGAAAGATCTCTTTAGTCCTTTAAAAACTTCATGAGATGTATAATTTTATAAATATTGAGATGCTTTGGGAAAAATATTGAAGAAAGGCCATTTGATTAGGCATAAAGCACTTAAAGTGAATGCCAAGAAAGTTGCATAGGTCAAAATAGGTCCACAAAAATGTATAGATTAATGAACCTTCCAATGTGAACTGACTGTTTCTCTGAGTGTCTTTTATAATTATGGGTGAAGGCTGAGGATTGGGCCTGGCCCAGATATGGATTAGGGGTAAAATAAGCAGTGGCACACAAAAGATATTTTCCCTGAGGCATATTGACTGAATTATTGTGATATATGCAAGAATGAGGAGTTATTCCAGAAGATTTCAAGAGACAGAATAAAATCTTCAAGAGTATCACAGCAACTGGGAGACAAACTCATTGCAAAGAAGAGAGCCTGCCCCAAAAGCATGGCCAACTCCCTTGTTCAACACATTTCTAAGATTTTGAAGCTGAATAGGGTGAAATGCTAAAGGGCTAAGCCCAATACCCCTGAAATTAAAATTTAATCTCCAACAACATTTTTTGAGACTAATGAGAAGTAGTTCCTACCAGCTCTCAATCAAAAGCTCAAAAGGAACATACTTCAGAAACAGAGATAAGCCAAAGATGCCAGTCTTACTGAAACTAAAACTGAATCCTGACTGCTCCAATATCTGATTGTATTGGTAATGACTTTCTCCCAACACTATCTGCTTAATAGAGAAAAGTGGGAATACATTCTAAAACTACTATTACCAGAATACTTTATTATTCTTTTATACACAATGTCCAGCATGATACAAAAAACGTCTAGATATGTGAAGTGGCAAAAATTGTATTAATCAAAACACATGTGCACAATAAGCGCAGCTCACTGATTCACAGTTCAGAATTTAGCAGACAAATTTAGAATGACCGTTGCTAATATAATAAAAGTAGGCAAACTGGATGAAATGATGGAGATTGCAGCAAAGATTTAAATATCTATAAAAAGTCACACAGATATTCTAAAACAGAAACATAATAATTGAACTTATGTCACTGAATAGGCTTGCTTTAGAATAAATGTAGTAAAACAAGTTAACCTGAAAAGAGATTCATAGAAATAATATAAATTGATCTATAGAAATAATCTCAACTGAAGAGATTTAATAAAGCAGAACAAAAAAGACATAAGGCACTGTCACAACATCTACTATAACTAAACTGGACATAAAGACAAGTGAGAGAGAATGGAGAAGAAGCAATATCGGAAGAGCCGTTGGTCAAAAATTTTGTAAAATTGATAAAGAATATCAACCTACTTGCAAGAAACTTAACAAAACCTAAGGAATATAATACAAATAAAACTTTACCTATGCAGATTATAAGCTGCTGAACCAAAACAAAACTCTCAAAAGTAAGTAAAAGAGCACAAATAAGTATTCCAACAAAAACAATAGAAGCTGGAGACAATGAAATGGCATTTTAACATGCTGAGGGGCAAATTTGCCAGTCTAAAATTTAATAACCAGTGAAAAAGCACATAAAAGTGAAGCGCAGTAAAATATATTCAGACAAGTAATTGTTGAGAGAATGTTTGCCTAGGAGAACTGAACTACAGAAATACTAAGGAAAGTTCTTCAGACTAAGAAAAAATTATCCCAGAGAGAAGCATACAATTAGAGGAAGCAATGAAATTAACTGAAATAAAAGCCTTAAAATATTGGCACAAGAAGTTCTAAAGATCTGAGTAAGTTCTGTATGTATTATAGAAACTACATTTATGATTAACACATTTTACACACACACACACACACAATTCCAACCACATGTGGATTACCTGGTGAATCCTTACCAAAACTTAAGGAACTAATTGAACTAGTCTTACACAAGCATTTTCAGGAAATAATACAAAAGAAAGAACACTTTAATTTTTTTGTGGGAAGCCAGTAATCATTGATACAAAAATCTGAAAGATATTAAAGAAAAGTAATTTATAAAGAATATTCACCATGAAAATAAACCTGAGAAGTAAGGATAAATATAATTAACTTGTCTTTTACAAAGTTTAAATGTTGAATAAAATATATGACAAAGAGTGGGAGTAGCTAAATAGTGTTCAACTGCTCTAAGGTCCTTACATTGTTGGAGAAGTGGAAAAAGTACGAACATACTTCAGAAATAGTAGTCCACAATAGTTGAGAATAAATATTATATCCTCTAGGATAACTAAGGTACTTAAGGTAGTCCACAATAGTCTAGAATAAATATTCTGTAGGATAACTAAAAGTACTAAAAAGGAATTACAAGTATTTTAATAAAATGAAAAATAAATAATTATTCTAAAAATGGAAAAAAGGCCAGGCGAAGTGGCTCCTGCCTGTAATCCCAGCACTTTGGGAGTCCGAGGCGGGTGGATCACAAGGTCAGGAGTTCCAGACCAGCCTGACCAACATGGTGAAACCCCATCTCTACTAAAAAATACAAAAATTAGCCAGGCGTGGTGGCGCATGCCTGTAATCTCAGCTACTCAGGAGGCTGAGGCAGGAGAATCACTTGAACCCAAGAGGCGGAGGCTGCAGTGAGCTGAGATGGCACCACTGCACTCCAGCAGGGGCAACAGAGCGATTAAAAAAAAAAAAGCCAAAAAAGGAAATAAGAATAAAAAAAGATAGTACAAATATAAAAATATTAAATCCAGAATTTGAAAGATTAAATCCAGAATTTTAATACAGAAGATTGTTTCAGAAGATTGTTTCAGAAGATGTGGAATAACTACCACTCTTATAGACTGTTGTGTGAATGTGAATCTGAACAACCATCTTGAAAATTCTTTTGGCGAGATCTACTGAAGTTAAATGTTTGCATACCTTTTGACCCAGCAATTCCACTCCTGGGTATATATACTCAAGATCAATGAGTACTTCAGTCTAACAAAAGATATATATAAGATATTCAATTAGCATTATTTATAGTAGCCCAAAATTAGAAACAGATGAATCATCCAATAACACAGTTATATATTCATAAAATGGAATACCCCTATTAAAATTATAAAGTATGAACTATAGGTATATACAAGAATCTCATAAATTTTGAAAACCTAATATTGAATAAAATCAGCCATATGCAGGAGCATATATACTGCATGATACTATTTTTATGAAGCTCATTAACAGCCTATTAACATTAATTCATTAATGGAATGAATCTATATAAATAGAGGTCAGTATAGGAGTTATCTTTTTTTGGGTTGTAGTTGACTGAGTTGGCAAGAAGAAGGTTTATGGGGTATTTGTAAGATTTTTTTTTTTTTGGAGGTGGAGTCTCTCTCTCGTCACCCAGGCTGGAGTGCAGTGGCACAATCTGGGTTCACTGCAACCTCTGTCTCCTGGGTTCAAGCAATTCTTCTATCTCAGCCTCCCAAGTAGCTGGGATTACAGGTGCCCGCCACCACACCCAGCTAATTTTTGCATTTTTAGTAGAGACGGGGTTTCATCAGGCTGGCCAGGCTGGTCTTGAACTCCTAAACTCAGGTGATCCACCCGCCTCGGCCTCCCAAAGTGCTGGAATTACAGGCATGAGCCACCGCGCCCGGCCTGTAAGATATTTTTTATCTGAGTTGTTCCGTGTATGAAGCTATGTGAAAATTCAATGAGGTGTATACTTAAGATCTGTACACTCTGTTATGTGTAAATTATACATTAATATTTAAAAGAAAAATAAGTAGATTAATAAAGCACAGTTTGGTTTTACAGATACCTATCTATGACCCAACCATTCTACATTTAAGTATATACCCAACAGATATGACTGGGAATTTTTTACACCAAAAGACTTTCATTATAATATTATTTTTATATGCAGACACTCAAAACAGTTCAATTGTCCACCAACAGCAGAATGTAAAAATATTTTATGGATCATTGATAGAGTGGAATAAAATACAGCAATTAAAGAACTGCTGCTACATCTGTGGTGTCACAAATATGCCTGCATTCATAGAAATTTCCTCAGGAAAAATGAATCTATTGTAGAGGAAGTCAGAAAAGTGTTCTATTCGGTAGAAGAAAATTAATGAGGCATGAAAGAGGCTTCTGAGGTGCTCTTGTTTATGGTGGTCACATGACTGAGTCCATATTGAAAGATTATAAAAATTGTACACTTATGATTGATGCACTTTTTAGTCTATAACAATGTATTCATTTGCAGGAGCTACTCTCCAAGGTACCACAAACCGGGTGGCTTAAAACAACTCACATTTATTGTGTCACGGTTTGGGAAGCTAGAAGGCTGAAAACAAGATGTAGTCAAGGTAGTTTCCTCCAGAAGGATATAAGGGAGGCTGTCTGTGTCTCTTGCATCTCTCCCAGGATCTGGTGGTTTGTTGGAAATCACTGGTGTTTCTGAGTTTACAGATGTGTCAGCCCAGTCTTCCATATAGTGTCTGCATATAGTCTTCCCTCTGTGCATGTTCCCCTTGTGTTCAATTTTCCCCTTTTTATAAGAACACTAGTAATATTGGATTAGTACCCACCCTAATGACCCCATTTTAACTAGATAACCTCTGTAAAGACTCTATTTCTATATAAGGTCACATTCTAAAGTATTGGGGGTTAGGGCATTAGCATATATTTTCGGGAAAAACACAGTTCAACCCATAGCAACATATAATTCCATTTTTAAAATCCCAAAATTACATCTAGCCTAAAAAGGAATGAAATTGAAATAAAGATCGCAGAGGCCTGCAGTAAGCCTTGATGATGTAATACCTGTTTATAAACCAAATGTTAGAATGGCTTGAAACAGAATTGAACATTTTTGCGCTATAAGACACATAGGAGAAATTTTAAGTACTTTTTTTGGATGAGACATTAGTCTCAACAAGACTGAATGATTTTCTTTTAAGGTCACACATTTAAATAGTTAACAGGAGAAATAGCGACCAGAATCATAGTCAAATACCCACCTACCCCCTTTCCAAGACAACTAAGGTCTCAAATTGCGCCCATTTTTCTCAAATTATTTCTAGAATGTTTAGCAAAAGAGGCTTTTAATTTGGCATATCTTTGTCTACAGTTTTGTAGTTTATGTAAAGAAAGGTAGACTAAGGGAATTTCATTTTAAAGGTGAGAATCAGAATGACATTTGTGAAGCTATGATGCCTGTGCCATCTGGCATACACGAGGGTGTTGTACTAAATGGGATCAGAATGAGCTCCTTTTGGAAGGAAACCTTTAATAGACTGGGAAACATTAAGGGAATCTTCCCTTTTTATTTTTATTTAATTTTCTTTCTTTCTTTCTTTCTTTCTTTTTTTTTTTTTTTTTTTTTGAGATGGAGTCTCGCTCTGTCACCCAGGCTGGAGTGCAGTGGCGTGATCTCGACTCACTGTAAGCTCCGCCTCCTGGGTTCACGCCTTTCTCCTGTCTCAGCCTCCCGAGTAGCTGGGGCTACAGGCGCCCACCACCACGCCCGGCTAATTTTTTGTATTTTTAGTAGAGATGGGGTTTTACAGTGTTAGCCAGGATGGTCTCGATCTCCTGACCTTGTGATCCGCCCGCCTCAGCCTCCCAAAGTGCTGGGATTACAAGCGAGAGCCACCATGCCCGGCCTTTTATTTTTAATAGAGCATTGGAAAATGAATTCTGCATAGCTAGCTAATGAAGGAAATCCAGAGTCATTGCCAAAACCGAGTTTTAAAGGAATTTGCAATCCTTCACAGTTCATTCAAGGAGGCAATGGAAATTTTGAAGAAGAATTTTTTTAAAATCTTTCTTAAAAGGAGCCCTTACATTGGCATTGTATCACGACTAAAGTCTTGCTCCCTCCCTCTCTCCCTTCTATGCTTTTTGTTTCTCTTTTCTATCTTTCAATGACATCAGTTTCATGGAGATAAATGGTTAAAAGATAATGATTACAACACATACAGTTGAGTGACACAAATCTTGTTGTAGTGTTAGAAATACATCAATACATTGGGATCATAAAGATAAATGGCAAGAAAAAAAATCTAAGTTAATAACAGAAAATGCTGATTCCCACAGTCCGTGTAGAAAATACACGTTTTTTCCTGTCAGTGGAGATAACTGAGACCAGTTAATATTGTCAATTCTGTTCCTTCTGACTGAGCCAGGTGAGGCAAAATTTAGCAGATGACTTGAGGGACAAAACTATGACCTTGGCAACATAAAAATTAATACTGTCTACATTGTTTACTAGGAAATGCATGCAAAATTAATACACTCTTGGTAGTACAGGTTGGTTTCACTTCTATAGTGTGTAGTTACTAGAAAGCTGATTCAACAGATGATAGATTCAACAGACGACATAGAATTGTCTAAAATCCAGCCGGGCGCAGGGCCTCACGCCTGTACTCCCAGCACTTTGGGAGGCCGAGGAGGGCAGATCACAATGTTAGGAGATCGAGACCATCCTGGCTAACATGGTGAAACCCCGTCTCTACTAAAAATACAAAAAAATTAGCCAGGAGTGGTGGTGGGTGTCTGTAGCCCCAGACACTCGGAAGGCTGAGGCAGAAGAATGGCGTGAACCCGGGAAGCGGAGCTTGCAGTAGTGAGCGGAGATCGCGCCACTGCACTCCGGCCTGGGCGACAGTGCGAGACTCCAGCTAAAAAAAAAAAAAAAAAAAAGAATTGCCTGAAATTCATCTTCAATTAGTCCATGGCATGTTTTGGAATTTATTCACTTGTTTGCCTCAGGAACAGTAGCTGTTCAGATTTGTTCTTTGATTTTGGAAATGAGGTTACCGTGCTCTGTAGTGTCAGGAAGATGACGTGGCATAATCAGGCAAACGGCTAGGCATTTTCTCAGCAGTAAATTACCAGTGCCCTTGCTTGCCATAATACCCACAAAAGGCAGAGGCAGTTTCCTGAGGCAATCCAGGCCACAAAGAACTGTACATTTGGGGAAAACGTATCTTCAAATATATATGTTAAAATCTAAAAAATTGGTTAGTATGTATTACTTTTGTGGATATTTAAACATTCCCTATGCATAAAGACCTAGTTAAAGAGGTGCAGGCATTTGGCATGTTAAATAACTCCTTGATGAGAAACCACACTATGAATAATAAATATGACTTAATAAAAATGAAAAATAATGAGATTAGTTTCTATTGAACTATTCTTGCTTAGAATGCCCCTGAATTTCAGTCATAGAAATTCACTTGTACCTGGGTAAGTTACAAGTACTTATTTGTGCTGGTTTCTGTGTCATTGGCAATTAAAATTTTGGTAAGTTGAATAAAAGATCTTTCTAAAAAGGGAGTTCTTTTTTTTTTCTTTTTTGAGGGGGACGGAGTCTCGCTCTGTCGCCCAGGCTGGAGTGCAGTGGCGCGATCTCGGCTCACCGCAAACTCCACCTCCCGGGTCCATGCCATTCTCCTGCCTCAGCCTCCCGAGTAGCTGGGACTACCGGCGCCCGCCACCACGCCCGGCTAATTTTTTTTTGTATTTTTAGTAGAGACTGGGTTTCACCGTGTTAGCCAGGATGGTCTCCATCTTCTGACCTCGTGATCCGCCCTCCTCCGCCTTCCAACGTGCTGGGATTACAGGTGTGAGCCACCGCGCCCGGCCAAAAGGGAGTTCTTACACTGGCAATGTATCATGATTAACGTTTTCCTCCCTCTTTCTCTCCCTCCCACATATGTATTTTCGTGTCAGTATATGTATATGTGATTTGTGCCATTTGTGTGTGTGTAGGTAAATGAAAGTGGCATCAAGAAAATCTCACATTAAAAAAATTTGAGATAGTACAATTCTTATGCATCATATGTTGCATAATGTTTGACTATTAAGAAATTTGCATCACACGTCTACTTATTTCATTAAACATGTTACAGGCAATTAATTTACTTACACCCTCCATTTCTTTTTTCCCACTCTCTGGGTCTCCTGCTGCAGGGTCATTATATGTTCCACTCACAAAATGTCCTTGTTTTTCCCTTACTCCTGTCATTGATCTTCTGAATCTTTCTGGTGAATTTAGCATGGATGTTTTGATAGAAAGCTCTGGCATTAACTCTGGAGTTGTTTTGCAAGGAAGATTGTTCTCTTTTTCACCATTTTTTTTTTAGGTCCTTGAAGTGTTTTCACATAGATATTTCACAAGAGCCATTTCAGAACTGAGAACATTCGGCGTGCACTTTTCCTCTTTTGGTCCCACAGTTTTTATGAGTCCTACTTGAAATTATGTTTGCTCCCGTTTCAATTGTAATATTGCACTTACTCATTAGTTTTTAGTTTGAACTCTCCTGGGAGGTCTAATGTAGAGTTTGGACAAAGACACAGATTCATAATAAACCTACCCAGTCAATTTGGTATAAAGGCTTAGAAGGTGGAACTGGCCACATTTTGAATTGGAGGTAAGTATCAGGAATGGTAATGGAGAGACATACAGGATTTTCTTATGGGAACAAGAAACAACCTCTGGGCAGTATTAGAGCCCAGAGAGTGAAAAGCCTCTTCTAACTTCAATATTCTATGTACAAATTTACAAGACTTTTTTTTTTCTTTTTTTTTGAGACGGAGTCTCACTCAGTATCCCAGGCCGGAGTGCAATGGTGCGATCTCAGCTCACTGCAAGCTCCGCCTCCCGGGTTCACGCCATTCTCCTGCCTCAGCCTCGCGAGTAGCTGGGACTACAGGCGCCTGCCACACCCGGCTAATTTTTGTATTTTTAGTAGAGACTGGGTTTCACCGTGTTAGCCAGGATGGTCTCCATCTCCTGACCTCGTGAGCCACCGCGCCCGGCTGAGACTTTTAATTGACAGACTGCATTGCATAAGCCAAAGGCCAACAGAGAGGTGACCTTTCAAATTACTGGCACAACAGGAGCCGAGATCAGAAAGCTCCAACTTAATGCAAACATCGACAAGAAATCCGACAGAAATGACTTCTGTGTCTGGTCAACTTAACATAACATGACATATTGTCAAGCGCATTTTGCTTTTTAGGTAGAATTGTCTATAACGATTTAACTGCTTTAGAAAATATAAATGTGAAGATTTGTGGTATTCGGGTTTATATATAAGATATTTCTACATTTAAAAGAGACAGAGTGGAAAAGCTTGATATAAGATTTGTAAAATATGTTTGTAATAATGCTAATGGAAGAGGTGAGAGTTGGGTGGGGTGGGGTGTAGATGGGAACATGGTTTGGGGATTGGGGAAAGGGAAGTCATGCTGTTAATAAAATAGTGAGGCATGTTGTATAAAGTGTGTTTTATGTCTCAATTGAAATGTTATAGAGAGAAATTTAAAATAGATCATGATTGGTTTTGAATCTGATTTCTAATTTTAAAATGTTATGAGCTTTTGTTGCTTTCCTATTTCATACACATTTCTTTATGGGTTTCACTTAGACTGCATGAAATTGCAGATGCCAATTACCTTTTAATAAAATTAAATTCACATATATGTATAATTTGCATGTATATATTCACGGAATTTTTTATTCTATACGTGATATATTATTTTAAAATGGTTTATCAATGACATAACGTATAATTTTTCTATACTTTCAGTTTTCTGGTTTGGATTTTTTCTGGCAACACTAATTTTCACCTACCTATACTCATTGATAGTATAAAGTTGTACAAGTGCATATTTGACCATGATTACAGTTGAATAGATGACTGGAGGTACATCTATGATGACTAATACTTTCTAAACACATATTTACCTCTCATATATCTGTGTAAATGATTGTAAGAGGAAGGGGAAAATAGAGATGTATCATTAGGTATACTGTCTTAAAGCACATTCAGCTGCTCTCATGTTTGGAGAATTTTGAATGTGATGAATGTTTCTCTTTCACCGCTAACAGGTTGTGTGTGTGAGCCAGATTTTATTGCAAGTGTTTGAAAGACTATTGCAAATATCGGATATTGCCAGACAGTTGGTAAAAAGCAAATTGAGTCTATTGAGAAATTAATTCACCAGCTGAAGGAAGCACATTTGCCTTACAGTCATCAGATATTCTACCCACCAGACTCATCTCCGAGATAGCATCCTAATGAGCTTCCTAAACCAACTAAACATGAGCAGGAAGCATCAGTCGTCAAAACTGACTCTTTTCAGCCAATCAGCTGACTGCACAAACTGTATGGCATTGAGGAAAGGAAGAACATTCTGAAAGTTTTTTTTTTTCATTCTGCCCTCACTTTGTTGGTTTCTCAGTTTTACAGATGCAGTGTCATGCGCAGAACCCTGTAAATGAGCATAGTTCATTCAAGTATATAAAGTGCTTTCGTGTATTATTATTCAGTGGAATAAAATGAATGTTAACAGGCTTAAGTGATTTTCCTAAAGGCACACAATTAATGTATGGCTGGAATTCAAAATCGGGTCTTTTCCTCTGTTCTGATTGTTCTATAAATAGGGGTGTAGTGATTGATTTTCTACCCACCATGACAGGGAATAGGTTCAAAACTTAAAACCCTGTTCATTTTATAATTAGGTAGACTCAAATGACAGGTCAAGGCAGGGAGGGGAGCCAGTCATTTTTATTCCCATATGGGTTTGCTCCTTCAAAGACAGGATTGGGGTAGCAGGGTCAGTTCCTACAGGTTATAACGATCTTAATGATAAAGTTAACTAACCATAACTGAATAGTCATAATGTGCTAGCACTTTTCATAATGTATCCCAAATAATACTCACAAAACCTTCCAAATAAATGTTACCTTTTTGTTATCTTTGTTTTATTTTGTTTGAGACAGGGTTTCAGTCTGCTGCCCAGGCTTTAGTGCAGTGATGCAATCATGGTTCACTGCAGCGTCAAACTCCTGGGCTCAAGCAATCCTCCCACCTCAGCCTCCCAAGAAGCTAAGACTACAGGCATGCACCACCACTCCCAGCTCCAAATAAATATTCTTATCCCATTTTACTGATGCAGAAAAACGTATGGCCCAGAGAAGTAATGTTAAGTTTATTGGGGGATTTAAGTTGTAAAAAATTATTTTATCGAACCCTAATGTAAACTATGGACTCTGGGTGATAGTGATGCGTCAGTGTAGGTTCATCGATTATAGCAAATGCATCATTCTGGTGCAGGATGTTGACAGTGGGGGAAGCTGTGTGTGTAAGGGAGTAGGGAGTCTAGGGGAACTCTTCTACTTTCCACTCAATTTTGCTGTGAGTCTAAAACTACTCTAAAAAATGAAGCTTATTAATCAAAAAAAATTCTTATATTTTATGAATATATGGGACAGCTATTCATGTATGTGGTAAAAAGAGATTTGTTACAATACTCGGCAGGAGTGTGTCTAATATGACTGATATTCATGTGTCACTTATAAAAACTGGCTTCATAATCTGTAGATTCATTTCATTTGTGTATGTTCGCTTAAGGGCGCACACATGGAAACACTTTGGTGTTATTAAAGGTCTGTTGGGAGGGCTCCTCTTTGGTGGAAGCTATGTCTATTTCTTAAAAGTGATTTAAGAGTAAGATGTGAAATAGCACTTGCCCCCGAGGATGGAGCCAACAGAGCATAGGGGAGTTATGTGATGCTATCTCTGAGAGACTGGAGAGAGGAATATAAAAAGCTTATTCCTTAAAAAAGAATAGGGGAGGACTTCCTTACCTGATATCTCAGATTATGAAGCTACAGTTCTCTCCCTGCTTTAGGGAAAAATAATAATAACATACTTTTTGCAAAAATCAATTACTGAACATATTCCTATATTTTAGATTTATAATGAAGCATTTTTGTACATATTCATTAAAAAAGAGTAATTAAAATATTTTTCTCTGGTTTATAGTAACTAGGATGGCAACACAGATATATCTTGGAAGTATTTCTTGGGATGATTCTTCAACATAAAACTATTCTTAAAAACTTCTTAGAAGTCTCCAGGTACTCAGGAATAAGGTCATTTTAAATTATTCCTTATTGACCATAAGAAAAATAATTAGGCAAGACCACAAAACTAAATGTTTAGACTGTTTCTCCTGTTTCCTGATTTTCAGGTTATTTTTTTATCCCAATTTTATTTTGCTGTATGGTCATACATTTCATCTTTGAAATAAAGTATATAATAATCACTTTTTTTTTTTTTTTTGAGACAGAGTCTCGCTCTGTCGCCCAGGCTGGAGTGCAGTGGCACGATCTCCGCTCACTGCAAGCTCCGCCTCCCGGGTTCATGCCATTCTCCTGCCTCAGCCTCCCCAGTAGCTGGGACTACAGGCGCCTGCCACCATGTCCGGCTAATTTTTTGTATTTTTTTTTTTTTTTTTTTTAGTAGAGACGGGGTTTCACCGTGTTAGCCAGGATGGCCTCGATCTCCTGACCTCGTGATTTTCAAAGCTGTTCGAGGGCATTTATCAGGCTTTTAACTCTAGGTACTCTTTCCCGCAGTGTGACGGCCAAGAGAAGGGATCCTGGGCTCTCTTCCCTGGCCCCAGGACGGGAATTCAGGGGGAAAATTCACCTACTCTTATCCCACAAAAGAAAACTTATTCATCAGTTGTCAAGCTAAGGAGCTTCAGAGTCCATAAAGAGGGAAATTGCTAAGAGCTTATCAGTAGTGTCCACCCCGCATCCCCACCTGGGGTCACATGGAGAATGATGGTGGGGGCACCGATCTTGTCCTGCTTCAGGTGAAAAGCAGGGGTGTGGGGGGGTTTCATTGTGAAGGGCTCCTTTGTTAAAATTCCTTCCAATTCCAGGAAAAACATGCACTCCAAAAGCCATTATCTCTTTTACTTTGTACTAGGGGACTTCCAGGAAAGAGAGAGAGGAGAAAGAAGAGGGCAAAACAACTGCAGTGAATTTAGTCACCTCTCCAATTGCCTTTCTTGTTGCAGAATATTTCACATTCCAGGAATTTCCTTCTTGACCTCTGGACTGTTGATACACCCAAGATCTTAATATGCTTTCAATCATAGGTTAAAGACATCAAGCGCCAGATCGCTTGGGCCTAGGAGTTCCAGACCGGCCTGGACAGAATAGTGAAACCCAGTCACATTTTTTTTTTAAGGGGGAGATTTGCTCTTGTTGCCCAGGCTGGAGTGCAGTGGCGAGGTCTCGGCTTGTGGGACCTCTGCCTCCCGGGTTTGGATGGTTCTCCTGCCACAGCCTCCCGAGTGGCTGGGATTGTGTGAGCCACCATGCCCAACTAATTCCCTAACTGTGCAACTGCAAGGTCACTAAACAAACTCGTCACAAAACATATTTTTCCTTAAATAGTAAAAAATAATATAATGTATGTTTCAATTAAATAAGTATCTTTGTTTCTCGCTTCTATAATATGCTTCTCCCTGCACAGATCTCCCCCTTCGCCCCACATAATGCTTGAAAGGTAACTCTTGGTTCAGTACTCAATCCTTTAAATGTTAATCCGACTGGGCTGGTGCACCTAAATAATTAATAAATGTCCTCCTAAACCCCATGAGTCTATCTAATTCCTTAAAAATCCCTCTACAGGACTGCAGGTGTGAGCCACCGCACCCCGCCCAATTTATTAATCAGAGAGGAATAGATGGGCCTGGCTTGGTGGCTTGCGCTTGTGATCCAAGGACTTTGGATGGCAGAGCACTGGGGATCATTTGAGCCTAGGAGATCCAGACAGGCCTGGGCAACATGGTGAAACTCGGTCTCTTTTTTTTTTTTTGAGGCGGAGTTTCGCTCTTGTTGCCCAGGCTGGAGTGCAGTGGTGCAGTCTCGGCTCCCCGCCGCCTCCGCCTCTTGGGTTTGGGTGGTTCTTCTGCCTCAACCTCCCTAATGGCTGAGATTGCAGGTGTGAGCCACCATGCCTAATTTTCTTTTTTCTTTTTTTTTTTTTTTGGTACACACAGGGTTTCTACCTGTTGGTCAGGCTGGTCTCAAACTCAGGACCTCAGGTTATCCGCCCGCCTTGGCTTCCGGGGGTGCTGGGATTGCAGGCGTGAGCCAGCACGCAAAGCCCAACTAATTAATCAGAAAGGAATAGATCGGCCTGGCGTGGTGGCTCACGCTTGTGGTCCCAGGACGTCGGACGGCCGAGCGCGGGGGATCGATCACTTGAGCCTAGGAGTTCCACACCGGCCTGGGCAACATGGTGAAACCCGGTCTCTCTTCTCTTTTTTTTTTGGTACAGACAGGGTTTCTCCATGTTCATCAGGCTGGTCTCAAACTCCCGACCTCAGGTTATCCGCCCGCCTCCTGGGCCTCCGGGGGTGCTGGGATTGCAGGCGTGAGCCAGCGCGCCCAGCCCAGTTTATTAATCAGAAAGGAATAGATCGGCCTTGCATGGTGGCTCACGCTTATGATCCCAGGAATTTGGACGGCTGAGCGCGGCGGATCGCTTGAGCGTAGGAGTTCGTTCTATACTTGCCTGGGCAACATGGTGAAACCCGGTCACTTTTTGTTTGTTTTGAGGCGGAGATTCGCTTTTGTTGCCCAGGCTGGAGTGCAGTGGTGAGGTCTTGGCTCAACGGGCCTCCGCCTCCCGGGTTTGGGTGGTTCTCCTGCCACAGCCTCCCGAGTGGCTGGGATTGCACGCGTGAGCCACCATGCCCAGCTCATTTTGTTTTTTGTTCGTTTGTTTTTGTTGTTGGAGATGGGGTTTCTCCATGTTCATAAGGCTGGTCTCAAACTCCAACCTCAGGTTATCCGCCCGCCTCGGGCGTCCGGAGGTGCTGGGATTGCAGGCTTGAGCCAGCGCCCAAGGCCCAATTTATAAATCACAAAGGAATAGCGTGGGGGATCGCTTGAGCCTAGGAGTTCCAGACAGGCCGGGGCAACATGGTGAAACCCGGTCTTTTTTTTTTTTTGAGGCAGTTTCACTCTTGTTGCCCGGTTGGAGTGCAGTGGCGCGGTCTCGGCTCCCGGCGGCCTCCGCCTATTGGGTTTGGGTTGTTCTCCTGCCTCAGCCTCCGGAGCGGCTGGGATTACAGGCGTGAGCCACCATGCCCGGCTAATTTTTTTTTTTTTTTTTTTGGTATAGACGGGGTTTCTCCCTTCGTCAGGGTAGTCTCAAACTCCTGACCTCAGGTTACCCGCCTGCTTCGGCCTCCCGGGGTGCTGGGATTGCAGGCGTGAGCCACCATGCCCAGCTTTTTATTTTTTTTCTTTTTTGGTAGAGACGGGTTTCTCCATGTTGGTCAGGCTGGTCTCAAACTCCCGACCTCAGGTGGTCCGCCCGCCTCCGCCTCCCAGGGTGCTGGGATTGCAGGAGGGAGCCACCGCGCCGGGCCCAATTTATTAATCAGAAAGGAACAGATGGGCCTGGCGTGGTGGCTCACCCTTGTGATCCCGGGACTTCAGATGGCCGAGCGCGGCGGATCGCTTGAGCCTAGGAGTTCCAGGCCGGCTGGGGCAACATGGTGAAACCCAGTCCCTCTTTTTTTTTTTTTTTTTTTGATAGGGAGTTTCGCTCTTGTTGCCCAGGCTAGAGTGCAGTGGCAGGGTCTCGGCTCCCCGCAGCCTCGGCCTCCCAGGTTTGGGTGGTTCTCCTGCCTCAGCCTCCCGAGTGGCTGGGATTGCAGGCATGAGCCACCGTGCCCTGCTAATTTTGTATTTTGTATTTTTTTTTTTTTTTTTGGTAGAGATGGGGTTTTCTCCATGTTGGTCAGGCTGGCCTCAATCTGACCTCAGGTTATCCGACCGCCTCGGCCTCCCTGGGTGTTAGGATCGCAGGCGTTAACCACCACGCCCAGCCCAATTTTTAATCAGACAGGAATAGATCGGCCTGGTGTCATGGCTCGCGCTTGTGATCCCAGGACTTTGGACGGCTGAGCGCGGTGAATCGCTTGAGCCTAGGAGATCCAGACCCGCCTGGGCAACATGGTGAAACCCGTTTTTGTTTTTGTTTTGTTTTCGAGGCGGAGTTTCCCTCTTGTTGCCCAGGCTGGAGTGCAGTGGCGTGGTCTCGGCTTCCCGGGCCTCCGCCTCCCGGGTTTGGGTGATTCTCCTGCTTCAGCCTCCTGAGTGGCTGGGATTGCAGGCGTGAGCCACCATGCCCGGCTACTTTTTTATTATTTATTTATTTTGGTTGAGATGGGGTTTCTCCATGTTGGTCAGGCTGGTCTCCAGCTCCTAACCTCGGGTGATCCGCCGGCCTCGGCCTTCCGGGGTGCTGCGATTGCAGGCCTGAGTCACTGCGCCTGGCCCGAAACCCAGTCCCTTAATTGAAAAACAAAACAAAAACCACAAAGATTAGCGGGGCCTGGTGGGCCCGGCGGGTAGTCCCAGCTACTCTGAAGGCTGATGTAGGAGGATTGCTTGAGCCGGAGAGGGGTGGGGGTGAGGTGGCAGTGAGCCATGTTGGCGCTGCTGCAGTCCAAACTGGGCGATAGAGCGGGACTGTGTCTCAGGAAAACAGGAAAAAAAAAAAAGAAGAAAAAGAAAGTACATAAAATTGCTAAATCAAGGAACAGCTTGACAGTATATTATTGAGAGAAATAGAGGCAAAGGCGAGCAGACACCAATGTTCACTTAGTGGAACTGCAGTTGTCCCCAGACAGGAGGCTGCTACTTTTCCAAAAGAAATCTATTATTGACAAAAAAAAAAAAAAAGGGGGTTTGTTACAATATACAAATAGCTAAACTTTATATAGCCACGACCCTCTTGCAGCACTGCTCTAAGCCTTTTCCTGCTCTGAAATAGCTACTATTGTTACCTCCATTGTAGAGAATACAGATGCCAGAGGTTGTTGTGGAAGGACCATGGAAACTGACTAGGAAATTGACTTGTAAGTTTAGGACTTAAAGGTTCTTCCTGTTTTGCTCCTTACATTGCCACATTTTAGTTAACATACCTCCTAAAATACTGGTCCTTTCTATATTTGGAGGGACTCGTCTTGCAGTTTGAAGTTTTTTCTTGCACTAAGCATTTGGTCAGAAGATCATGTGCGTTTTATGTCAGTTTAAGTTTAGACATTGTTCAGTAAGGAATGTAAATATGAGCAAACAGTTACCTGATTAAATAGAAAACCTAGAAGAAAAATCACCTATGAGAAAGTCAAGAAAATGTGAACTCTGGATTTGTGGCTATTTTCAGAATATTAATTTTTTTGGTATTTAATGGCATTGTGAATATATTTATTTTTAAAAATTCCTTGTCTTCTGCAGATACATATACGGTAATTAAAAAATGATATGATGTATAGATTTTACTTCAAAATAATTCAGAGGAAGAAGGAATGCATATAAATGAAGTGGGAATATAAATGAAACAAAACTGGCTGTGGCCAGGTGTGGTGGCTCACGCCTGTAATCCCAGCACTTTGGGAGACTGAGGCAGGTGGATCACCTGAGGTCAGGAGTTCAAGACCAGCCTGGCCAACGTGGTGAAACATCATCTCTACTAAAAATACAACAGTTAGCCGGATGTGGTGCCGGGTGCCTGTAATCCCAGCTACTTGGGAGGCTGAGGCAGGAGAATCGCTTGAACCTGAGAGGCAGAATTTGCAGTGAGCCAAGATCATGACACTGCACTCCAGCCTGGGCGACCACAGCAAAATCCCACCTTTAAAAACAAACAACAAAAAACCAACAAAAACAAAAAACTGTCCATGCCATGAATGAAAAATTGTTGATGATGTGTATATGTAGGGCAGTTACATTATTTTTCTCAACTTTTTTTACATCTGAAACTTTTTAATGAACACATGCACACGTCCCTTGATAACTGGGGCTGCTTCCCCATTACTCTCTCAATAGCCCTTCTGATTTTCACTTCATCTTCATTCTTAGAGACTCTGGATTTTTTATTTTTTTTGGCAAGTTCAAGTATGTCTTGATCTATGCAAGGACTAGCCAGCATGTCTACCTACTCAGCCATATTATCAGAAACAGAAAAAGTGTCCAGATTCTTGTCTTTTCCTGTTAAGATTTTTTAAATTCCAAGAACAGTCACCTTCTACCAGACACTCTGATGTTGGAAGACAAAGCATATTTCGTAAGTGGCATGATTTCTGTGCTCAAGTTTAGAACAAAGCCACAGATTTCAACATCTCAAAAATAACTTACTGGACTCACCAAATTTAGAAAGATGGAGATTATTTTAAAAAAAGAAAACCTTAATTTACTATGTGACCTCTAAGTATCTCAGCTGAAAATTGTAAAGATAGGTAAATCAAAAGATGCAGATAATCATGCACTTAATGAAGCGCTAAATCAAAGTATTTTTGGCATATGTGAGTTTCATTTTATCACATTTTTTACTGGTACTATAGCTATTTGCAAGTACATATAGAACTACAGTGTTACATATAAACTACCAAAAAGCAACTTTTTAAAAAAATTTTATTATTCTTATACTTTAAGTTTTAGGGTAGATGTGCACAAAGTACAGGTTAGTTCCATATGTATACATGTGCCATGTTGGTGTGCTGCACCCATTCACTTGTCATTTAGCATTAGGTATACCTCCTAATGCTATCCCTCCCCCTCCCCCCACCCCACAACAGTCCCCGGTGTGTGATGTTCCCCTTCCTGTGTCTATGTGTTCTCATTCTTCAATTCCCACCTATGAGTGAGAACATGCGGTGTTTGTTTTTTTGTCCTTGCGATAGTTTGCTGAGAATGATGGTTTCCAGTTTCATCCATGTCCCTACAAAGGACGTGAACTCATCATTTTTTTATGGCTGCATAGCATTCGTTGGTGTATATATGCCACCTTTTCTTAATCCAGTCTATCATTGTTAGACATTTGGGTTGGTTCCAAGTCTTTGCTATTGTGAATAATGCCGCAATAAACATATGTGTGCATGTGTCTTTATAGCAGCATGATTTATAGTCCTTTGGGTATATACCCAGTAATGGGATGGCTGGGTCAAATGGTATTTCTAGTTCTAGATCCCTGAGGATCTAGACACACTGACTTCCACAGTGGTTGAACTAGTTTACAGTCCCACCAACAGTGTAAAAGTGTTCCTATTTCTCCACATCCTCTCCAGCACCTGTTGTTTCCTGACTTTTTAATGATCGCCATTCTAACTGGTGTGAGATGGTATCTCATTGTGGTTTTGATTTGCATTTCTCTGATGGCCAGTGATGATGAGCATTTCTTCATGTGCTTTTTGGCTGCATAAATGTCTTCTTTTGAGAAGTGTCTGTTCATATCCTTTGCCCACTTTTTGATGGGGTTGCTTGTATTTTTCTTGTAAATTTGTTGGAGTTCATTGTAGATTCTGGATATTAGTCCTTTGTGAGATGAGTAGGTTGCGAAAATTTTCTCCCATTTTGTCAAAAAACAGCTTTTTAAGAAATGAGACTAATCTAGCAACTTTATTGAGAGGACGTGAAGTGTTTGGTTAGGAATGGTGCAATTGGTGGTGGTTGTGGACATGTGAGATGTAAGATGCCTCAACTTCCAATGTTGTTCAGAAGCAATCCAGCTTTCTGAATTATTCTTATGAATTCTGGATTTGAAACAGTAACTTCCCAAATGGCAGGGGCTTTCAGCAGAGAGGAACCTGGAGGGACCCTGTCCCTGACACCTTCTGGGTTGTTAGCTCCAGATCAAAAGAACTCCTGATTTGGAAAAAGCTTCTTGAAAAGAAGAGGGGAGGTGACCTTGGTGAAGCCTCTGGGGACATGAGCTATTTTTAGGGCTTTTGGCAGGAAAAGAGCTTTTGAAAACGGAGATAAGGCATGGTATTAAAAAGGCTTACATTGGAGAAAGAAATCATAAAACTCCATACAGTTAGGGCAATAGTTTTGTTTTTTACTAGGACAGCATCAGTTTATTGGAGTATTTATATAACATAAGCAAGGTCTCTTGATATTTTAACAATTAACAACTGGATTTTATTTTCTACTATAGGTGCAGTTTATCATTCTGAATCCAAAGCCAAGGAATATAAACATGTATGCAAACGAGCTTGTCAGAGAGTATCAACGCAATGTGTATCATCTATGCTTTTCAGTTTTGAACATAAAGCAGTGGCTCTGAGCGCGACTCGGAGGGCGACGCCGCGGCCGCAGCCATGGGTGCTGGGCCTGCAGGGGCGCGGGGGGGAGGGCGACGCTAGGACCTGCGGGGCCGGGCGGGAGAGAGGGCTGCCGGGACCGGCCCTAGACACTGAGCCGCGGTGGGATCCCCGCCGGCTCTGCGAGGCCCTGCGAGCGCCAGGGAGGCGCCTCGAGGGAGCCGGGCAGCCGCCGGCCACTTCAGGGGGGCCCGCCACTTCAGGGCGGTCGAAAGAGCCTTGGGGGCACATCTCGGGGTGCGGTGACCCGCCCGGCGCATTTCGGGGGTCGGGGCGCATTTGCCAGGGGACATCTGGAGCCCGGCCCTGCTTCTGTCGGGCTCCAGGGTACCCCTGGATGGCTGCGCTGTGCCCTCGCCGGCGGCCCGGGCGCCACAGCGGCTGAGTTCGCCGGGATCGCCGGGCCGCCGCCGCCCTTGCCACCGGCTGCATGCTCGGCGCCCGGGTCGCGGCCCACCTGGACGCACTGGGCCCCCTGGTCCCCTACGTGCCGCCGCCGCTGCTGCCCTCTATGTTCTACGTGGGCCTGTTCTTCGTCAATGTGCTGATCCTGTACTACGCCTTCCTCATGGAGTACATCGTCCTCAACGTGGGCCTCGTCTTCCTGTTCGAGGACATGGACCAGGCGCTCGTGGACCTCGGCGTGCTCTCCGACCCCGGCTCGGGCCTTTACGATGCTGACTCGGAGCTCGACGTCTTTGATGGGTACTTGGAGTAGGGTCTCGACTGCCGTTCCCCTCTTCCCTCCACGATCCGCAACCCACGCCCTGGACCAGCCGCCCAGATCATGGCGCCGCAGCAGCTGGTTGGGGGCACCATCTGGACGGGGATGGTTCCCCAGGAGGAGACCCTCCCCTGCCTCCGAGGCCTGCCTGCTACCCTCAAAAGCTTCGTGCCAACAGAGAGGTTCCTGTTTGGACCCAGGAGAGTGGAAGAGAGATTGGGACTGAGTGCTGAGATTGGGAAGGCACCTGCTCCCACAGAAGGGGGAACGCAAGGGGCGTCCCAAGACCTCATCTGCCTGCAGCGTCACACCGATGGCCTGGCCTCGGCTTCTCATTATTTGCAACTGCCATGGATGTTTACAGGAACCCAGCCAGAGTTTGCCTCCCTGC
Organism: Homo sapiens; assembly: GCF_000001405.40. Lineage (NCBI taxonomy): Eukaryota > Metazoa > Chordata > Mammalia > Primates > Hominidae > Homo > Homo sapiens. The sequence goes on from NC_000015.10 coordinate 28,789,884, forward strand.
ACTTCATCCCAGAGCGCACCTGCTTCCTCCACTTCACCTTCGGAGAGGACACTTCAAACTGCGGACACACGCAAAAGCAACTCCCAGCTCTGTTTGATGTGAGTTGAGCCTTCAGGCCAGCTGGGTTTAGCCCGAGGCTGGTCTTAGATGCAGCGACTGTTTCAGGGAGTGACTCAGAATAAAAAGAAGCTGAGGAAGCTGTTGGGGGGCTGAGGATGAGATTCTCGCTTCTTCATTTCAGGTTACTCGTTCCTCAGCAAGTTGGCAAAACAGATATCATGCTGGTGAGTGCCACGTTACTCCCCTGGCTGCAAATGCTTTTCTGAAAGTATGAGTGTCGTGCCTACTTAATTCTGATAAACCTGTTTAAGCAATACTTAGGAGGCTGACTTCTTTGGATTAAAAAAATGTATGCAACTCCAAAAAAAAAAAAAAAAAAAAGAAATTCAACATTTAAAAGTTTCATTTCTAGGGCAGTCTTCCGGTTTGGACTACAAAATTATTTTGCTTGTTTTTGTAGGGGATCGTTTTGTGTTGTTTTGTGTCTTTCTCCACATGATGCTTAGCTCTTTCCCCACGTCCCAGATTAAAGTCTGTATTTTTGTAATTGTGGGCACACAATCATATCTCTTTTAATCTTTGCAACGATGTTGAACTTCTGTAGACAGAAGGATAGAGAAAACAGCTTGAAGGCAGTCAGTGTGTTTTTCCATGAAGGGAAAAAAATAAATAAAAAAATTAAAATGGGTGCTTTTTTAAGAGAGATTGTCCTATACTTTTTCATTCTGTTTTTCATCACGTAGTTTGTATCATAGCAAGTTCATTGTCATTCCAGAGTTCAGCTTTGCCCTTGTACTCAGTTGTGCTTTTTTCCCATTGGTTTTTGAGGTTTTGCTAAACTGTTGAATATTTAATGTGGGGACAGGAATGGACTCAGAAGAAATGTTTTTTATTTTGATTCTTACTAGTCTTGTAGGCAAACCTTCCATTACTTTTTATGCAAATAGGATCTAGTTGAATATTGTATATCGAGTAAATATGCGTCTCTCTCTGCTCTTTTCGTTGATATTTACATAACATTAAAAAGATTATACTTTATCAGAGATTCAAGCTTTTTCTTATGAATGAAGCCCTATAAATAAGAATATTTTGTTACAGGGATTTTGTTCTTTTGAAATTTATAACAATAAAGCTAAAAGTTCTCTAAGCTGTTTTATATTTTTTCTTATTTTTCAAAGTGTGAAATTTTTCTATCATCTGAAAATAAATTTTATGTAACTATAGTCTTAGAAATTTAATACATTTGAATTGTATATTTAGCCTCTTTAATATTTCCAATGAATACACTTCTTAAAAGTTTAATTAGGAATACAGTTCTTAGTTTTTGAGCTTTCTCTTTGTTGACTAAATTGAAATGTTAATAAATCATTTATAAATGACTTTTCCTTCTCTCTCTTTTCCTCTCCTAATTTATGCTCAAGGCCAGGTGATTTTATAGACCTTTATTCTGTGTAGTTTATATTACAAAATAATATGTTACATCTTGATTTAGAATTTACATTATAGTATCCAAAATGTTTTTGTCAAATGTGTGCTTTTATCCTCAGATTCCGGCGCCCCTGTGACTCAGAGTCACTTCTTTTTAGGTATGGAGAGTATTAACGGGGAGGAGAAATGATTCGTTTGAGATTTAGTTATCTATATAAAATACGAATTGTCAGGATATTTGAACCAAACTGGGTCATACAATTTCTGTGGCTATTTTGAATAGCCTTACAATGAATTAAGCTTACTAAATTCCTTGTACTTTTCATTTAATAGCTAGATGTTATTGTTTTAATTTGAATAATATTAAGTGAGCCATATTACCAATTAACCTGAATATAAACACTTGCTTGTTTTTAATCTGAGTAGTTTATGTCTTAAAGTATGGAATGGAACTAGTGGTCAATTTTTATTAATCTAAGTGTCTCCCATACTTCTTTAAGCTTTTGGAAAGTTTGGGAAGTTGTGATTTTGCAATGAATAATCTCTCCCCTTGGTTTCATAGGCAATTGAAAAGCTGCAGGCGGGTGCTCTTGCAACTGACGCAGTCACTGCAGCACTGGTGGAACTTGAGGTATTTCTTTTCTCTGTTTTATTGAAAATACTTGTGAGTTTATCTTTATTGTTCTTAAATGACATGAAACTGTTGAGTTAGTCAACCATAAATTATATGACCAGTGTTGCCCACCAATATTAGCACAGTTATGAAGAAGCCTATGATATTGTTGTTTTCATTGGTGACTTTTCTGAGTAATATGAAAGTTGGTTAAATTCCTTCCTTTTCTTGATTTTTTTTTTTTTGTGAGATTCATGAATACAAAAGTTAGTGACTGGATACTGAAGTTTCTCATTTTCAGTAGGAAAATCCTTGAAGTTAACCCCCAAAAAGTGATGTATGTTCTGTTGTTTAAAAATAAATTCCAACTGTCTAGAAGTGCCTAAAGTAGAAGGGGAAGATTCTTCACGAACCTAACAGTTAGATATATACCCTGAAATTGTGTGCTGTGAAGTGTGCCTTGTCCCAGTGTTATGGTTAGGTTTGTCCCCAGTTTACTGTGGACATCGAATAATTGAGTGGGGAGGCTCTCACGTTTGCCATAATTTTTTATACTCTAGAGTGAGGTCCTCTCAGTTCTCTTGATTTGGACCCTTGATGAATTTGTGCAGGGGATATTGAGGTCTTCAGAAGATTGACTTGCTGCTCGAACTTGGAGAAGATAGATTTGTATCTATCAGTTGAGAGGATTATCGTGAAAAATATTTTTCTGGTTGAGAATACTCCTTAGGGAATCAAGTAAGACATGATGACGAAACAATGATGAGTTTGAGGGAGGAGATGATAGTTAAAGGCGACATTTCCAGGTTGACTGGGTTGTGGCCCTTGTATTCAGGCGCTCATACCAGGGCACGCACCCTTTCATGCCTTTCCTTGTGAAAATTGCCCAGGTGTTTACCAAAAGTCCTAGCCGTGTTTTCTGTATATTCTCATGCTTAATTGTGGACCTGAGCTTTTGATCATGCTTTGTAGATTTTAATTTCTCTTGGTAATGTCAGATTGGTCCTAATGTAGTCAAGGAAGGTGAAAGAATATGGTGAGCACCTAGTTCTATTGAATCTTACATGGGGATGTGTGATGCCCTCCTAATATGACTGATACATTTCATGCCAGCTCTACCAGTCATTAGCCATGTGTCCATGGGTGTGGCACAGTCTGTCCTTGACTCAGTTTCCCTATTTATGAGGATAATAATTCCCACTTCACAGAGTTGTGAAGATTAACTGAGTTCATATATGACTAATACAGGACAGTCTCTTAGAACAGTGTGTGGTACGTAGTAAGCACCCATAACTGTTAGCAATTATTACAGTTATGAGGTGCTTTGGAAGTGGTATGTATGAGATGAATATTTATGGTAACTATTAATGACAAGTTTTACAGCATCAAAGAAAGTTTAATTATATGTTGAGGATCAGAGGAGAAAAATGACATAAGAAAGAAGATAGATGTATTTACCACCAAATGTTACCTTTACTCAAAACAGACACACAAAGAGGGCTTCATCTAACTTAACTAATTCAATTGTTAGTTGGAAATTACTTGCATGGAATCAGCATAGGTTTGGGAAAGAAGGTTATTGAGTAGCTGGAGAATATACTAGAATGGCAACCATGAATGCAAAACTGAATAAAATTAAGTTTCTCTTTTTATCTTAGAATAACTTTAATTTTCCTAAGTCATACTTATATATCATGTTTAATATTTCATTCTATTTTCCCCTAGTGTTGAATCTGACTTTTAAGGGATTTACTTATTTATACTTAAAAATGATAAGAATACATTTTGAAATAATGAGTTTCTCCTGAGTAAGTGGACTTATAGTTTTGGATAACTTGTGTTTTTTTAAGAGTGTGGATATGAATTTAAAGGAAAAAAATTTCTTGTTCTATTATTTTTGATTGGAATAAGTCATAAGGATAATGGTAGCATAGAATTCTTCCCCAAGTGACTTTAGAGCATCCCACACCTCAACTTTTAGTTATTTTATTTTATATATATATATATTTTTGAGATGGATTCTCACTCTGTAGCCCAAGCTGGAGTGCAGTGGTGCGATCTTGGCTCACTGCAACCTCTGCCTCCCAGGCTGAAGTGATTCTTGTGCCTCAGCTTCCCATGTAGCTGGGACTACAGGCATGCACCACCACACCCAGCTAATTTTTGTATTTTTTTTTTTTTTTAGTAGAGATGGGGTTTCACCATGTTGACCAGGGTGGTCTTGAACTCCTGAGCTCAGGTGATCCACCTACCTCGGCCTCCCAAAGTGCTGCGATTACAGGTGAGAGCCACTGTGCCTGGCCTCAACTTTTGATTATTAAATTTGTGGAAGAATTTCAATTATCTTTAACAATTAACTTTTCTATGGACTCTTTGATTGAAATACATGTTAATAGTTTAAGGTTAAGCTTACACTAACAGGAAGAATTTTCCTAAATCTTAAGAATTATGTTGGAAATCATGCTTATACTGCCCCCTGCAGTTTCTCTCACCTTGAATAATTGTGATTCATTACCTTAAAACAGGATAGGTTTTCAGATGGACTTCAGTTGGGGAAGTATTGTAATAGCTTGGGTCAATGGAAAGACGTAAGAAGATTGGATTCTAATATTTTTGTACTTAGAAAAATATAAGTAGCAGTATTGAGTCCTTTCAGAATACTGAAAAGTGCTGAGAAAAATTCTGGAGAGCCTTATTAATAATGCATTATGTTTAATTTGAGAATAAATACTTATCTTAGTTTTGGTCAGTCTATTCAGTTAAGTCATGTCTGGATTATTGAACAGATGCAAACAGTCATTGTTCTCTTCTCTTTAGACTTTGGGATATACTTTTTGATTTAAAAAATGATGTTCTTGCCACTGAGCTTAAGGAAACAATACATAAACATATTTTTAAAACTTGCCCGTTATATTATTACTTAGGCAGATATTAAAATTGATATGAATTCCTTAAATACTAATTGTGGATTGAAATGACTGAAATGTTTTAATGGTCTTTATTGCCTAGAAAGAGTATCTGGCTGTATATTTTAAAAATGTGATAATTTGTATTTTCCCAAATAGTGAAAAGTATACTGATCTTAACTCCATGCAGTGAAGGAGGAAGAGACAAGGCAAAAGAAATATGTGTGTGTGTGTGTGTGTGTGTGTGTAGTAGTGTGTTCCACACACACTAAAGGGAATTATGCAGACATATCATTTTTTAGCTTTTCTTAGAGACTGATAATTTTGTGTCGTTTTATTTTTCTTTACCACCGCTACAGACAAGTGATGTCATCTTAAGACTGTCACTTCTGGACAACAGAATGAGGTGTTTTCTTCATTTAAGTAAAGGAGGAGCAGGTGCAAAAGTTCCTATCTATTAAATTGACCACCTTCTCCCTTTAGAGTTTTGGGAGGGAAGGTGGCTGCTTCTGTATGAGAGGTTTTCTGCAGTGTGGAAATGCAAATGATATTACTCCAAAGTATATTTTGTTTATCTTCAAAATGTAGGGAAGGAAATGGAAAGGTCAGTTTATAGATCATATTTTAATGATTTATTGGTAAGTTGATTCATTCCTGTTGTTTCGTATAGCTTTTTTGAGATTATCTTAATAACTGATGAGAAAGTGAATTCTGTTCACTGGATGGTACAACTCTGGTTTCACTCACAGCAGAGAAGATTAATATTGTGAAAGAATTTGGTCTTCATATTTGGGACTATACATTTGGATGCCAGTTGCTTTTTTGGCTGCTTTTGAAATAGTTTTGGATCAAGTAGTGACAGTGGATTTAAGATTCCAGACCATAATTTTGCATATTTCAAATGGTAAAACTTCTAATGTGAATTTCTTTTTTGAGAAAAGTGGATATAGAACTGGGTGAGTCATGATGCTACCATTTTCTTAGGATTGTTTCTAAAATAGAAAGTGTTTCATGGATTCTGATAGAAAATGAACTATCTATAAAATACTGCCTGAAGCTCCTTTTGCACAATGGTGTTTTTCTTAAAAAGTACAAAGACCTGGTTTAAAAAAGTCTAATGAGTAATAATAGGTGCAATATGAATGACAGACTTTTGGAAGGTAATTTATAATCTTTTGTGAGAAAACTGATGAATTTCGCAGAGGTTTTGAAGATCTTGTTGTAACCTTTGAGAAATTTTGGTTAATTCATTCTGAAAACTGATTATTTTGGTAGGTAGAATACCGTGTATTAAGAATAGTGATAGGGGCTGGGCACAGTGGCTCACGCCTGTAATCCCAGCACTTTGGGAGGCCGAAGCGGACGCATCACGAGGTCAGGAGATCAAGACCAGCCTGGCCAATATGGTGAAACCCCATCTCTAATAAAAATACAAAAATTAGCTGGGCATGGTGGCGCGTTCCTGTAATCCCAGCTAGTTGAGAGGCTGAGGCAGAAGAATTGCTTGAACTGGGACCCAGGAGGCAGAGGTTGCAGTGAGCTGAGACTGCACTGAGACTGCACCACTGCACTCCAGCTTGGGCTACGGACTGAGACTCCGTCTAAAAGAAAAAAAAAAAAAAGAATAGTGATAGGAATAGCTTTTACGTTTTATGTAGTAAAAGGCAAATTATACAGGTTCCTTTGTTAAAAATCTTTTGTTGAACTTCTGTTATTAAAAATGGACTGTGAAGTTTTTTATTCACTTAATTCATGCTTTAAAGCTCCCTATGGTCAGGGGAGATGCTAATTCATGGTTAAAACTCGTTTCTTGTCCAAATGCTTTAGCGTTTATAGGGCAGATTATATTGGGCCAAGTTTTTAGTCATTCTGTTAAAAACAGTTCGTCGTCTTTGGATCTCTGTGTAATACAAATATTGCTTGCTTGTAAACTCTAGGGAAGTCCTTTAAGAATAACTTGTTCAGATGACTGATATTTTGGTATGTAAGAGAAAGAAAGTAGGTATTTTCATTATATATTTATATTATATATAATACTGTTATACATTTGTCTGTATCTTTGTTGTTGTTGAGACAGATTCTTGCTCTGTCGCCCAGGCTGGAGTGCAGTGGTATGATCTCGGCTCACTGCAATCTCTACCTCCCAGGTTCAAACGATTTTCATGCCTCAGCCTCCTGAGTAGTTGGGACTACAGGTGTGCGCCACCACACCTGGCTAATTTTTTTTGTGTTTTTAGTAGAGACGGGGTTTTGCCACGTTGCCCAGGCTGGCCTCAAGCTCCTGGCCTCAAGTGATCCATCTGCCTTGGCCTCCCAAAGTGCTGGGGTGACAGGTGTGAGCCACCGTGCCCAGCCAGGTCTGCATTTCTTTAAGGCAGGGATCTCCAGAATGGGAATGTTGGTCACACTTGAGTAGTTCATTGTGAGTGGACCCCAGCGCAGGCCTCTTGCGCAGCTGCAGGAATAGGCCATATTCTCTCCCCTGGGCTTTATACTTCCGGCTGGAATTGTCTGTGTGCCTCAGGGGGATAGAAGAAACTTCTACGGCCTGCCAGTCCTTGAAATGCCTAGTGGTCATGGAGATGGTGTGGCTTCCTGATGGCATATGGGCATACCTAGGATGGAAGGGGACATTGGGAAGAGCTGATACATTTCCCTTTTCCCTCACCAAACTTATAACAAGTTTTCTTGTGAGCAGATGCTTAACCACACCCTGCTCCCTACCCTACTTCAGTCATTTGGTTTTTATTGCAAAAAAGGAGGGGCATCTACTTTAAGGTCATTTCTGTGATTTGGGAAGTTTAAAATTATTTAAATAAACGAGCATCTCATTTCCTGTACGTTTTTATTTTTGTAGAAATTATATTTTCATAAGCAGAGTGGTCCCTTGCTCTTTCCCCAGCACCCCCTGCCCCCCAGTAGAGCTGACCACACTGGAACGACAGCTTGATGCATTTAGCTCACATTTACGTAAGTGCTCATTAACTATAATGTGGCTGGTGAGTCTAATTTTAGACCTACCACCCTTGAAAATCTCATTTTTCTTTTCCATTGATAATATCTTTTATTCTCTGTAAGGGGAGTGGGATGTGTTTCTATGTATGTGAAGTAGAATATTTACCTTTTTTCTTTTGTAGTACTTACAATGTTTTCATTGCATGAAATTGGAGTTTTGACCTTAGGTGCTCTTTTTTCCTTTTTTTTTTTCTTAACTTGGTATTATTGATGATTTCAAAGATCCTATTTTGCCTGTCTGTTTAGCAGTATTCCCAGTGGTGCTTCAGTATTTCTGTGTATTCCAGCTGTTTATGGAGTCTTTATGTTTCTCTGCATTTTTTATTTTTTGAGGTGTACACACACAGTTACGCTTCATGGAGTTGCATCCAGCCAAGTATCCATGTTCTTCTTGTGAAGAGGCAGAGAAAATCACCTCTCCCAAGAATTTCCACCTTCTGAACAAGGGAAATGTATCCTTAAGAGCTGTATGCAGATGGGAGGCAACTTGTTTGCTTGTTCTGCTGCTAGAGCATTGGTTTAATTAGAAGACAGGCTGTGGGTGGCCATGTGCAGACAAAGAAGCACCAGACAGAGCCCGTTTAGCCTGGGTCAGTAAGAGTAAGTTACACTCTTTTTAAAACACTTTTTTGAGTACTGATGCTGATTCTTGCCTTCAGTACTAAGGGGCAACTTGTAACTTACTGTTTGTGTTTACACATAGATACATCTGTTCTTTTTCTGAGACCCTAGAAATGACACATGCTCTCTAGCACAAAGTACCTGCGCAATGGAAAAGCAGTGATTTCTTCCCCAACCACCCTTTTTTTTTTTAAGAATAAAAAGAAAATGGAATCAATGATTACATTCTAGATTAATTTTACACTGTAGCAAACCCGGTGTTAGCGTTTGACCAAGTCAAAACACTTAAGTATAGAGCTTGTCATGCTTTTACTTTGTAGTAATGGGAACATGAGAAACGATTTTAGCCTTTTCCAGCCATTTCTTGATAAGGTATGTGGGTCTCATCAGATACATTCATCCAGGCCGAACCTAGTAGAAGAGAGGGTCCAAGATCAGACCTAGCAGTTCCTGAGGAGCATGGAACTCTATATGTGTGCCCTTGTTTTTCTCTGGGAGTTGTTACTCTCAAAAATATACTTCATTTTGGAATTCAGTTTTGAGCTACCTAAAGCCACATATGGTAGTGTGGTGGAGTTAGTGGAAATCCTGTGTTTTTGACTATGTGAAAGCAATTTAGACTTTTGGATTTTTGAGTGTACAATGTCTTCTAGTCCTATATTAATAGGGATATTACACAAAAGGGATTTAATTAGATTCATTGGTCCTAGGATTTATAGTGTTGTGATTTTTGAATCTGTGTGTGTGTGTGTGTGTATTTGTGTTTGTTTGGATCTGTATCATTTGTGGCATCAGGTTTATACCTTAGCATCTACTGTTTTGGTTTGTTTTGCTCTTGGTAATGAAGGAAGTAGGCTAAAAAGATTTTTCTATGTTTGGAAAATCACAGGCTGGTATGATGGTGTTTAATTTCAAAGACTACCTTTTGATTTTAAGTTTTTTTCCATCTCTCAAACCCACCCCTTTATTCAGAATCTGGAAAAGAATGAGGAAGAAACTTAAGTTACATAATTTTTAAGATTCTCGGCCTGGCACGGTGGCTCACACCTGTAATCCCAGCACTTTGGGAGGCTGAGACGGGCAGATCATGAGGTCAGGAGATCGAGACCATCCTGGCTAACACGGTGAAACCCCGTCTCTACTAAAAATACAAAAAATTAGCCAGGTGTGGTGGTGGGTGCCTGTAGTCCCAGCTACTTGGGAGGCTGAGGCAGGAGAATGGCATGAACCCAGGAAGTGGAGCTTGCAGTGAGCCGAGATCGCGCCACTGCATTCCAGCCTGGGCGACAGAGCAAGACTCCGTCTCAAAACAAAACAAACAAAAAACCAGATTCTCATCAAGATTCTAAATCTTGCTCTTCTCTCTTTCTTTCTCTTTCATGTGTTCATTACCTAAGTGTTAGAATAATGAAGGATTGTACCTCACTATAGAAATCAGCTTAAAGTTGAATCTTAGACATACCAATTGACAAAAGTTCTTTGGCCATTCCCATTGCCAGGCAGTTTTTACTGGCAGTCATTCTCACTCAGGGTCCAGCCTCCTGCATGGTGTACACATTTCCTGACAGCTCATGACACGCATGTACTGTAACACAGGACATCAACACTATAACACATTCATAGTGGGGAATTTATTTATGTTTAGTTTTTCTGGAGTATGTGCAAATGTAAGCATATTTTCTAGTGGGTTGGAAGTCTTTTTATTAAAAAAACCTTAGTAGAGGACTTAAAAGTTACTAGTATCCCTCTTTCCTCTCCAGTTCTGACCATGTCATTTGATAAAAGGATGGTTTAAATTATTATAATTCCATGGTCTGTTAGGTTCTTCTTGAGTGATATTTCCATATTATTGTCAATATGGTTAAAAGGTATAATTATTTAGGTTGAAGGGAAGTATAAGTAGATGTATACAGCAGATGGTAGCCTCTAGCTGAGATCCCAAGGAGAATATCCTGTTACTGGGAAAGGGTGATTATGTGTTTATTTAGCAAACACAAAGTGTTTACCATGTGCCAGGTACTCTTTAAGCACTTTACAAATATTGGCTCATTAGTTTTCACAAGTGCCCTGAGATGGGTACTGTTGTTAGCCCTGTTTGATGAGGATACTGATGCACAGAGTGGTTAAGTAATTTCCTCAAGGTCACATAGCTAGGAAGTGTTGGAGCCAGAAATGGAATCCTGCTGCCGTGACCCACTCAGTCAATTTTTTTTTTTTTTTTGAGACCGAGTCTTGCTCTATTGCCCAGGCTGCAGTGCAGTGGTGCAATCTCGGCTCACTGCAACCTCCGCCTCCTGGGTTCAGACGATTCTTCTGTCTCAGCCTCCCCAGTAGCTGGGACTACAGGCTCCTACCATTACACTGGCTAATTTTTGTATTTTTAGTAGAGATGGGGTTTCTCCAAGTTGGCCAGACTGGTCTTGAACTCATGACCTCAGGTGAGGCACCTGCCTCAGCCTCCCAAAGTGCTGGGATTACAGGCCTTAGCCACTGCTCCCGGCCCCTCATTCAGTTTAATCAACAAATGAACAGCGTCACTAAAGATCCCTCAAACTCAGTGATGAACACATCTGAAAAAGTTAAAGAAAATTAAGTTCAAAGAAGAAACTTTTCATTGTCACCATTGTCGGTGAATGTAGTGATCTAAAAATTCTCTTTATCATTGTGCTTTAAATAGTGATTTAGTTTTGATCTTTAAATGTCAATAGACTATTGATATTTTGATCTTTAAATATCAAATATGTATGGACTATGTGAATATTGAAAAGAAAATATGAACAGTCACTTTTACAGTTCGGGTTTTTGTCTTAAAATTTTGTTGTAATTTCTCTTCCTAATCTTAGATCTGTTTGAGGAGATGGTGCCTGTGTCAGTGTGGCAGTCTTTGGCTGCCTGTGATCAGAGGAAAGCCGATTTGTTAACAGATCAATTGCTCAGATGAGAGAAGCCACCACTTTGGCAAATGGGTAGGTAGAGCTTAATTTTAGAGCCTAAAGTTTTCCGTTTGGTTGTTCTTTAGTTTGTGAACATTTTAGTTTCTGAGCTTAGAGCTAAATGTCAAGAGTATATAAAATAGAAAATGTAGACACACACAACTATTTTTGGTGGACACTGTATTTGTGAAGCTCTAGCAAATATAGTTGGAAGAAATTATAGAAACAAGGTGAGGATGTTTGACTAAAAATTTGTATTTTAAGAGATATTTATTTGGGGGAAATGAGAAGTAGAAATGAACTCAGATACATGGTACGTTTAGTGTTCTGAACCAATTTTTGTTTCTGATGGATTGGATACTAAGAAAATAATTCATTGGTTTAAAAAATTTTTAGGTATATTTTGCACACACAAAATACACCTATTCTAAGTACACAGTTCAATTATTATTATATGTATATATATGTTTATGTGTGTGTATATATATATTTTTTTGTTTGTTTTGTTTTGTTTTTTGGGACAGGGTCTTATTGTCACCAGGCTGGAGTGCAGTGGTGTAAACATTAAACATGGCTCACTGCAATCTCAACCTTCTGGGCTCAGGTGATCCTCCTGCCTCAGCCTCCTGTGTAGCTGAGGCCACAGGTGCAAGCCACCGCACCTGGCTAATTTTTTCATTTTTTTATAGAGACGAGATCTCGCTTTGTTGCCCAGGCTGGTCTTGAACTCCTGGGCTCCTGGTCTTGAACTCCTGGGCTCAAGTGATCCTCTTGCCTTGACCTCCCAAAGTGCTGGGATTACAGGCATGAGCCACCATGCCTGGCTATTTAGTTAGTTTTGATAAATGTATGTACCCATGTAACCGGCACTATGATTAAGATAGAGAACATTACTGTTACCCTAAAAAAATTCTCTCATGCCCCTTTCCCAGTCCTTCTTCTCCTGGCCCCTGGCCACTATTGATCTGCTCCCTGTCTTAAGTTTAGTTTTACTTTTTATACAATTTAAAATACATGTAATCATTCTAGCATATACATATACAGTACTTACAGTATGTACAGTATATACTTAGAATGTGTTTTGCTTTTTTTCACTTAGTTACTGTTTTTGAGATTCATCTATATTATGTGTATCAGTTTGAGTCTTTTCTGTGGCTGAGCAGTATTCCATTTTATGGTTATGGAGTAGTATTCCATTTTATGGTTATAGAGCAGTTTGTTAACTCTTTCACCTGTTAATGGACATTTCAGTTTCTATGAACATTCGTGTATAAAGCTTCATGTGGACATATTTTAGTTCTCTTGGGTAAATACTTAGGAGTGGAATTGTTAGGTTGTGTGGTTAGCATATTTAATTTTACATGAAATTGCCAGGTTGTTTTCCAAAGTGGTTGTTCCATTTTATATCCTATCTGCACTGTTTGAGAAATACAGTTGTTCTGCATCCTCACCAATACTTGGTACCGTCAGTCTTTTTAGTTTTAGCTGCTTTCGTGTGTGTGTAGCAGAATCTCACTGTGATTTAATTTGCATTCTCCTAATTACTAATGATACTGAACAGCTTTTCATGTGCTTACTAGCCATTCATATCTTTTCTGTAAAGTGTCTATTGAAATCTTTTTCTCAGTTTTTAAAACTGAGTTTTCTTAATATTTAAAGAGTTCTTTACCTATTTTGGAGGCAAGTCCTTTGTCAGATACATACGATTGAGAATATAGTTGACCCTGAACAACATAGGGGTTATGGGTGCTGACCCCCCTGCACAGCCAAATCTGCATATAACTTCTGAGTCCCCAAAACTTAACTACTAATAGCCTGCTGTTGACCAGAAGCCTTACTGATAACATAAACAGTCAATTAACACATATTTTGTATATGTATTGTATAGTATATTCTTATAATAAATAAGCTAGAGAAAAAATGCTATTAAGAAAATCATAAGGAAGAGAAAATATATTTACTATGATTAAATGGAAGTGGATCATCATAAAGGTCTTCGTCCTTGTCTATTTCATGTTTGAGTAGGCTGAAGAAGAGGAGGAAGGAGGGTTGGTCTTGCTGTCTTAGAGGTGGCAAAGGTGAAAGAGGTGAAAGTCCACATATACATGGACTCACGTAGTTCAAATCTGTGTTGTTCAGGGGCCAGCTGTATTTCTCTCGTGGTTGGCTTGCCTTTTCATGTTTTTAGTTTTGATTAATGCATGGATTTTACCATCATTTTTCTTGAACAAGAAAGGAATGTAAGTTTACTCTAGCATATGATAAACAGGCAGTCTGAGATTTTACAGAGCTTCTTTTCTGAGGAGTTCATTGTATTCCATCATTTCATTTGCCTTTTTTCTTTACATAGTAGGTAGGGATATGTACCTCCCTTCCCCATCATGTAAATGAAATAACTGAGGAATCGTTAGTGTGCTACAAAACCGAGAGCAGATGAAGATTCTGTAATGAAGACTTAGATCATCTATCTTCTGTTGACATTTTGCCTAGATGATGTGAAATTATAATTATTGATTCTGTTGAAAGAGAGCAAAAAAGAAAAAAATACCTATTTTGTGTATTGTTTCTGACTCGTTAGAGATGCTGTAACAATCAAAAGTATAAAAGACTGCTTTTTTAGGATAGAATTTTTGACTTTTAATTACTTAGACTGAAACAAGTTTGAACTGTAAGCCAACGATACCTAATATATTTTAATGCGGTCATAATTTTTCGGCTTTTTTTTTTTTGTTTTTCCAGACTGAGTCTTACTCTGTCGCCCAGGCTGGAGTGCAGTGGTGAGATCTCAGCTCACTGCAACCTTCGTCTCCTGGCTTCAGGTGATTCTTGTGCCTCAGCCTCCCAAGTAGCTGGGATTATAGGTGCTCACCACTACGCCTGACTAATTTTTGTATTTTTAGTAGAGATGGGGTTTCACCGTGTTGGCCAGGCTGGCCTTGAATTCCTGACCTCAGGTGATCCGCCTGCCTTGGCCTCCCAAGTGCTGGGATTACAGGTGTGAGCCACTGCACCAGCCTATTTTTTGGCTTTTAATTCTGAATTGTGAACTTAATTTTTTAATGATTTTGGTTTAATTGTATCAATCACTGATTTTTTTGTTTTTCTGTTAATCTTTGCTTTGTTTTTCATTGATAGGGCTTATCCAGTTTTTCTGGGTGCTAACTCCATTGCTGTTGATTTGGTTATAGAAGATTAAATTAAATAAAGTAAATATTGATGAGTTAAATTGTTTTAGACTTCAATATAACATAGTATCTCATTTTTTCAGAGTGCTAGCTTCCCTTAATCTTCCAGCAGCAATTGAAGATGTGTCTGGAGACACTGTACCTCAGTCTATATTGACTAAATCAAGATCTGTGATTGAACAGGGAGGCATCCAGACTGTTGATCAGTTGACTAAAGAACTGCCTGAATTACTGCAATGAAATAGAGAAATCCTAGATGAGGTATGTTTTATAAGATTTGCTTTTCAAGTATAAACACTGTGATCCCTTGATGTCCAGCAGGGATTGGGACTGGAGACTTCCTCATGCTAGTGCTCACAGTGTAGTTAGTATTCATCACTTTGGTGAATTTACTGTGGCCCAGAGCCGCCTCTTTAGCATAAGAGTAATTCTGGTTGAGTGAGAATGGGTTTCATTCTTATCTTAAGGGTAAGTAAGTACACATTAATGAAACTCAAATGACCACTGTGTAAAACTAGTATACTATGAGAAATCAACTATCATATGAACCGTTCAGTCTTTGTAATTATTGATTTATTTTATACATAGCGTGTAGCAAGATTTTTCTTTTTAATTTAATTTGTCTTAACCTGGAAGGTTAAACCCTTTAATTTATCCCTAATTTCTTGAAATATATTAAGTATATTTATTTTATATTATTTATCTTATAATTCCAATGTCTGTGGTTTCTGTGGGTTTGATTCTATGATTTGTAATTTTTGCTGATTCTTGCTTATGGTGGCTTGTTTTCTCTTGTGTTCAGTTTTTTTGTTACTGTTTTTTAAAACTTTAAAAAATAGTTTCAGATTTACAGAGACTTTGCAAATTTAGTGTGGAAAGTTCCTGTATATTTTTCACCTAGCTTCCCTGAAAGTTAAAATCTTACGCGGTCGTGGCACATTGTTAAAACTAGGAAATTGACATTGGTACAGTATTATTACTCAGATTTTACCAGTTATTCCACCAACGTTCCTCCTTCTGTTCCAAGATCCAGTACAGAATACTGAATTGCATTTAGTGTTCAGTGAGTTTTGATTGTGCATTCATATTTCCTGTAATTTATTTGTGGGAATTCATTGAGATCTGGGTTTAAGGTGAATTCTAGAAAGAATTTGTGTTTGCTTCTGCCATAAAAAGGCATTATATACCTGGCACCTCCTCAAACTTAAGAGGCTTTTTCCTTTCTTTTATAATCTTTTAATTATAGTAGTAATTTATCTTAGGACTTTGTGTCACACAAATAGTGTGGTTTCTAGTCCCAAATTCAGGCTTTTGATCAGGAATCTCAGATAATACTTCTTTTTTTTTTTCTTTTTTCTTTAGAGCCAAGGTCCAGACAGGCATGTTTTCTTCTGTAGGGCCGTTTTCTGTTTTAAAAATTCATCCACTGAGAATCATCTATTTGGAAGTATACCAGTTTGAGTGTGGAGAGTGCTTTTGATCTGACCTCTCACCTTTTATTGTCCCTACCTATGTTTCTTGTTGACTTTTCATGTTCTAAATTCACAATGCAAGTCAATGGTGAACTACACAGCTGGTGAACTATGGATGGTGGGCTAGTGCTGGCTTGTGGCCTACTTTTGTGTGGTTCACTAGTTAAGGATAATTTTTATCTTTTTTAGAGCATTGTCAAAAAAGAAGAATTCTATGTGCCATAGACTGTGGCCCACAAAGCCTAAAATATTTACTCTGTGGTGTTTGACAGAAGTTTGCTATTCTTTGTCCTAAGCTATCAGGGATTGTCATGTATTGTTGGTGCTAGCACTGTGTCTACTGGTAGATTAGTATTTTCTTGTGTTTCTGGCCCCCTACTATCCTGTCATCTTATCTACACATTAAAAGGCATTTAAAAATATATTAAACATAATTTTCTGTTCGTTGTATTGGAATGAAATTCTAAATCTTTTATTTTTTAATGTAATTGATCAGTTTTTCCCCTTTGTTTATGGCTTCTATTTATCTATTTTAATCTTAAAACTTTCTTTAAATTGATACATGGATGTAAATAGTCTCATGTATTCTTCCTTTTTTTTTTTACTGAGAAAGGTGATAGCTAATTCAGCCTTAAATTTATAAGACTTTTTGTTAAATGCATTATAACTTAGATGTCTGCAAGAAAAAAGTCGATTTATATTCTAACCTAGTATTCCCATCTCACCAAATTCTCCCTTATATTGTGTATGAACATTTAATAATTGCATTAAATTTTTTAATCCAGAAATGACATTTCAGGGTTCTTTTTGCTTCCTTTTAAAGTCATTAAGGTTTTTGGATGAAGAAGAAGCAACCGATAATGATTTATGAGCAAAATTTAAGGAACGCTGGCAAAGGACATCATCCAATGAACTGTATAAGCCTTTAAAAGCAGGTAAAAATGTGTATAAATGACCTTCATTTGAATAAATTCCCAATTTGGACCCACATTTTTACTTGATTAAATTAGGCTCAGTTGTAAATTCGTTTTTACCGAAATTGTTTTTCCTCAGTTTTAGTATAAAGATTAAAAAAGTTCACAAAAGTAATCTGCCAATTGTCAGAAGTACAGATTCTTAAGAACAGTATAAAGGGAAAAGTTAAAATGGTCCTCCAACTTTCATTTTCTGTTCCAAGCTCTGTGCATATTTTATTTTATTTATTTTTTTTTTGAGACAAGGTCTCGCTCTGTCACTTAGGCTGGAGTGCAGTGGCAGGATCACAGCTCGCTGCAGCCCCAACCTCCAGGGCTCAGTCAATGCTTCTACCTCAGCCTCCTGAGTAGCTGACACCGTAGACATGTGCTACCACGCCTGGCTAATTTTTGTATTTTTTGCAGAGACGAGGTTTTACCGTGTTGCCCTGGCTCGTCTTGAACTCCTGGGCTCAAGTGATCCACCTGCCTCCACTTCCCAAAGTGATGAGATTACAGGCTTGAATCACCATGCCTGGCCCCTGCGCATATTTTAAAAACATAAATGAGAGCATATTATATTTATGGCTTTGTAATTTTTTTTTCATTTAGTAGTGAATCCTGGGTGGTAAAACGAAAATGAGCTTTAAGTTATTTTGAGGCCAAATTTATGCTTCTTAAGACTTTGATTATGAAGATTTTGTGCTTGCTGAGATAAATGCTGTCTTCATGGTGGCTGGAGATTAGTTTTATTTATCTTTGTAAAAAGTTTGTATATTATTGAGATTTTTCTAAAAATCTTTTTTTTTTTAAGTCACATTGCTCTTTTGAGAGAGGAATACTTTTAAAATAAATGGACCAATTTTTGGAGAGAATGATTTCTTCCTACATTCATGAGTTGTAGGAAAAGATTAATATTAATTAGCTTTTATTTGGCAGATAGTAACCACCAAATGTATTTTAAGGTATAGCTATGCTTTTGATTTTATAAGTGATTTTGTCATCTTTCCAAAAACGAGAACGCAAAGACTGTTAGGAGCTGTTTTTATGATTAAGTGAATTGGGGTCTAGAGAAGGGGAAGATAAGTAAAGTTGGAGACTAGAACTCAACATATAACCAGGCCATACACGTTGCTGTTAGAATCACTTCTGTGCTCTGCAAACCTATTTTCTCCCAGAGGGAACCAGCTTCAGAACAGTTTTAGATAAAGCTGTGCAAGCAGATGGACACGTGAAAGAATGTTACCCGTCTCATCGTGACCCCATCGTGCTTTTGTGTAAGCCAGAGCCTGAGCTGAATGCTGCCATCCCTTCTGCTAATCCAGCAAAGACCATGCAGGGCAGTGAGGTGAGAAGGGCACTTTGATGTGGGTTGTCATCTGCTTAAGAAAACCACATTCAAGCCATTTTATATAATGCACTGCCAATTCCTTATTGTCATCTTTAAAAAAATGCAGAAATAAATTGGGGTTGTTATATTTAAAGTAGTATATAGACTGTGTAATAGGAAATTATACTAATATTAACTATCCTGTAATAGTCACTTCCATTTATTGAATGCCCTTTTTTGAACTAAATTTTAGATACTTCATAGGTCAACAGTATTTAATTTGGGTTTTATAAAAGAGAGAAGCTTGGAAGTATAGAAATTTCCTGAAATGAAAGGACTGGGTATGGCCAGATACACAAATTCTTTATTTCTTCCATTGTTCTCTACTCCCTTCCACCTTGTTTCCCCGGGACTACCTTTGAAAGGAAGATTGGCAAGGTGTGCGTGTTAATAAATGGATAGCTCCGTCATGGTGTTTCTACTGATGACAGGAAAGAGAAAATTGAATAGTAGGGCATCTGATTTGGAAAGTCCTAAGAGAAAGTGCAACTATAATTTAATGGCCTATCATGGGGAGGTAGGGTAAGTTAGTAGGAAAAGATAGAGGTCCCAAATCTCTGCACAGGAAAACAAGCCAAAGGGCAAGAAATACTGCTGAAAACTTCTTGAAAAAAGTGAATTTCCTGGGATAGTAAGTTCTGAAAAGTATGAGTTTTGTTTCTTATTTGTCTTTCCACAGATGCATTTTATATGTTTCATATATGTATTCCAAGACCTACTGGATATCTGCTCTGTGTAAGGCACTATGGTAGGTACATTGGAAAATTAACATACAAATTATACACAGGCTTTACCCTCAATTTATGATCCATTGTGGAATATTAGTCATGTACAAGGATGACTGTAATATAGGGAAGAAGTTTAAAAATGTCACAGGGAAAGTATAGAAGTATGTTATGAGGATTTAGATGAAGTACTTAAATTTCAGTAATTTGGAGTAGTTCTCTTCAGAGGCTTCTTAAGAGATTGGCACATTATGAGGACAGAGTGGATAGGCAGAAAAAGTAAACGTGTAGGATCGGAGAAGGGCTGAGTAGTGGCTGTGTCTAGAGAGTTATCCGAGGCACAGAGGATCTGCAAACACAGCTTTTACTCCTGATTTCTCATGACAGAAGGTTTACAGACATGTTGAGAATGGCTGGAATCTGCTTGTTTATTTATTTATTCACCAAGTGTTTGAAGGCCTGCTATTCCAGAGCAGTGCTGAGCACCTTGGTCCCTAACATAAAGAGACAAAAAACTGCTCTGGGTTACCTTTAGTGTAGGGTAAATGCACAGGTACCGGGCACCTCTCAAAGGGAAGAGAAGGCTACGTAGTTGAATGTGCATTGAACCTGAATCTAACGGGGGAACCCAGTGGAACAGGGAATGTGAGTTGTTGCTTTGAGGACATAGCGGAGAAAAGGGAGGTGGTCAGAAGATTAACTTGTGAGCAACAAAGAACCCGAAGAAGAAACTGTAGACCCTTGGAAGAGCAATACATTCTGGTACCTTTTTTATTTTAGAAAAAGATCTCTGTTTAGTACTCTCTTTGTATTCTTTTTGGTGTCTTGTACGTGACTCAGAATTATGTGGCTTTTGCCCTTTGATTCTTCTGCTTTCAGTAGAAAAGTAAAAATGGTTTGTGCTAAGCAAAATCTGCATTAGTATGCACTGATTTGTTGATATTTTATTCAGTTGTATCAGTTTTATTAATCCTTACTTGTGTTACACAGGAGAAAGGAACTTTTATAGTCAATATGAAGTAATTTTTTGGAAGCTAGAGTTCTTGATGGGGTAACCACAAAATTTCAGTACTCTCTATATATTCGTTTGTCGTGTGCCTTAATCAAATAAGGCAAGCATCAGGTTTATCAGAGCTATTTCAGATGGTTGTCATAATAGTTGATGACGCATTTTAGCCAGAATTTTTATGATAAAAACTCAGTTTTTTGATTGCTGATTAGAGTGATGCAATGTATATGTTTTATTAAAAAGTCCAAGTTTGATGGTAGGGCTGTTTTTTCTTTTATTGTGAAGTAGCCTACTTTCTAGTTACTTATTTTCAGTCTCTTTGGGCATCTGGTTTTAGATATTGAGATACTCTGAAAAATTTTGCAGACTAGTGGTCATTTGTATTTCAAGATTTTTGTATTAAATACCTAGGATCACTGCTTGTGATTGGTTGCCTATGATCTACTGTGGCCTGAAGTCTGGTCTGTGGTTGGCTGGCCAAGCCTTGGCCCTAATGTATATGGGGCTGAGTCTAGCCAGGGGAAGGAACATCTATTTTTTTGCACAAGGATGATGTTCAATTTTACTCAAAGTGTTACATCTGCTGGAAGTAACGGAGGGGGTACCTTTAAAAAAAAAAAAAAACCCTTTATCTCCTTAGAGGTAGAGCATAAAGAGAACTGTTTAAAACTGTGTGCCCTCCCAGAGGAGTGCCTTTTTTGGATTCACAGACTAGTGGAGGATCTGCAAACACAGCTTTTACTCCTGATTTCTCATGACAGAAAGTTTATAGACATGTTGAGAATGGCTGGAATCTGTTTATTTATTTACTCACCAAGTGTTTTTTGAAGGCCTGCTATTCCAGAACTGTGCTGAGTACCTTGGTCCCTAACATAGAGAGACAAAAAACTCCTCTAGGTTACCTTTAGTGTAGGGTAAATGTATCAAGTTTCTGCTTTCGTTGGTGTAGACATAGTTGCTTATTTGCCTTTTCTGAAAATAAAATGACAAGGTTATAAAAGTAAAATAGAAGATTTCATTGAGGGCATTTCTTTCTTTCTTTTTTTTTTTGGCCGTGGGGGGACGGAGTCTTGCTCTGTCACCCAGGCTGGAGTGCAGTGGTGCAATCTTGGCTCACTGCAACCTCTGCCTCCTGGGTTCAAGCAATTCTCCTGCCTCAGCCTCCCGAGTAGCTGGGACTGTAGGCATGCGCTACTATGCCCAGCTAATTTTCGTATATTTAGTAGAGACAGGGTTTCACCATGTTGGCCAGGGTGGTCTCGATCTCTTGACCTCGTGATCCACTTGCCTTGGCCTCCCAAAGTGCTGGGATTACAGGCATGAGCCACCGCGCCCGGCCCATTGAGGGCATTTCTTACGGCTTATATTGTACTTGGTGCTGTTAAATGCCACAGAGGGTTTTAAATCTAAAACTCGGGTCAGGAACCTGTGGCTTGTGGGCCGAATCCTCTGCCTCTTCTCTTTGTATGGCCTGGGAGCTAAAAATGAGTTTTACATTTTTTAAATATAAAACTCTACTTTCTACTTCATTTTTTAAATGGCTAAAAAAAAGTCAAACGAATGTTTTAATATGTGGGCATTATATAAAATTCAGATTTCAGTGTTAATACATTTTTGTTGAAACATAGCTGCGCTCATTCATTTACACATTGTCTTTCATACTACAAAGCAGAGTTAAAGAGTTGGAACAGAGACTGTGGCCTACTGAGGCAAAAATATTTTCTGTTTGGTCCTTTACCAAAAAAGTTTGTAAGTTCCTGATCTGAAAGACAAAGTATTGACAGCCTAGGTGATGCCGTTCCTGCCATTCTGTTTGACCTCATCTCCTGTTCTGCCTTTTGTTTACTATGCTTCAGCCAGAGTGGCCTTTTTTTCTTTCCTTTGATCCTGCCAAGCTTGTGCCTGCCACAGGACTGTTATATTTGCGTTTCCTTCTGTGCAGGGCTTTCTTCCCATTTCCATGGCTATTACCTCTTTTTCATTAGTCTCAGATGTCACCTCTTCTCCATCTTTGTCATTGTCTACCCACATTATTCTATTTTTGTGTATTTGTTTAATCCTCCCCTTTCCATATTTATTTAATCCTCTCTGGTCCCCAAATGAAGGAAAAGACTGTTTTTGTTAGTAGTCGTGTCCATGGCATCTAGAATGGTCCCAAAACAAAAAGCATTTGTTTGAATGGTCATCGCTGGCAGCCTTAACTTAATAAAGGGATACATTTAATTGCAGTTGAAAGGTAGCTGGAGCTGTGTATAAGAAATAAATATGCTAGGATTCTAATTATTTATATACTTTGATAACATGTTAAACCTCAAATTTGAATTTAGAAGAAAATTTAGGCAGTGGTTTTCTTATTATCGTGGTCATTCATTTGTGGAAGCAGTTTAATTCATTTTCTACTTCATTTACTCTGTTAAAATGAGGCGAGTGTCATATAATCTGAAATATGTTAAACTAGTGCACTGCATATGAATTTTTTTAAAAGATGTTCGTAATATAAGGGATCTCTATCTTTGTGTGGTAGTCCACAAGTTTGTTCATAAATTCGTTGTTTGAAATGGCATTTTTTTCCCCAGAAAGTTAGAATTATTGCATTTTTGAATATCACAGGATTTGTTAACTATTTGGCCCTCTGTATCAGTCTGGTTAGAAAGCTTCTGTATCAGTCTGGTTGGATACCATGGAAGTTGCGGTAAGCTTTTCTTCCTAATCTAGGTAATATGACTGAATACTTACCCTTTGTTAGAAGTTATGTTGAGCACTTTATATAGATTATCTCAGTCTTCACAACAGTCCTGAAATAGGTACTATTATGCCCATTTTGCAGCTGCGAAAATTGAGTTTTCTAAGTAGTAACCTGTCCTTGATTGCACAGTCACTAAGCCCATTATGGTCTCTAAGGGAGTATAGTCAGAGTTGAAGTGTTTTTAATTTTCTATGTAATTACGTTTTTTTTGTGTAATTACGTTTCACTTTGATAGACCATTAGTTCATTTGTTTCCATATTCAAGTTTTGACTTAATCTTGTTTTCTGAGTGTGTAAAAAATGTTCATGATTCAAAAGGTACATGCAGAGTAAGCCTCATTCCTTTTCCTTCTACTTCTTTCCTGTATACTTCCTGTAAGTAATCATATCCGTTAGTTTCTGGTTTGTCCTTACTGATTTTCTTTTTGGAAGAACAACAACAAACAAAAAACCCAACCTCCCCCAAAATTATGCATACATATGTATACATATGTACATATTATGTATGTGTATATTTATTTTCTGA
This sequence comes from Homo sapiens, assembly GCF_000001405.40. Lineage (NCBI taxonomy): Eukaryota > Metazoa > Chordata > Mammalia > Primates > Hominidae > Homo > Homo sapiens. Next base: position 28,813,466 of record NC_000015.10, read on the forward strand.
TTTTCCTTCTGTCTTACTCAAAATGCAGCACACTATATATGCTTTTGTACCCTTTTTTTCTCATTTAATAATATGTCCTGGAAGTCACTTGGAAGGAAACTTTTATTCACATCGTCTGATATCAAGTTCTACTAGGTCTTTAAACAGACTTTGTCATATCCACCCACGTATGATTCTTTCTCCTCCTCCTTCCTTTTAGAGTTTCTGTGGTTTGATGCTTTCTAGACTCTAGGAATCATATTTCTTTCCCTTTCCACAGCCTTCTCCCCTGTACCCTCTTCTTTCTCTCCCTCCCTCTCTCCTTCCCTTCCCCCTTCCTTCCTCTCTTGTCCCCCTCCCCCTTCTCTTCCTTTCCTTTCCTTCCATTTTAAAATTAGGATGTTTAGAAGATATAGATGTAAATGAGGCCAAAAAGGAAATTCGCCTACATTTAGCAGAAACCTCGAGTCTCTGGTCTTCACAAAGGGATGTTACTTTGGACGTTCCTATCAAGGAGTTAACTAAGACTGTGGAAGAAAGAGTAGGGTAGGAATTTTTAGAAACAGGCAGTTGGTAGGGGGATCATGGGAACTGGACTTGCTGCTGGTAATGAGAAAGACAGGGGTGGAGACAGGGCTCATGATGTCCTCTTCTTCCCTTTGTCTTTCCCCCTGTTTTCTTTCTATGAGCATCATTGGGGCAAGCAGAATAGGGAGATTGGGTTGATGTTCTTGGTGGTCCTAGCAAAGTATGAAGAGATGAGTGAAAGGGGCAGCTTGAAAGTGCTCATTAGAAGGCACTTGAACACTATGAATATAAAGGGGTATTTATGAATCAGGTGGGTATAAGTCAGAGAGTGTCTTGACTGAATACAAGAGATAAATCTCTGTTTTGTTTTTGTATTTTGTTTTGAGACAGGGTTTCTCTCTGTCACCCAGGCTGGAGTGCAGTGGCATGATCATGGCTCACTGCAGCCTTGACCCCCTGGGCTGAAGCAATCCTCCTGCCTCAGCCTCTGGAGTAGCTGTGACTGCAGGTACACACCATTGCACCCAACTAATTTTTTTTTAATGTAGAAATGGGGGTCTCACTTTGTTGCCTAGGCTGGTCTCGAACTCCTAGGCTCAGGTGATCCTCCTAAAGTGCTGGGATTGCAGGTATGAACCTCTACATCTGGCCTAAAACTCTTAATGCTATGAAGAGAGGCACAAGAACCCTCTTTCCTTTTCCTCTCCCGGTGTATAAAATAAATGTGGTATATACCTTTATATCTGTGTCTTTCTCTATTTCTTTCTCCATCTACCATGCTTGCTTCATAACTATCTCTATTTCTATCTTCACCTCTATTTCTCTATATCTCTGTCTGTCAGTCTCTCTAGGCAAAATAGGATATCTACTTACGTAGCAAAATCATACCTTCCCCTGCTTCACAGCCATGATTGGGAGGGAGTAGAGTGTAGAGTGGCTAAGAGATTGGTTTTGGAACTAGTCAGACTTAGGTCTCAAATTTCACCTCTGCCCCTTAGTAACTGTATAACCATGTCACTTAATTTTTTTGAGACTCGTTATCCCTATCTTTGGAAGAGAGGTCATAAATATATATACCCCATGGGGTATTGTAAGGAATACATAAAATTATATTTCTGAAGTGTTTAGCATGGTGCCTAACACATAGGAGTTCAGTAAATTGTAGCTGTTGGCTACTGTTATTAATGCTGCTTTTGTTTTAATATGAGTCAACTGAAGGTACAGTGTCTATCTACATAAACCTGATGTTCAATTTATATTTGGCTCTCTGAGAACTCATCTCTCTCTCAGCCCAAATGAACCTTTATATATTATTTCCTTCTTGAAATTGGCTTTTTTTTTCAGTTAAACTAAAGTGTCTTTTTTATTGTTTAGGTTGTAAATGTCTTAAAATCCTTATTGTCAAATCTTGATGAAGTAAAGAAGGAAAGAGAGGGTCTGGAGAATGACTTGAAATCTGTGAATTTTGACATGACAAGCAAGTTTTTGACAGCCCTGGCTCAAGATGGCATGATAAATGAAGAAGCTCTTTCTGTTACTGAACTAGATCGAGTCTATGGAGGTCTTACAACTAAAGTCCAAGAATCTCTAAAGAAACAGGAGGGACTTCTTAAAAATATTCAGGTGAAATTTATGTATTTAATAACATCTATGTTTTAAAAATTACAGAAAAGATATGTCTGGACTAAACCTATATTCAATTAGAAAAATGACATTGGAGAATATCTGTAGTTGAGAGTAGAACTTAATACATATATATTTTGTAAAATTAAACTTGGCATATCAGTTTTATTTGTGTCTATGAAACCAAGTCACTCCTTGTTTTTTTTTTTTTTTTTTTTTTTTTGAGATGGAGTCTCGTTCTGTCGCCCAGGCTGGAGTGCAGTGGTGCGATCTTGGCTCACTGCAAGCTCCGCCTCCCGGGTTCACACCATTCTCCCGCCTCAGCCGCCCGAGTAGCTGGGACTACAGGCGCCCGCCACCACGCCCTGCTAATTTTTTGTATTTTTAGTAGAGACGGGATTTCACCGTGTTAGCCAGGATGGTCTCCATCTCCTGACCTCCTGATCCTCCCTCCTTGGCCTCCCAAAGTGCTGGGATTACAGACGTGAGCCACCACGCCCGGCAGAAACAAAGTCATTTCTATGGCTAAAATGTTGCATATTACTTAGGAGTGCTTGATACTTCTGATATTTTTCATGGTTTCAAGTTTTTAATAGCTTTGTTTTTTTTTTCCATACGGGAGGAAAATCGAAATTAGTTGGAATTACTGATACCTTTAATTATACGGCTAACATACATACAGACTTCAGTCATTTTTTAAAAAAATAATGCAAACTAAATATGTTGAGAAGTTTGAAGTTAGTTTTCGTGTTTACAGATAGGTAGTTTGGACTAACAAAGACTTGAAAGTTTGCCCTTTTCATAGTTAATGTGCAAAATTAAACATATATTTCTACTCCTAAACATTGTATCTATATATGATATAAAATATTCCAAAAGGTAAAATAATTTTCATGTTATATTTTTTGCAAGTGTTATATACTAATAGAAATCTGTGATCATTATTGGTTGTTTTGACTTCTATTGGATTTTTGAAATTTTTACTTAAGAAAGATTTAAAGCATAATGAGGCTTCAAAAGAGTATACTAGGTATTTCTAGTAATTTTGCATATGTATTTAATTACATATGATTTTCATAATTGGAAAAGATCAATAAAAATGTTATGAGCCATATTTTATAAGTAAATGTAAATACATAAATCTTTCTTTTAACAAGGTCTCACATCAGGAATTTTCGAAAATGAAGCAATCTAATAATGAAGCTAACTTAAGAGAAGAAGTTTTGAAGAATTTAGCTACTGCATGTGACAACTTTGTTGAACTTGTAGCTAATTCGAAGGAAGGCACAAAGGTATGAAGTACATGCAAAAGGAACCATAGCTAGCAAGTACAGATGTGAACGTATAGGTTGGAAGTTAAATGGTATTTCCAGTTGAACCAAATTACTCTTTGCCTGGAATGTTAGCTTTAATGCCATTGCCTCTGCGAAGTTTGTTACAGGAGGGAGAAAGCTTAATGAAGGTGGCAACATTTCATGGGAACCTTGAAGAATGAATTGCATATTTCAACTGGCAGAAAAGGGGTACAAATATTCCAGGTAGCAGGAATTAGCAGAGATGTCAATGACACCTTTTTAAGGGATAGGAAGTTGATTAATTTGATGAATTTTGAGGGGACAGGAGTAGTCAAAGCTGATTTGTGATGGAAAAGCTGGGCGGGCATGACTTTTATATTCTGTGTGGTGGTTTGCTGAGGACAGACTTGTGGCCTGCCCAAGTGTCAGAAGGCTTGCTGAATATGTAAGTACTTTCTTGCCTTGTCCTTTAAAAAGTTTAGGGAATTCACTTATATTTGTTTTTACCAATTTGTTTTTGAGGGAACAGTGATTTTTAAGTTTTCTCAGATGCATAATTCCTTTTGGTACTTAACTTCATAATAATCACTGAATAAAGTTACCTTGATATAAATACAGTAGCTAAAATGTAAAACCCTCTGAAGAGAGGGTGAAAATACTGCAAAGCCTTCCAAATAGAGAGGATGGTAAAATGCCATTTTAACTTGGTTTAAAATGCTTTGTTTAAATAGGTAAGCTGAGAAAACCCTCCAGAGAGCCTTTAGAAATTCTTTTAAGGGTTTCTGAAGTATGCTTGCATTTCTTTTTTTTTTTTTTTTTATACTTTAAGTTTTAGGGTACATGTGCACAACGTGCAGGTTTGTTACATATGTATACATGTGCCATGTTGGTGTGCTGCACCCATTAACTCGTCATTTAGCATTAGGTATATCTCCTAATGCTATCCCTCCCCCCTCCCCCCATCCCACAACAGTCCCCGGTGTGTGATGTTCCCTTTCCTGTGTCCATGTATTCTCATTGTTCAATTCCCACCTATGAGTGAGAACGTGCAGTGTTTGGTTTTTTGTCCTTGCAATAGTTTGCTGAGAATGATGGTTTCCAGCTTCATCCATGTCCCTACAAAGGACATGAACTCATCATTTTTTATGGCTGCATAGTATTCCATGGTGTATATGTGCCACATTTTCTTAATCCAGTCTATCATTGTTGGACATTTGGGTTGGTTCCAAGTCTTTGCTATTGTGAATAGTGCCGCAGTAAACATATGAGTGCATGTGTCTTTATAGCAGCATGATTTATAATCCTTTGGGTATATACCCAGTAATGGGATGGCTGGGTCAAATGGTATTTCTAGTTCTAGATCCCTGAGGAATCACCACACCGACTTCCACAATGGTTGAACTAGTTTACAGTCCCACCAACAGTGTAAAAGTGTTCCTATTTCTCCACATCCTCTCCAGCACTTGTTGTTTCCTGACTTTTTAATGATCGCCGTTCTAACTGGTGTGAGATGGTATCTCACTGTGGTTTTGATTTGCATTTCTTTGATGGCCAGTGATGATGAGCATTTTTTCATGTGTTTTTGGCTGCATAAATGTCTTCTTTTGAGAAGTGTCTGTTCATATCCTTTGCCCACTTTTTGATGGGGAGTATGCTTGCATTTCTGTAGTGAATTTGAAAACCTAATCCTTCCACTTAAATAGGTTTCATGTTATTAAACAATTGACTTTTCTCTAGGAATTAGGAAGATTTTCATGATCATGAAACTTTTAACTTGTTACATTTTTGATGATAATGTTCTATAAAAATGATTTTATTATTTTTATTTTCTTTAGGAGTCTTAGATCATATTTAATATTAAGTTGTTGGGCCTAGTAAATTGTATGGATGTATCTCATGCAGATCTCAGTTCTTCGGCTTTAACTGTCATTGACAAATTAGCTTTAGATCACATTACTCTCTGGATTAAAAAATTGTTCTTGTTCATTACTTGTATTTGTTCTTTGCTTATAGTTTTACAATGAGTTGACTGAAATCCTGGTCAGGTTCCAGAACAAATGCAGCGATATAGTTTTGGCATGGAAGACAGAAAGAGATGAACTCTTAAAGTAAGTCTGTTTTGTGTATCAAATTGTACTTAAGAATTTTCTTTTAAAAAATCATGTGGAGACTTTTGGTGTGAACTTGGTAGTATGAGAGCAGTTTCCCTCCTTTTCTCATGGAAGAAGGAACTAGATAGAGTATTTTACAAAGCAACAAGTAAACAGCTGCACAGTCTGGGAATGAAAGGATGAAAAGAAGCAGAAACTCTAGATGCAGGAAGTACAGTGAGGTCACAGAAATGATAAAACAGTTCAGGTGGCAGATCTCAGGAAGTGCCAGTAAATACAAGCAATTTATTTTGAAGTGGCAAATAGGTTCCTTACATAAAACTAGAGCTATAGAACATGGAGGAGACGCCGTGAATAGCTCAGAGAATACCAGCAAAATCACTTTCAGAGGAGGCTGCTGAGAAAGCAGGGCCAGTTAACATACGACTCATTTCCTGCTGAGTAATCAACACGGAGTAGCACAGCGCTGATAAAAGGTGAAAAACATTAACAAAATTTAATAAAACTTCATAGATGAAGAATATTTACCAAAATAATATTGTCACAGAATAGGTGAAAATTATGAGCAAACGTCTGACCATGAACTAAACAAAAAGAACAACAACAACAAATGTAAGAAGGCAGTCATTCTAAGGCCGGGGTCCCCAGTCCTGGGGCCATGGACTGGTACTGGTTCGTGGCCTGTTAGGAACTGGGCTGCACAGCAGGAGGTGGGTGGCAGACAGGCCGGCGGCTGGGCGAGTATTACTGCCTGAGCCCCACCTCCTGTCAGGTCAGCCTCAGCATTAGATTCTCATAGGAGCGCAAACCCTATTGTGAACTGCCCGTGTAAGGGATCTAGGTTGTGCGTTGCTTAGGAGACTCTGACTAATGCCTGATGATCTGAGGTGGAACAGTTTCATCCTGAAATCATCTTCCGCTCCCCTGTGGAAAAATTGTCTTGCATGAGACCGGTCCCTGATGCCATAAAGGTTTGGGGACTGCTCCTCTAAGGAACACTTGGAGCAGAAATTCCAGAACTGCAGGAATATGGTAAGAAAACAGGAAGTGGTAAGATGTGAGGTGTCAGAATTCAGGAAAGAAGTAGAAGGGAAGAATCAAACCACGACATGGGAAAGAGCACAAAGGGCGAGTAAACACTGAAGAACACACAGGAACACAGAGTAGAAATGAGGAAATTAAAATGAAACCAAAGTCAAGAAAGAATGAGAAAGGATTAGAGAGAAGATGGGCACAGAAGATCTAATATGGGCAAAACTGAATTTCTCTCAAAGAAGAAAAACCAGACAGAACAGTTATTTAACTTTCTGTAAACAGAGCACTTATTTCATGATACTCAAGAACATTTTCTTAAAACAAGTGAAGGTTGTTGAAAGAGGATATCACATGGTAGGGGAAATTGATCAAGAACTGTCAGCATCAAGGCATATAAATTATTGGCCTTAAAAGGTAATGGCAGAATCCTTTAGGCAGTCAGGCAAAACAATCAAACCAGTATATAAAAAGGTGAAAAAAATTAGGCTGGCAGCTCTGTATGCCAGAAGAGAGTGGAGTGATTGCTGTAATCTCAAGGATAGTAAATATGAGCTAAAGATTTTATATCATATAGTAAATACATGCTAAAGATTTTATATCCAAACTGTCCTTCGGGTGCATAAAAAGCCATATATTCATTAGTAATAAATATAAAGAGCTGAAAGAGTCTTATACCGATGACCCTTTCAGCCAACTAGATCTTTATTCATCTCTCTGTTCATGTTCATGTTCATTCACCTCTCTGCTCATGTTCATGAGAGAAGTTATTTTCTTCTACCTCTAAGAAAGAGCAGGTGAGTTGTTTTTAGAATATTTCTACTAAACCTATAAAAAGCAAATAATTAGAATGTTTTAAAAATGGTTCTAAATGTTTTAAAAAAGGTGACTTTTTTTTAGATAGAGTTTTGCTCTGTCGCCCAGGCTGGAGTGCAATGATGCAATCTTCGCTCACTGCAACCTCCGCCTCCCGGGTTCAAGCAATTCTTCTGCCTCAGCTTCCCAAGTAGCTGGCATTACAGGTGTGCACCACCACGCCTGGCTAATTTTTGTATTTTTAGTAGAGACAGGGTTTTGCCATGTTGGCCAGGCTGGTCTCGAACTCCTGACCTCAGGTGATTGGAATTACAGGTGTGAGCCACCCCCCCAGCCTAAAAAAAGATGAGTATTCTCCATATTAGTCTTAAAGATAAAAAAAACCTAACAAAGATTAATACAAAACAGTCTACAGACCAGTTTCAGTTATGAATATGGATGCAAAAGTCCTAAATAAAGTATTTGCCAGTAATAGTCACCAGGACGTTAAAAAATAATTATTGACCAAGGGGAGGGGGGCATTTATTCCAGTATTCAGTATTCAGTGTTTTCATGTCAAAGGAAAGATTACAGGCTTGTCTTAATAGATGAGGCAGAAGCATTTAAGAAAATGAGTGTTCTGATACTCAGTAAAATAAGAATAGATAGAAGATAGATGCTTCCGTAACATGAAAAAATATATATGTATGTGTGTGTATATATTTCTGCCCAAAACTCAGTACAGTGATTAATGGAGAAGCACTATAAACAGTTCCCTCTGAAGTCAAGAACAGACAACAAATGTCACTGTCAGCACTATTTTTAAATACTATACTGCAGTACCAGCCAAGACAATCACGTGAGAGAGAAATTTAAAAATTGGAAAGGAAGAAGTAAAACTAGCACTATTTACAGACATTATGATTGTACAACTACTTGAAAACCCAAGAGAACCCCAAAACTCTGCAAATAATAAAATAATTATTACTGAAGTTGTTGATCATAAAAATAATTTGTAGAAATCAGTGGCTTTCATGTAAATAAACCTATAGAGGATAAGATGAAGAGACCCACTTACGGTAGCAACAAAAAGGATAAAATATAAAATATAAGTTTGTCATATATGAGACCTGTGTGAAGAAAAAACTATTTCAAGGACACAAAAGAAGGCTTGAGCAAGTTAAAAAGCATGTTCTTGGATAGGATGACTCAACTTCATCAAGATGTCAACTCTCAGTTAACTTATGTATCAACTGGGCGTGATGGCATGCACTTCTAGTCCCATCTACTTGGGAGATTGAAGTGGGAGGATGGTTTGAGCCCTGGAATTCTAGGTTGTAGTGCGCTATGATTGTACCTATAAATAGCCACGGTACTCCAGTCTGGGCAGCAGTGAGACCCTATCTCTAATAACAAACATAAATAAAGAAATAAACATATACGGCCGGGCGCAGTGGCTCACGCCTGTAATCCCAGCACTTTGGGAGGCCGAGGCAGGCGGATCACGAGGTCAGGAGATCGAGACCATCCTGGCTAACACGGTGAAACCCCGTCTCTACTAAAAATAAAAAAAATTAGCCGGGCGTGGTGGTGGGCGCCTGTAGTTCCAGCTACTCGGGAGGCTGAGACAGGAGAATGGTGTGAACCCGGGAGGCAGAGCTTGCAGTGAGCCGAGATCGTGCCACTGTACTCCGGCCTGGGCGACACAGTGAGACTCCGTCTCAAAAAAAATAAATAAATAAAAAGAAATAAACATATGCATTCAACATGCTTTTGATTAAAAAAAAATCAGCTTTTCATTTGGAATTAGACAAGTTGATCCTAAAGTTCAAGTAGAAAAAGAAACAAGGTCAGCCAGGAAAACAATAAAAAGAGTAGTGAAGGGATACTAGTTCTACCAGATAATAAGGTATATAATACCATCTTTAATTAAAACACAGTGGTACTGGTACATGATTAGACAAAGACAGAATAGAAAATAGAAATAGATTCAAATACATGTGTGAATTTAGTGTAAAAGATCTTCAACCAACCAGAAGAGGTTGTAGTCAACTGCCCAGCCATTTAGAAAATAAAAGTTATCTTTATACCAGAGTAAGTTCTGAGTGGACCAAACTTGAAATTTGTAAATGAAATATAAAGTATAAAATAGAATGGAGGAGAATTCCTTAATAAAGCTGGGATGGGCAGGATCTAATAACTCCTACTTAAAATCCAGAAGCCATTAAAAAAAAGAAAAGAATAAGTTTCTCATAGAAATATGATAAACAGAGTCAGGATATGACAAATTGGGGATCCAATATTTGAAACTTATTCACAGGCAAAAGGCTAATTTACTTTATTTAGAAAAGAACTCCTAGAAATGAACAAGAAGAAAACCCAATAGACAACTGAGGAAAAGACGCAAATAGAATTTTGCAGACAAGGAAATACAAATAGCTCTTAAATAAATGAAAAAAAATGAATACCCTCATTCATTATAAAATACAAATCAAAATTAGTCTGAAGTAATATTTTTCAGATTGGCAAGAATCTGAAAGTTTGTTTAAAGCCTGTTCTGGGTCTTCCACATTCATTATTCTCTACGGTCAATCACATTCCAAGGATTGTTGCCTCCAATGCATGCCTTTTTCTCAATTTTATTTTCTCCCATCAGAGTCATGCACAGATTAGCTCCCAAGTGAGCTATTATAATGGCCTCCTAGCATCTAAACTCTCCTTTTTTCCAATTGATAGTTCTGCCAGAGTTGTCTTCTTAAAGCAGAGGTTAGACCGCATTTCTCTTAAGTAAATTCCAATGACACCAAAACAGTGATTCTTAATAAGAATTACAAGTAGGGAAATACAGATGGGAGAGTTTGCTTAGTAAATAAGTTCATAAAATCTAGGTTAAACAAAGTTAAATGGGGTTTGCTTTTTGCTGTTGCTTTGTTAATGTGCATTTGAAATTTCTAAAGTGGCATTACATATCCATAATTTCCCTTATCTATTTGACAAAGGAATCTGGTTTGTTTAGAAGCATTTTTTCAGAACTGTGATAGGTCAACCTTTCAGAAATTCCTCATTATCAACAGTCAAATCCAGATGTATTTTCTTTGGCTCTCACAACAGGCTTAGAGGAATTTCTAGTCTGTTCTCCTGATGTTTCATTATGTGCATCTTTTGCTTAGGCCTGTTAAACCTACTCAATGTGTGTATCTTCTACTCCATGTCTTTATTCCTACTGTTGTCTTAACAGGAAATCCTTGCAACCCAATTCATAGTTTTTGTTCTTTGGAAAAATCCAAATCATGTATCATGAATACATATTTTTTCTCTATTGGGATTTGCCTGTTTTTATGTATCACAGCCAGAAGTAATCACTGCATAGTGTATTTCTGTAGAAAGATAGAAGAGTTCTATTTTAACACAATATTTCCTATATACCCAGCAAAGGTCTAGGTATTTATACATACTATTGTATTTATTCATCTCATCAATGCAATGAAGAAATATTAATAAATCCATTATATATGCTAAAAGGTAGCGACACATATATGCTACATGTGCAGGTTTTCTCAGGTATTATTAGCTAGGGAAGCTGTGTTGTAACAATCTTCAAAAACTTCTTTCTATTGTTTACATGCTATTCCACATCATTTTGTTTTCATTTCTTTTGTAGTATCTAATGTATTCTACTAAAAAAAAAAGTAGAGTAGTTGGAAAACTTGTGAAAAAAACATATGTATTACATATATACCATTCTTCATGATTCTCAAAATTTTCATCATTATTAATGTTTTGTGTATATATATATATATATTGTGTGTGTATGTATGCATGTTAGATATATAATTTAAAAGAAAACAATAAGTTGGTGGCTTATGGCAAATTGTTCCTTAAGTCCTGCATTTGAAACATAGACACTGAGTGAATCAGCACATTTGATCATCTTTTAACTACAATAGATGATTATACATTAAAAATACATTAACCATCCAAATACATCTTTTTTCTTATTTATGTATGTATGTATGTATGTATGTATGTATGTATTTTTATTTTTTTGAGATGGAGTCTCTTTCTGTCGCCCAGGCTGAAGTGCAGTGGCGCAATCTCAGCTCACTGCAAGCTCCACCTCCCAGGTTCCCGCCATTCTCCTGCCTCAGCCTCCCGAATAGCTGGGACTACAAGCGCCCGCCACCACGCCTAGCTAATTTTTTTGTACTTTTAGTAGAGATGGGTTTTCACCACGTTAGCCAGGATGGTCTCGATCTCCTGACCTCGTGATCCGCCTGCCTTGGCCTTCCAAAGTGCTGGGATTACAGGCCTGAGCCTCGGCGCCCGGCCCAAATGCATCTTTAGGAAAATTATATTTAAGCTCTTCATGGAGACATTAAAAAACCAAGCTGCATTAATAATAAATAATTATATCATTCATTAGTAAGGAGTAAATAGCTGTTTTCTATTTGAGAAGTATTAATTGGATTGTCCATCTGTATGCAGGAACATCTGTTTTCTGACATGCTTTAATCACCATTTGTTTTGTACTTGTACCATAATTACACTTGTTTGTAATATTGAACCGAGACAATGATTAAAATCAACTTATGAATACGATTCTTTTATGCTTTTGTATTTCATTAGAAAATGTGTAATTCTGGTATGACATTTATAAGTATATATAAAAGAAAGTATTTGATTAACAAAATGCCTCAACAGATTATGTCAGTAAAATGAGTGTTATATCATGCAGTCTATGTTACTATTTTGGCATTTTTAAGGAAAGTTTATTGCTTCACGGAAGCTTTTTTTTAACTGACCATCTATGAATTTTCTGTATTCTTTATTTCATTGTGATCACATGGTCATAGAAGAGACATTTTTAGATCATCAGAAGTTGACAGTTTTCAGTGTAGTGTATGTGCTTAGTATAAGATGGAATTAAGTTTGTTGTATGGGTGATTGATGAATTTTTACTGAATCATGGATAACTGCTGTTCTATTAATGACATTTCATCAATTAACTCTTTTGGATATGGTTTATCACAAAATGTTGCTGATTTAATGTTTGTGGATTAACTGAGGTGAAAGTGATACCTGGTAGAAGTTTCATTAATACAAATTTTCCTCTCTTAGGAGTAGGATGGATTATATTATTTGTCGAAATGCCTTTGCATGTAAGTTCTTAACTGTCAGCTTTCTTGTCCTGTGAATCATATCTTTTCTGTATTTGCTGAAATAGAGACTTAACATTGTTAAATGATTTTTCCATGTCATGGAAAATGTATGCCTCTAAATCTGCGTTCCTTCCTACAAATTACAAGTTCAAAATGACTTTTTTTAAGAAACAAAAAAAAAAGATGGATTTCTCGTATTTTGTGGCAGGATAAGCTCCCTGTAGCCTATCTTAAATGTTGATTACGACTAAAACTATGAAAAGTACAATAAGCAACTAACTGAGGAATCTGAAAAGTAAATAAAAGTAGAATTATGAGTGATAGGCAAAATCTGGAGAAGCACCCTGCAGTAGTGTGAGCTTCCATTGTTGTATTTCTTTCAATCAAAACCAAAACAAACAAACAAAACAAATAAAAACCAGAAAAGAACCACCACCAACAAGAAAACACTCAAGGAAAATAGATATTGTGATAGAAACAGCAGAAATGTCGAGAAACAAAACCAGAAGGTTAGAATTATTAGAGAAAATAATATAAAAAGTAATTTTAAATATCTAAACAAAATTTTAAAAAGGAATTTAAAAAAATAAGCAAGGAGAAGACAATAAAAATAGGTTGATAATTCATTTGTTAGCATTTGTCTGTTTGGTATTTGTTGACCATTTTATTTTTAAAAAATTTGGCTATATTTGCTTTTGGTGTATTTCTTGTATATGTATTGTAAAATTTAGTATTTATTATTATTAAATATTTTATATTGTTAAATGATAATTTATTTTTATTGATAAGAAAGATGTAGTTTTCTGGTTGTTATTTTTGTAATTTTACCTGCATTTATATTTTTCTCCATTTATTTAGATAATACCTAATGGTTCCCCACAATGAGTGGCAATTAAATTAGACTCTGTGCTATTTTCACTTTCTCAACTTCTCCTGAACTATTTGATTTTTGTGGCAGGATATTTCTTAATATTTGCCTTTGTGCCACTTAATGTTTTCATACTATTATGGGCAAATTTTGAGATTTAAAATGAACCCATTACTCTCAGCTATTATAGACGAGGCAATCAGGGAGCTAATTCCTACTTTCCCCTTTCTTTTACTCTCTCCTCCTGGTTGTTACAGTTGAATCATTTGTACATTATCAGAATCATCAGTAAAATATCTTTTTACATCTTCTACACCATGTATCCCTTAAATCTATATATGACGCATTGAATGCTTACCTCTTGCCTTACTGGTAGTATTTTACCTACTCAGAACTAGGTTGATTGAACTTTGTCCTGTGGTAACTCTCTTAATAAGAACTTTCTGTAAAGTGTTCCCTGAATTATGGGTGCTTATAACTGTACACTTTATAGCTGATAGATATCTTGCAAGGATAAGGATAACCATTTGCTTCTCCCTTCTCTTCTTTCTCAATATTTCCCCCCATTTTCTGGTGTTAACTTTTGCTGTGGAAAACTCTGATGCCAAAATGATTTTCTTTTTCTCTAAGTTGACAATTTTTGCTTAAGCCCTCACATAATGCTTTCTTAATCTTTAAAGTCCTAGTCCCATACACAGATATATCTTGGTGTTGAACATTCTAATAACATACATAAGCATATACTACACAGTAATGTAAATATATGTGCTTATGATGATCTATCTTGTCTTAATATAGGCAATAACTTTTTTCTAATTCTATCCTATGTTTTACAGTTTTTGGATTTTTGGACGGGGAGAGGACTTACTACATATTCTTCTCTCACACCCTTTACGACCCTTACATTATTTGGGGTTCAGTCTCCCTTGTTCTCTTTACAATTTAGTTTTTTTTTTTTTTTCTACAATGATTTTGTTTTTAAATCCTATTTCTTTCATGGATTCTGCCAGTTGCTATTGCACTTTCTGGCTATCTCTTCCCCATTCTCTTGCATTTCACTTCATGGTCTCTTTATGTTTTATTACACCCTTAAAATTTATGTTGGAATGTATAAATGTTCATTCCTTTTTTCATCTGTTTTGTAGCAACATGTTTCTAGTTATTACAAGAGTTGATATATTCCTTTTTTATCTTTATTCTTAAGAGTATTTTTATGTGAATGCTGAGAAAATTCCTTTAGTATTTCTCATATGTGAAAGTTGAATTTCCTACAGGACAAAGGAAAGGGGTTGTAGAATGTGCCCCAGCCTGCTAGCTCAAGGGCCCTCTCATCATTTGCTACAGTGACAGACTGTTGCCTCATTTTGGGGACATTATGGAGTCACCGCTCGTTCTCCATAAGAGCATAAATGATTACCAGGTAGTTGTTACTGTCTTCTCTCCTTGATACTCATACATAACTCATAGCACATATGGAAGCAACCTTCTAAATACCCATGTTTTATCTTTAAAATGTTCTTTGTGTGTAGCTGCCCATTTGTTTTGTGCTAACTGACTGACCCTATTACCTTCAGTTGTAACAACCCATTTAAGGTAGAAACGAAGGACACTCATCTCCATGTGTTTTCAGAATTTAAATGAAAAAATAAAAAGAGGCTGATGTCACTTCCCAGTTTAACGCAGGGGTTTTATTTATTTATGTACACTCAATCAAACTATGACTATTACAAATGGTTTTACCGCTACAATAAAGATAGTTAATTCATAACTCAATAAAAATGAAGAGTGAAAGATTAAAAAAGGAAAGCAACAATTCTAAACTATAAAATCTACTTCAGAAAGCTACATACAGCAAAGCTCAATAAATAAATTATGAAAAAAAGAATAATATGGGATAAGTTTTATGGTTTAGGAGATACCTTCCTATAAGCCAAAAACCTAAAAAAAAATGCTAAAGGTATAGCTTGCTATAGTACGTGGTAGGAGAAATTAACATGTATAAAATCAATAACACTCACATTATGTGATAGTCTACAGCCAAAGAATAATAGAAAGCAAGTGAAATGCTTAGCATAGCTATTTAGTCTACTAAATTAGGTTTGTGAAAATGGGAATGCCAAATGCCTTAAGGCTTATGGCAGGTGCAAAAGCAAAACATCAGAGGTCAACCTAAGGATATTTTTAATATAAAATTAATGTACCTGCATTGTAAGCATTATTTTTTTTGTATGGTAGAAAGGAAAAAATTCTTGTATTATTCTACTATAAATGTGTATTCTTTGCTCTACTAAATTTGCATGTCATCGTCAGCCTTTCACTTTGTCTTCAGCTAACAAGAACCTCTTGGGTTCATCCTTTGGAGAACCTGATATGGAAAATGGACTGAACTAGGAGAAGAGCCTTTGTTTAGACCACATGCTGAGGTCTAGTGGCTTCAATTAAAAATATATAAATGTGGCCGGGCACAGTGGCTCACGCCTGTAACTCCAGCACTTTGGGATTCTGAGGCGGGCAGATCACGAGGTCAGGAGTTCAAGACCAGCCTGACCAACGTGATGAAATCCCGTCTCTACTAAAAATACAAAAATTAGCTAGGCATGGTGGCACGTGCCTGTAATCCCAGCTACTCAGGAGGCTGACGCAGGAGAATCGCTTGAATCCTGGAGGCGGAAGCTGTAGTGAGCCAAGATCATGCCATTGCACTCTAGCCTGGGACGACAGAGCGAGACTCCGTCTCAAAAAAAAAAAAAAATTATGTATATATATATATGCTTAATCTCTAAGCTTTGGAAGGAACAGCCTATCTACAGAAAAATTTAAAACTTGGTCATGACAGGTACAGAGTTGGGCCCCATTAATTTTGTTGACATTGAGGTCAGCAGATTCTGTAAATTTTCACTATACCTCTCATATGATCTGCCGCCACACCATTCATACTCTTAACTTTATTTCTCCTCACACCAGTAAATTACTAAAACTGCCAAGTTTTTTTTTCACAAATTAATATCTTTAGCATTCTCCTCCTTCAGCCTGCAATGAAATTATCTACTCCCCTCCCTCCTCCTTCCTCCTTGACTCCCGCTAATGCACATTTGTGTTTGGTTTCCACACCAAATGAGCTACCTTCAATAAGCATCCCACAACTCCACAGGGAACTTTTGTTTCTCTACCTTCTGTGCTGTCAAAGCGCTTGGCTCAGAATGAGAGATCTGTCTGCATTTCAGATCTACAAATTACTCATTGTGTGACCTTGGACATATCCCTAATATTTTTGAGCCTCAGTTTCTCAAAAATTAGAATAAAGATACCAAACTCCTGGGGTTTTGTGAGAGTAAAATGAGACGATGTGTGTAAGAGACTCAGTGCAGTGTCAGTATCTACCATGTGCTATGCACTCTGCGTTTTCTTTTTCTTTTTTTTTTTTTTGAGACGGAGTCTCGCTCTGTCACCCAGGCTGGAGTGCAGTGGCGTGATCTCGGCTCATTGCAACCTCTGCCTCTTGGGTTCAAGAGATTCTCCTGTCTCAGCCTGCGAGTAGCTGGGACTACAGGCCCATGCCACCACGCCTGGCTAATTTTTGTATTTTTAGTAAAGACAGCGTTTCACCATACTGGTCAGGCTGGTCTTGAACTCCTGACCTCAGGTGATGCACCCACCTCGGCATCCGAAAGTGCTGGGATTACAGGTGTGAGCCACCATGCCCGGGCCAACCCATAGCCTTTTGGTCTTCTCTCAGCCAAGGCATCCAGTGAAAATGCAATTTATTTTTCAGATTCCTCTGGAGAATTAAAAAGTCTCTTTTGCGGCTGGACACAGCAACTCACACCTGTAATCCCAGCACTTTGGGAGGCTGAGGCAGGCAGATCACAAGGTCAAGAGATCGAGACCATCCTGGCCATGGCCAACATGGTGAAACCCTGTCTCTACTAAAAATACAAAAATTAGCTGGGTGTGGTGGCACAGGCCTATTGTCCCAGCTACATGGGAGGCTGAGGCAGGAGAATTGCTTGAACCCAGGAGGCGGAGGTTGCAGTGGGCCAAGATTGAGCCACTGCACTTGCTCTGGTGAAAGAGCAAGACTCCGTCTCAAAAAAAAAAAAAAAAAAAAAAAAAAAGTCTCTTTTGCATCAAATTGCCATACTCTCTGCTCTTGGTCCTCTTTTCCATGTACTCATTCTTCAAGCATTTATTTTCTCATTGCCTGATCCAGATCATTGCAATGACCAAAAAATTTTCGAATGCTATGATTTTTGTGATATTCTTTTAGCAAGTTAATCACGATGTTGCATTCTTGAGTGTGCAAGTGTGGAGGTAAGTCAGGATGCATCTTTAAGACAAAAAGATGGGTCACGGCAGTGCCACACCACTCACGGCCACACCAGGAGAGCTGAAGGGGCAGTCACCAACGAAGATGCCTGACCCAGAAGCTGGCTGCCAGGGAGCCAAGAGCCAGGTCACTCCACAGGTGGCCAATGCCCGGGGGTGGCCCTCCACCGCCGAAGCTGCTGCTGCTGCTGCTGCTGCTGCTTATTATTATTTTGAGACGGAGTCTGGCTCTGCCTCCCAGGCTGGAGTGCGGTAGCACGATCTCGGCTCACTGCAACCTCCGCCTCTGGGGTTCAAGCGATTCTCCTGCCTCAGCCTCCCGAGTAGCTGGGACCACAGGCACGTGCCACCTCACCTGGCTAATTTTATTTTTTGAATAGACAGGGTCTTGTTATGTTGCCCAGGCTGGTCTTGAACTCCCGGGCTCAAGCGATCCTCCCACTTCAGCCTCCCAAAGTGCCAAGACTACAGGTGTGAGCCACCACACCTGGCCAAGTTCTACTTTTCTAATATTTAAAATATGAAATAGGCCGGGCACGGTGGCTCACACCTGTAATCCCAGAACTTTGGGAGGCTGAGGCGGGCAGATCACCAGAGGTCAGGAGTTCGTGACCAGCCTGGCCAACATGATGAAACCCCGTCACTACTGAAAGTACAAAAATTAGCCGGGTGTGGTGACAGATGCCTGTAATCCCAGCTACTCGGAAGGCTGAGGCACCTAAACCCGGGAGGTGGAGGTTGTAGTGAGCCGATACCATGCCACTGCACTCCAGTCTCGGCGACGCAATGAGACTCTGTCTCAAAAAAAAAAATAGATGATGTCAGTGATTTCTATTACATGAGATCTGGAAGCACTCTGTACCTGATTGCTCCACGTTTAGTGGTGCTAAGTTCAAATAATTCAGGTGGTGAGAAACTGACTTCCGTAGGAGTGCGGGTGTGCGTGCGTGCCGCGGAAATCCCGCCTTCTGGCGCCTGCGGTTGCCCCCTGGCCTCAGCCGGTAGGCTCCCAAGTAGGAAGATAAACCGCATTGCACGAAGCGGGAGAGTCCAGAGGAGCGGCGAAGCGCTCCTCTTCCCCATTGGCTGCGCCCACGGAGCCGCCTTGCGATTGGCCCTAAGCGCGGGTGGCTGGGGTTGCGAGAGGCATCAGGATCCCTGGCGGCGCCTGAGCCAGCGGCTGCTAGGAGGCTGTGTCCGCAAGCCAGCGGGGCGAGGCGCCTGGGCCCTGCGCGTCAGGTCCCGGCCTGGGGCACCGGGGCTGCCAGCGTCGGAGGAGGTGCGGGCGCGGGGTTGGCGGGCGGCCGAACGGGGGCCTGCGCGGACCGCCCGCGGCTCAGCCTCCGGTCTCTCTCCGTCTCTAAGTGGTGGTGGCTGTGGGTTTTTCTGCAGGTGATCCTTTTGAGTAATTTGTTTCACGCAGGCGCCCTGCTGTAGGGTAAAGCGGCAGATTCATGCTGCTGTCATTTGTCGTTCAAACTGTGGGCTTCTTGGCCAGGCGCGGTGGCTCAAGCCTGTAATCCCAGCACTTTGGGAGGCCGAGGCGGGCGGATCACGAGGCCAGGAGATCGAGATCATCCTGGCTAACACGGCGAAACGCTGTCTCTACTAAAAATACAAAAAATTAGTTGGGCGTGGTGGTGGGCGCCTGCAGTCCCAGCTACTCGGGAGGCTGAGGCAGGACAATGGTGTGAACCCGGGAGGTGGTGCTTGCAGTGAGCTGAGATTCCGCCACTGCACTCAAGCCTGGGTGACAGAGGGAGACTCCATCTCAAAACAAAACAAAAAACGATGGGCTTTCTGTCGTGTGTGTGTACCTTTTGGATTTGAGGGCAGGGGGATGACATTGTGATCTGGCCTCCTGAGAAACCAGGCACACCCTGCCTACCTTGGAAGGCGGCTTTCCCTTCCCCACCTCCCTCTCCCTCCATCTGTTCCCTCTTTCCCTCTCTCCACTTCACTCCCGTCCCCCAGCTCTTCTCTCCCATCTTTTTGTTCTCTGTCTCTTTTTTTTTTCCTGCATTAAACCTTTCGGGAGTGTCTTTGTAAAATATTAAGAAGCGTTAGGTCTTCAACATGTGTGTTTACTTGCAGGCCTGAGACCTGGGAGGAAGCTGGAGAAAAGATGCCCTCTGAATCTTTGTGTTTGGCTGCCCAGGCTCGCCTTGACACCGAATGGTTGAAAACAGATATACAGGTGGGGTTTGACATGTCTCTTTCTTGGTGTATTTCTGCTTCCATGTTTAAATTTCTCGTGTAAGGCTTTTTTTTAGGGTATGTAAGGGGAAGTCAGTTGTATCTTGCTATATTAGAGGAGCAGGTTTGTTTCCTGTAACTTAAAATGTAACAGTCTTTATGGCTGTTTTTGTAGATCGTGCGCGGCTGCCTTTTAATTAGTTTCTTGCAAGTGCAGGAAATGAGATTTATTAATAGGGAAAATTTTTTTCTTAATTATTATTACTGGTTGAGAAATCTGCTACACTCCTAACCATATCATGGTGACTGTTGTTTGTTACTGATAGTTTTTGAGCTGTTGAGTTAACTGTCGAGGGGAAAATTGGAGAAGTAAGTTGCAGTAATTATGGCTGCTAGAAACTCACTCCTTTTATGAGGTCTTGTGTTTGTGTTTCTGGAGAGAAAAGAGTTAGTTCAGTTGAGCTGTTTGTTTTGTATTTGTAACCAATACAAGGACTAAGGACAATTGTGTTGAAACTGAGGTCATAATGTTGGGATCTTAAGGGCCGAAGGTTCCAAACAAATGGTATGTATAGAGTTCTCTCTGACTTGAAATTTTCCCTTTCTGGACCTCCGGATGCTGAGGCTGGGAGTGTCCATATGACAGTGCCTTCCATGACAGGAGTCAGCAACCTTTTTTTTTTTTTTTTTTTAACACGTATCAGTAATTCATTCTGTATATTTTGAAAAGTTTTAACCTCTTCTTCCTAGCCCTCCAGTATTTGTTAATAAATTAAAACGTTTCCCAAAGTGTTTTTTGTGAAACAATAATTCTAAAAGATGCTCTAAGAAAAGCTAAGTACATGGAAAAATCCAAAGTGTATATTTTATTTATTACATTTCATGAATTTTTGTTTCTGTTTTTTCCTCTTGAGAGGGAGTCTTGCTCTGTCTCTCAGGCTGGAGTGCAGTGGCATGATCTTGGCTCACTGCAACCTCCGCCTCCTGGGTTCAAGCAGTTCTCTGCCTTAGCCTCCAGAGTAGTTAGGATTACAGGTGCCCTCCACCACGGCCAGCTAATTTTTGTATTTTTAGTAGAGACAGAGTTTCACCATAGTGGCCAGACTGGTCTTGAACTCCTGACCTCATGATCCACCCTCGGCCTCCCAAAGTGCTGGGATTACAGGTGTGAGCCACTGTGCCTGGACCACATTTGATGACTTTTTTTGTCCTTTGTTCTTTTAAAAATCATGGTTAGAAAGCAGAGCATAATTGTTCTTTATGTAGAATCCAACTGATTGGGGTTTTTAGGGAGATGTTTTGACATTCAGTAAATGTTTTTGTTTTCCATTATTAAGACTATGAATTTTTTATTTTACTTTCTGAGACAGGGTCTTGCTCTGTTGCCCAGGCTGGAGTGCAGTGGCGTGATCTTGGCTCACTGCAACCTCTGCCTCCTGGGTTCAAGCAGTTCTCCTGCCTCAGCCTCCTGAGTAGCTAGCATTAGAGGTGCCCGCCACCACTACCCTCCGCCTTTCAGGTTCAAGCGATCCTCTGCCTCAGCCTCCTGAGTAGCTGGGATTACAGGTGCACGCCAGCATGCCCGGCAAATTTTTGAATTTTTAGTAGAGACGAGGTTTCACCATGTTGGTCAGGCTGGTCTCGAATTCCTGACCTTGTGATCCACCCGCCTCGGTCTCCCAAAGTGCTGGGATTACAGGTGTGAGCCACATTTTTAGTAGAGATGGGGTATCACTATGTTGGCCAGGCTGCTGTGGAACTCCTGACCTCAAGTGATCCCCTCACCTTGGCTTCCCAAAGTGCTAGGATTACAGATGTGAGCTACCACGCCTAGCCGTATTTTGTATTTTTAGTAGAGATGGGGTTTTGCTGTGTTGGCCAGGCTGGTCTTGATCTCCTGGGTGCAAGTGATCCTCCCACATTGGCCTCTCAAAGTGCTGGGATTACAGGCATGAGCCACCACACCTGGCCAATGGGAGGTCTCGCTTCCCTTCTCTGCAGCATTCCATAAGCAATGTGTTTGGGTAGTATGTGTTCGATTTTCTCTATGTATACTTTGAACCCTACAGTAGTGAAAGGAAGAGTAGACAACTTTGAAGTTGATGTGGTGTGGTCTTTGAGCTGGTGGTGCTAATTACTCTTGGTTGTTTTCGTGGCCTCCAGTGACTTCATCCTGCTTTTGCTGTTGTAAAGTGTTGTAATTTATGCTCCTGAGAATAACTCTTGAGGTGTACTTAGGGTTCTTGTCTGCTTCCTGGTGACTGTCGAAGCTTTTCATCTTGAAGAAGGGAGATGAGCAGTGTTCCAGTGTACTGAGATTAAAATTAAGAATGTTGCATTTTTTTAATATGTAAAATTTATAGCCAGCTGTAGGGTAGGGGTGGCCTACTTTCTCTAAAGGGCCAGATAGTAAATATTTTAAGGTCTCACTGGACCCTATGGTCTCTGTCATAGCCATGAGACCTTGCAGATTTAGTGCCAAAGTAGCCACAGACAATACCACGTCAGCGGGCAGGGGACGTTCATTCTGTAAAGTGTATTTATGGACACCAAAAGATGAAGTCCACAGAATGTTTGCAAGTCACAAAATACTGTTTTTCTTTTGATTGTTTTTCAGTTATTAAAAAATATAAAATACAGTGGCCGGGCGTGGTGGCTCACATCTGTAATCCCAGCACTTTTAGAG
The DNA here is from genome assembly GCF_000001405.40 of Homo sapiens. Lineage (NCBI taxonomy): Eukaryota > Metazoa > Chordata > Mammalia > Primates > Hominidae > Homo > Homo sapiens. Next base: position 28,836,064 of record NC_000015.10, read on the forward strand.
GCTGAGGCAGGCGGATCACCTGAGGTCAGGAGTTCGAGACCAGCCTGGCCAACATGGTGAAACCCCATCTCTACTAAAAACAAAAAATTAGCCGGGCATGGTGATGCACGCCTGTAATCCCAGCTCCTCGGAGGCTGAGGCAGGAGAATCACTTGAACCTGGGAGAATCGTTTGAGCCTGGGAGGCAGAGGTTGTGATGAGCCAAGACTCTGTCTCAAAAGAACAACAAAAATAAAATACTTTCTCTGCGTTCAGACCATACACAAAGAGGCTGTGGGCTGGGTTTGGCCCCTGGGCTGTGGTTAGTGACCCCAAACACACACACACATACACACACGTAGGGCAGAGTCTGGCATTTAGAGCCAGCACCTGTGTTCTCACCTGAGCTGTGTTCCTGGCTGGGTTCTGCTGTGTATTCTGTGACCCAAGATGTCTATCTACCTTGGTAAACTGGAGACAACAAAGCCTGCCTCCTTCAAGGTTGTTTGTAAAGATTTAAAAGGGTAATGTATTGTTGTTAGGCCAGATGCTTTGCATAGTACATGTTAGGTTATTTTCACTTTTTTTTTTTTTTTTTGAGACAGAGTCCTACTCTGTTGTACAGGCTGGAGTCCAGTGGCGAGATTCCAGCTCACTGCAACCTCTGCCTCCCAGGTTCAAGCAATTCTCCTGCCTCAGCCTCTCGGGCTGCTGGGATTACAGGTGGCTGCCACCATGCCGGGCCAATTTTGATATTTTTAGTAGAGATCGGGTTTCACCATGTTGGCCAGGCCAGTCTCAAACTCCTGACCTCAAGTGATCCGCCCACCTCGGCCTCCCAACGTGGTGGGATTACAGGAGTGAGCCACCACATCTGGCCCATTTTCACTTTCCATTAGCTGCTTTTTTCCCCCATTCATTTCCTACCTTTCTGTGTATGATTTCTGAATTAAATGTATTTCATGTCTTAACCTTCTGAATTGTTTGTCCTCTCATTTTCCATGCTGTTAAGGAAAATAAGAGGCTAAGTGAGACGTATTAAATTTGCATGTAGTTTCTCAGATCAGGATAAATGCTCACCTGTTGCAGAACGGGACTCTGCTCTTGCTTCACCCAGGATGCCTTTCCTAGTTCCTTCCTAGAGTGGGGCCGCACCCTGCTCCAGCCCTCCAGACCCAGCTCCCTGCTCTGACATGATTCCACCAGACTGTATTCCAGCTGTCCTCCCTGGACCTAGATATTTTCCTTCTTCTTCTTTTTTTTTTTTTTTTTTTCCTGAGATGAAGTCTCACTCGGTGGTCCAGGCTGGAGTGCAATGGTGTGATCTCGGCTCACTGCAACCTCCGCCTTCCAGGTTCAAGCCATTCTCCTGCCTCAGCCTCCCAAGTAGCTGGGATTACAGGCACGTGCCACCAAGCCTGGGTAATTTTTGTATTTTTAGTAGAGACAGGGTTTCACCATGTTGGCCAGGCTGGTGTCGAACTCCTGACCTTGTGATCCACCCGCCTCGGCCTCCCAAAGTGCTGGGATTACAGGTGTGAGCCACCGCACCCCCCCAGCCAACATATTTTTATTAAAAAACTTATATGAAATTTATTTTATTGTGGTATGTAGTTCAGTAAATTTTGACCTCTATAGATTCATGTAACCCCCATCATCATCAGGATGGAGAATTTTCTTCACCCCAAAAGCTCCCTTGTGCTGCTCCTTTTTATCACGTGTTCCCTGGTCTCATACCCTGGCAACCACGGATCTGTTCTCCATCAGTATGGGGTATTCTTTTTGAGAATGTCATGTGAGTGGAACCATATTTTAAGTAACATTTTGAAACCATCTTCATTTACTCCCAGTTATATGTTTGAGATTTATGTGCTGTTCTGTGTATTAATAGTTCTTTTTATTGCTGAATGGTATTTCATCATTTGGATGTACCACATGGTGTTTATCCATTCTGCCATTGTAGGACCTTGTGGTTGTTTCCATTTTTCTTTCCCAATTGTAATCCTGCTGTGAGCATTACTATACAGATTTTATGTGAATATAGTTTCCATTTCCCTAGGATAAAGACCTAGTAGTGTGAAAGTTGGGTCATGTGCTGAACTGTTTTCCGAAGTGGCTGTTTTAGTTTGCATTCCCACTGGCAATCTGTCACGTTTCTGTTGCTCTGTGTCTTTGTTAGCACTTGGTGTTATCAGTGTTTTTTAGTTGAGCCATTCTAACAAGTCTAGTGGGATCTCATTGTGGTTTTAATTTGCACTTCCGTAATGGCTAAGAATGCTGAATATCGTGTTCTTCTTTGCCACTCTTGTATCCTCTGTGAAGTTTCTGTTCAGATCTTTTGCACGGAAAAAGCTGTATCATGGAACCAGTAAAATAACCAAGGAGAGGTTGATTAAAGTTCTGTTTATAACCCTAGAAGATTCCTGCCCTAGGGATATGGGATGGCTGAACGTAGGACACCGACACTGGACAGATGAAATAGCAGTTTATTAGTCACGCATGCTCACAGCCCTGGGGTGGGGGACACCGCATGCCATTCAGTTAATCATGTGTGTTGTAACTTTTCGGGGAGGGACATTTGCAGAGACTAATGGTATGACATTCTGAAAAGCGGTGACAGATTAAGAAATTTTTTAATTCTGCAGATGGTAGTGTCGAACCAAGTGGAACAAAGAAAGAAGATCTGAATGACAAAGAGAAAAAAAATGAAGACGAAACTCCTGCACCTGTATATAGGGCCAAGTCAATTCTGGAGACCTGGGTGTGGGTCAAGCAACCAGGTAATCTGAGTTTTGGCACTTTGGAAAGCTTGATCTGACGCTCCTTTTCTAAATAACTTGGATGGATTATTCGTATTTTTTGGTAACAATTTTAAAAAATGTAATTAAAAAAATTTAAATATCGTGGTAAAATATACATACCGTAAAACTTGCCATTTTAATCATTTTTATGTGTACAGTTCATTGGCATTAAGTATATTCACATTATTGCCCAGCCATCACCACCATCCATCTCTACAACTTTTGCCCTTTCTCCAACTGAAACTCCGTATCCATGAAACACTAACTCCTTCTGTCCCCAGGCAACCACCATTCTACTTTTGTCTCAGAATTTGACTACTCAAGGTGTCTCCTATAAGGGGAATCATACAGTATTTGTCCTTTTGTGACTGGGTTATTGAACTTCTTAGGTGTTTGGGGTTCATCCGCATGTGTCAGAATTTTCTTTTAAAGGCTCAATGCTATTCCATTATATATGTAAGCCACATGTTATCCCTTCATCAGTGGGCAATCAGGTTGCTTTCATCTCTTGACTGTTGTGAGTAATGCTGCTATGAACATTGGTTTACGAGTGTCTTGAGTGTCTGCTTTTAATTCTTTGTGTCTATACCTAGGAGTGGAATTGGTCAATAATGTGGAATGCTTACATATTTATTTTTTTTGAGATGGCATCTCGCTGTCACCCAGGCTGGAGTGCCGTGGCGCCGTCTCAGCTCACAGCAAGCTCCGCCTCTCGGGTTCACGCAATTCTCCTGCCTCAGCTTCCTGAGTAGCTGGGACTACAGGCGCCCGCCACCATGCCTGGCTAATTTTTTTGTATTTTTAGTAGAGACTGGGTTTCACCGTGTTAGCCATGATGGTCTCCATCTCCTAACCTCGTGATCCACCCGCCTCAGCCTCCCAAATTGCTGGGATTACAGGTGTGAGCCACTGCACCTGGCCAATAATGTGGTAGTTAGATTTATGTTTAACTTATTATTGTTGTTTTTGAGATTGGGTCTCACTCTGTCGCTCAGGCTGGAATGCGTTGATGTAATCATAGCTCACTGCAGCCTTGAACTCCTGGGCTCCAGTGACCTTCTTGCCTCAGCCTCTCAAGTAGCTAGGACTAGAGGCGCAGGGAATTTCTCATCTTCTCTCTACTGCCTCTGAGTTGGAGATGTCAGAGGGAGCCATGGCCCACTGTAAAGTAACACAATGTCCTCACCCACAGGGTTAGAACCCCTCTTCTGGTGGCAGCTCTGAGGGGAGCAGTCACATGTGGAGAGTGCAGGGCTCTGTGTCCAGCTGGGGGAAGGAGGTTACCAAGGGGATTGACCCCCCTCTGGCCAGGTGGCTGCCTTCTGACACACCAGTCTCTCTCTCTAGCACGGTGGCCCCTACACACCCAGCCTGTCAAACCTACAGCCCTCGGGAAGGCTTTGGCCAAATCCATGAGCGGCTCCCTCTGTTAAGAAGGAAGCACAGCTGAAGCATGAGGAGGGCAGTAGAGTGTGTATGCTCCGCCGCGTCTCCCCACAGTCTGACCAGAAGGAAGGGGCCTTTCAGCCAGGCTCGCCCAGGCTGGGGTTGGAGTGTCAGTATCAAGCCAATGTCTTCTTGCTTAATGAGTGAGCCCAGGTGCTCCCGTGCAGCTGCCACCGTAGTGAGGGTGAACCGGCAGGAGGCTCCACGGCACTTTCAGGCTCAGGCTGCCTGGTGAGATCTACTCTGTGGGCTCTGTAGGCTGGTAGAGGCTTCCAGGAGGAGGAGGGGATGCAGCCACCAGTCCCCACTCCTGGGAGTCGTATTTCTGAAAGCTTGGGTATACAGTAAATATTAGGCTGTGGGCTGGTTTATCTATGGATTTGATGTGGGAGGGTTATAGGTACAAGCAGTTTAAAGATGGAAATTTTGAGAGAACCCTTAGTGCTGGGTAAGGCAAGCAGGCTTGTCAAAGCAGCTCTTTTGGGGAGGCCAGAATCCTGTACCAATGTCCTCAGCATGTTCATCAGCTGCTGGGGGAGTGCCGGACAGGATGAAAGCACAGGAGAACTTTGTGGATGATAAAATGTTCCATATCTTCAAAGGAGGTGGGTTACATGGGTAATGCATTTGTTAAAAGTCATCAAAATGTAAACCAGATCTGTGCATTTCACGGAATATAAATTATACCTCAAATTAGAAACATTTTTAAAAAGACAGATGGGCTGGATGCAGTGGCACACGCCTGTAATCCCAGCACTTGGGGAGGCCGAGGCGGGTAGATCACATGAGTCAGGAGCTCGAGACCAGCCTGGACAACATGGTGAAATCCCGTCTCTACTAAAAATATAAAAATTAGCCAGGGGTGGTGGCATATGCGTGTAATCCCAGCTACTTGGGAGGCTGAGGCAGGAGAATTGCTTGAACCCAGGAGGTGGAGGTTACAGTGAGCAGAGATTGCACCACTGCACTAGAGCCTGGGCAACAGAGTGAGACTCCATCTCAAAAAAAAAAAAAAAAAAAGGTTTTCAACATTCATTAAAGGCAGAGTAGCTTGTTATAGACTAGCCTCCCCACAGGAACAGTTAGAAAAACTGGACAAAAATGTGTCCCCCCTTCCCCCCACCATCAAAAACAATTGTTGGAAGGTAATTGGGGACCTCAGCCAGGACTTGAGTGACCAGGCCTAGGAGGTGATCCTGACAGTCCTTAGTGCTTTTCCCACATTTGGTGATCGGTCAACAGTAGAGGGCTAAGAGGCTAAGAAACTGAGTATGAAGTGATAGTTAAGAGGCTGGAGAGCCTAGCTGAATGTTTGGCACTCTCACAGGGCTGAAATGACATAATGAGAATTTGGGTCCCAGTAAGGAGATGAGACCTTGGTGGGGATCCTGGAAGGGCCACCCCTAAGAGTCCAAAAGAATAAAAAATAGACCAGCTGTCACAAAAACTAAAACCTGCTTTGAGCCAGCTTAGTCCCAAACTAGATGAAGGCGATCTGCTTGAACGCCAATTGTGTGCCATAAAGTCAAAGTCAGTACTCTCTGGAGGCAGATAAAACTTTACTAGGCATGCCATAAGACAAGACAACGCAAGACAAAAGGAGAAAACAAACAAAAAAAACAATAGAAACATACATAGATATTAGAGTCCTCAGGTAGAATTTTTTTTTTTTTTTTTGAAATGGGAGTTTCACTCTGTCACCCAGCCTGGAGTGCAGTGGTGTGATCTCAGCTCACTGCAACCTCAACCTCCCACGTAGCTGGGATTGGTGATCCACCCGCCTAGGCCTCCCAAAGTGGTGTGATTACAGGTGCAGGCCACCGTGCCCGGCCAGTATTTTGCCACAATTTAAAATAAATTTTCTTTTTTTCAAGTTTGTTCTCAGACTGTATTCACAAGGTCACATGGCGGCTTACACTTCTGTAGGCCTTGTTGACCGTTCTTTTTAGATACTGATGATCTTGATCTTTTTCTTGTCTCCTCCGTAGAAGAATGGGATGCAGGAGGTGCTGCCTAAGCCTGGGCGCTCCTGGGCGTTCTTCATTCCAGGGGGCAGCTGCATGATCTGTGCAGTGCGGTTGTCATGGGAATAACCCTTCCCGGCCTCTCGTGCAGGCTCCAGGCTGCCAGGGTGGCTCATATCAGAAGGATATTTGGAGGGAGGGAGGCAGGGCTCTGAGCACCGCTCCTCCTGCGTCTTCTCCTGCTCTCCCATCCTCTCCTTCTTCTCCCGCCTCTTCTCCACCTGCCTCCGGATCTTCTCCTCCTCCTCCTGCATCTTCTCATACTCATCCCACAGCCTCTCCTCCTTGAATTGCAGCCTCTCCACCTGCTTCCGCATCTGCTCCTCCTGCTCCCCCATCTGCTCCTCCTGCTCCCCCATCTGCTCCTCCTGCTTCCTCATCTGCTCCTCCTGCTCCCCCATCTGCTCCTCCTGCTTCCGCATCTGCTCCTCCTGCTCCCCCATCTGCTCCTCCTGCTTCCGCATCTGCTCCTCCTGCTCCCCCATCTGCTCCTCCTGCTTCCGGATCTGCTCCTCCTGCTCCCCCATCTGCTCCTCCTGCTTCCTCATCTGCTCCCCCATCTGCTCCTCCTGCTTCCACATCTGCTCCTCCTGCTTTCGCATCTGCTCCTCCTGCTCCCCTATCTGCTCCTCCTGCTTCCACATCTGCTCCTCCTGCTTCCGCATCTGCTCCTCCTGCTCCCCTATCTGCTCCTCCTGCTTCCACATCTGCTCCTCCTGCTTCCGCATCTGCTCCTTCTGCTTCAGCATCTGCTTCTCCTGCTTCCGCATCTGCTCCTCCTGCTCCCCCATCTGCTCCTCCTGCTTCCCCATCTGCTCCTCCTGCTTCCGCATCTGCTCCTCCTGCTTCCGCATCTGCTCCTCCTGCTTCCGCATCTGCTCCTCCTGCTTCCGCATCTGCTCCTCCTGCTTCCGCATCTGCTCCTCCTGCTTCCGCATCTGCTCCTCCTGCTCCTGCATCTGCTGCTCCTGCTCCCGCAGCTCCTTCTCCTGGTCCCGCAGCCTCTGCTCCTGTCTCCACATCTTCTCCTCGTGCTTCCGTAGCTTCTCCTGATCCCGTAGCTCCTCCTGATCCCGTAGCTCCTCCTCCTGCCTCCACATCTTCTCCTGCAAAGTGTTGGTTTGAACCTCAAAAGGAAATAGAGTCATAAGCTAGGTATATAAATGTAATCTATAAAATAACGGTTTTCGTCTATGATTCTTTAAAAAGAAATTTTAAGCCGTAACCCTGAGGTTCTGATTTCCCAGGCATGGTCCCAATTTGTAGATTTTTAGCACACTCTAGAGGATTCTGTGGTGGGACCAGAACAAGGACCCAAATTTTCCAGCTCTTGGCTGGAGCCTCCCCACACCCTGCATGATCCCTAGACCATGTCCCAGCCGGATGCGGCTCCCACACCCCCGGGGCTGCCGCCGCTCACCTGTGGCAGCGGGATTTTGTCCGTCTCCAGTTTCCTTTTTAGCTCCTTGATGTGGAGCTGGATCTCAGACTTTTCAGTTTCTACCAGTCGAAGTTTTTCTTGTAGTTCGGCATTTTTCTCCTTCAGCTCCTTATTGGTTATGCTATGGCCGGAGGCAGTAGAGAAAGGAATGAACGAAGAACAGAAAGGACCGCTTTGGTGATCGACCCTCTACCCTCGCCCCACAACCACAGAACCGTGGCACTGGAAGGGACCCCAGGAATTAAAAGTCCCAGGTGGCAGGCCAGAGAGAAGACATGAGTTGCCTGAGGCTACCCCATGAGTCAGTGGCACAGCCGGCACTGGAGCTTCCCTGCACACACATGTAAACCTGTATGACCCCCTACCATGCTCACCTGTACCCCCCACCTCCCAGCACACCACCCACGCTAAGGGCTCTCAGACCTCCCATCCCCCCCTCCCCTATCCTACATGTTCCTGAACAGCTCCAGACTCATGGCTTCCCTCTCCTTTGTTAACTCCTTGATGTACTGCAAACAGAGAAAGGTCAAGTCAGGATACAGCAGGCAGAGGAGCAGCTGGACGACCAGTAACGACAGCTACACTGATACTCCACAGTAACACTTGCTCCTCTCCGTCACACCCGACATGTTCTCAAGGCGTTTCCAAACCCGTGGTGTCATTTGTTTTTCTTTTCTTTTTTTTTTTTTTTTTGAGATGGAGTTTCGCTCTTGTTGCCCAGGCTGGAGTGCAATGGCGCGATCTCACCCCACCGCAACCTCCGCCTCCCGGCTTCAAGCGATTCTTCTGCCTCAGCCTCCTAAGTAGCTGGGATTACAGGCATGTGCCACTGCACCTGGCTCTCACTTGTTTTTCGGAGAACTCAGTAAGGGTGGAAGGCACAGAGAAAGAGACTGAATTGATAGCTGGCTAACAGGGGCCCAGAGCGATCAGATAATATTGTTATTGCTATTACTGTTATTATTACCACTGTTGGAACCTTTCTTGAGTGCTTCACCAGGCACTATGCTAACAATCCCATTTAATCCTCACAGCCACCACAGGAGACAGTTATCATTATCACCTCTATTGTGTAGATGAAAAACATGGGGTATTAAAGGTTAAGTGCTTGCCTAAGATCACTTAGAGCTGGGATTTCAACACCCAGGTATATCTGATTCTCTAAGCCCATTCTTTTGGTTGGGGGTAGGGGCACAGATAAGGAGGAGGAAATTAATCCTTTGTTGATTTTTGAAAGAATGATACATTGGCATAGTCCAAACCTCAGAAGGTACAGAAGGGAAATATCTTCCCCCAACACTGTTCCTCTCTCCTGAGTTTTTTATGAATCCTTACAAACATGTTTTATGTATATTACCATAATACGTACGTACACACACACACACACACACACACACACACACACACACACGTACATGTGTTCCCTCTCTCTACACAAATGGTAACATACTAAAGATACTCTTCTGTACCTTCATGGTACAAGTACCCTCAACTCCGCCTAGGATTTGACCAAGGCCACAGCCAAGTATGGGTGGGGTGGGCACTTGGCCTCCGAGCTCTGTGTCCAGTGCTCGCTCCCCACAGCGCCCCGCAACTCACCCACAGCAGCTGACTCAGCCCCAACCTGCCTCTAACAACCACGCACAAAAGCAGCAAGAAATGGCCCATGCTGTCTTCTGGGCAGGACACTGCATCCTGCAGAAGGGACCTTTAGGCTCATTCCTCCATCTGCGAAGCTGGGCTCCCAGGGGACCGGGTAGGTGGTTGGACTCACCTTGTCCGCCCTCTCGTGCTCTGCGGACATAGCAGAGAGAGCCCGCTGTAACTCTCCTGCAAAGTGCCAGGAATGATGCAGGCGGGCTGCCAGATCCTTGGAATCTTCTGGAATGAGAGAGGTTGAGCTGCAGCCCAAAGGCCTGTGAAAGTGCCAGGTTGAAGGATGACGGGGTGCCCAGATTCCCACCTTCAAATTTCCTGGCAGCATCCTGGCTGTCATGGAGCGCTGTCTCCAGTTCAGTTTTCTGACACATAAGGATTCGTATGGTATGATCCTGGGCCTTTGGGAGACAAGAAAAGCAAGTGCTGAAAGAGAAGCAAAGAAACCTTCTCCAGAGGACAGGAGGGAACTTCACACCCTCCACTCACCTCTAGCTGCCTCCTTAGGGCTTGCTGATGTTGGTGGCTTGCCTTATTTTCCTATAGAAAAGAAGAGGAAGACAGAGCTCTTACTAGAGGGAGGCAGAGATGGCACAGCAAGAGACATGCCCCCAGAATGGCCCCACTGTCCCAGGACAGGCCCACCCATGGGACCAGGTTATCAGGGACCCTGTGGGGATGGGGTGGAAGCTGGGAGGTGAGCCTTCCTCCCCAAGCTGGGAGTAGGCGAGACGAGACTGGGGCCTCTACATCTGAGTGCCCCCCAAACCCAGCGGTCATGTCGTGAGCAAAGAAAGAAACCATGTTACCTCTTTCAGCTGAGCTCGGTTCTGTTGTTTCTGTGGGGAGAGTCAAAGGAAGGTGACTGAGGGTGGTCCCTCGACTCTATTCCCCAGGCCAGGAAGCGGTAGGCAGGGGTCAGGAATGGATTTTAAGGGCAAAGTTCTCAGACCCAATGGGAACACAAACTGGTCAACTTTCCTTAACGCCCAAAGAAAAAGGATTTGGGTCTTTGTTGGCTTTTGCCCACAGCCACAGAACTGAAAGTCTGAAACTAGATTCTCTGGAAAAGACAGTAACATAAACCTTCCGACATAAGAGTGTGAGAAAAGCCCACCCTTCTGCCAGCTTGTGATGGAGAAAGATGTGTTCATTCAACAAGCATTGAGCAAGCACATAGGGGCCGGGGACGGTTCTTCACTGCTGGGATATAGGACGGAAAAGGCAGACAGGAGCCCTTGGCCCCAAGGTTTCCATTCTAGTGAATCTTTAAATCTCAGACTCTCAGAGCAAACAGAACCTCTGATACTCTAACTCTACCTCCTCAGGAAACGGAAGCCCAAAGAGGAGGGGAGCTTACAGCAGGCCCTGGACTAGGGATTAACACAAAAACAACAGCAACAAATCTGATTTAAGCTTCACACATGTAAGTAAAACATTACCATCCCCATTTTACAGATGTGAAAAGAGAGGCCCAAAGAGCTCGAGCAATTTTCCCTAAACCGTGTCCCTCGCAGTTGGAGAGAGAAGTAGGACTCAAACCCAGAATTCTTAGCCAGTACCCAGCAGTTCTTCCTTCCACAATCTTAACAGTTACCCTCGACCTCCCCCTTGTGCCCCTTGTCCTCAGGAGACCGGCCAGCCAAGACTCACATCCTCAGGCGAGTGGCAGCCCCCCGAAGTGGTTGTCTCAGGGTTAGCGCCATGATTTATTTTCTTCTTTTTGGTGTCGGTTGCTCCGGTACCAACACCAGCACTGTTCCACTGATGATAGTCTGTAAACTGTGGAAAAGAGGAGCAGTGATACTCATGAGAACTACAAGCTCCTACAGTCACTTTACAGTTTATACAAAATACTCTCATAGACGATCTGACTTAATGCCACCAACGACTGTACGAGGTGTTGTCGCAATCACTTAGTGACTGAGAGGGATTGATACCATGGCTAAAAGAAAGGCAATAATGGAACTGAAACTCAGTCTTCTGACTCTGAGCTCTGGGGTGTTGCCACAAATCAGCAGCTGCCAGAGACCAAAACCAGAGGCAGAGGTAGAAAAGTAAAAAGTAGGCAGGAAGGTGTACACTGTGTGGTTTACAGTCGTACATCCTCTTAGAGTCATGTATCCTCAGGGCAGAAGGCAGCCTTTCTGTTAAATGTGGGAATTAAACAGAAAGAGGACAACCCAAGCTGCATTTCAGAGAGAAGTCTTGTATACTCTTTGAAATCTATGTGACTATCATCCCTAAGAACATTAATGTTTTGTGTCTCCCACGAGAATCAAGGAAAACTGATGCTTCAGAAAGATGCCCCATATGTATCCTGTGGCACTCAAAGTACCCCAGGTTGAGATGAGATGAGGAAGATTCAAGTTGTCAAGTCCAGTTTCCCAAGATCTCTTGCACAGAAGATGAGCAAATCTCACTTCAAAGATCACTGACTGATGGGCACTCTGGTCCCAGAACCATGGAGAATTCAAATATGAAGTGGAGAACTTAGAAAAAACTGTTAAAGTCTCTCTGGAGAGTAGAAGCCTGGGAGAAAACCAAACCAAACCCATTATCCCATCAGTGCTGTGCCCAAGTTGCCTCTTTGAGATTGGCATGGGGTCACAGGGTTGGGACCCAGGTACTTGGAGACGTGAGCCCAAAGAGCCCAGGGAAGTCAGGCTTGGGGCAGCGGTAGGTGAGGGCCGAGTATGGAGTGGGGAGCCCCAGGAGTCACCTGCCCAAAGTCACCCTGGGGTGACTGGTGAGGGCAGGTGCTGGGGCATCCGGTTCCTTGGGAACGTGAGCCCGAAGGGCCCAGGGAGATCCATTTTTGGACAATAGGAGGTGAGGGCAGAGTACAAAGCAGGGAGCCCCACGAGTCACCGGCTGAAAGTCACCCTGGGGTGACCGGTGAGGGCAGGGGCAGGACTGCTGAGGGGTTGGGGCTGACACAAGATTTTGGTTGGGGGAGCCCAGAGGCACTGGGGGGGGCCCGGCCCTGCGTGCCTCTGGAGTGACACGGATTCTGGCAGCTGTTCTGCCATCAGAGGGGACCTGGGGCTGGGTTGGGGTTGGGGTGCTGCAATCCGATGCGTTTTACCTTTTTCTTGGTCCCAGCCAATTTTCTTTGTTGGGTTTTTTCGGACATCATGGGGTGGGGAGGGTGGTGGGGTTGGGGTCACATTGGCGTGATCCAGGCGAGGACAGTGATATGCCTCCAGTCACGTACCACACAGCTATGTGACTGAGCCACAGGAGGCGTCACCGGGGCTGCACTAGAATGCGGAAAAGGGGCGTGGCCTTAATGCTCCAAGCCCATTGGTCAATGAGAAAGATGAAAGGGAAAGGAGGCGGGGCCAGGCAGCTGCGGGTCATGAAGGTCCTGTGATGTCACAAGGAAAGCCTCCCATGGAACTGCTGTCCCCGCCCACTCTGGGAGAGGGGCGGGGCTGGCTTTCACTTACTTTTTTTTTTTTTTACATATATAACTTTTTATTATAATTTAAGGTATAGTCGATAATATAATGTTTTTTTTTGTTTTGTTTTGTTTTGTTTTTTTTAATTGATCATTGGGTGTTTCTCGCAGAGGGGGATTTGGCAGGGTCATAGGACAATAGTGGAGGGAAGGTCAGCAGATAAACAAGTGAACAAAGGTCTCTGGTTTTCCTAGGCAGAGGACCCTACGGCCTTCTGCAGTGTTTGTGTCCCGGGGTACTTGAGATTAGAGAGTGGTGATGACTTTTAACGAGCATGCTGCCTTCAAACATCTGTTTAACAAAGCACATCTTGCACCGCCCTTAATCCATTTAACCCTGAGTGGACACAGCACATGTTTCAGAGAGCACAGGGTTGGGGGTAAGGTCACAGATCAACAGGATCCCAAGGCAGAATAATTTTTCTTAGTACAGAACAAAATGAGAAGTCTCCCATGTCTACCTCCCTCTACACAGACACGGCAACCATCCAACCTCTCAATCTTTTCCCCACCTTTCCCCCCTTTCTATTCTACAAAACCGCCATTGTCATCATGGCCCATTCTCAATGAGCTGCTGGGCACACCTCCCAGACGGGGTGGCGGCCAGGCAGAGGGGCTCCTCACTTCCCAGTAGGGGCAGCCGGGCAGAGGCGCCCCTCACCTCCCGGACGGGGCGACTGGCTGGGCGGGGGGCTGACCCCCCCACCTCCCTCCCGGACGGGGTGGCTGGCCGGGCAGAGGGGCTCCTCACTTCCCAGTAGGGGCGGCCGGGCAGAGGCGCCCCTCACCTCCCGGACGGGGCGGCTGGCCAGGCGGGGGGCTGACCCCCCCACCTCCCTCCCGGACGGGGCGGCTGGCCGGGCGGGGGTTGACCCCCACCTCCCTCCCGGACGGGGTGGCTGCCGGGCGGAGACGCTCCTCACTTCCCAGACGGGGTGGCTGCCGGGCGGAGGGGCTCCTCACTTCTCTGACGGGGCGGCTGCCGGGTGGAGGGGCTCCTCACTTCTCAGATGGGGCGGTTGCCAGGCGGAGGGTCTCCTCACTTCTCAGACGGGGCGGCCGGGCAGAGACGCTCCTCACCTTCCAGGCGGGGTCGCGGCCGGGTAGAGGCGCTCCTCACATCCCAGACGGGGTGGCGGGGCAGAGGCGCTCCCCACATCTCAGACGATGGGCGGCCGGGCAGAGGCGCTCCTCACTTCCTAGATGGGATGGCGGCCGGGAAGAGGCGCTCCTCATTTTCCAGACTGGGCAGCCAGGCAGAGGGGCTCCTCACATCCCAGACGATGGGCAGCCAGGCAGAGACGCTCCTCACTTCCCAGACGATGGGCGGCCAGGCAGAGACGCTCCTCACTTCCCAGACGGGGTGGCAGCCGGGCAGAGGCTGCAATCTCGGCACTTTGGGGGGCCAAGGCAGGCGGCTGGGAGGTGGAGGTTGTAGCGAGCCGAGATCACGCCACTGCACTCCAGCCTGGGCACCATTGAGCGCTGAGTGAACCAGACTCCGTCTGCAATCCCGGCACCTCGGGAGGCCGAGGCTGGCAGATCACTCGCGGTTAGGAGCTGGAGACCAGCCCGGCCAACACAGCGAAACCCCGTCTCCACCAAAAAAATACGAAAACCAGTCAGGCGTGGCGGCGCGCGCCTGCAATCGCAGGCACTCGGCAGGCTGAGGCAGGAGAATCAGGCAGGGAGGTTGCAGTGAGCCGAGATGGCAGCAGTACAGTCCAGCTTCGGCACAGCATCAGAGGGAGACCGTGGAAAGAGAGGGAGAGGGAGACCGTGGGGAGAGGGAGAGGGAGAGGGAGACCGTGGGGAGAGGGAGAGGGAGACCGTGGGGAGAGGGAGAGGGAGAGGGAGAGGGAGAGGGACTCACTTTCTAAACTTTAAAACTTTATCACCTTAGTTGAGGTACAAATCCTGTTGTAATGGAAAATTTACAGCGTGCTTAATGATTAGTAAAGCAGATTATATTATCCAACATTCCAATAAGATAAAATAATCACAGTGATTTCTCTTTTTTGGAAAAAGTTTCTCTTATTCTCCTACATTATTGTTAAGTTTTTTTTTTTTTTAAACTAGAGATATGTCTAATATATTTTAAAACACAAAGCTTTTGAGGTGGGTGTGGTGGCTCATGCCTGTCATCCCAGCACATTGGTAGGCTGAGATGGGCATATCACCTGAGATCAGGAGTCAAGACCAAAATTTTAGTATTTTAGTGTGTATTTTAGTATTTATTTTAGTATTTAATACATCATTTAGGGCTACATGTAGCCACAGAAAGAATAAATCTGATTCAGTGACTTAAAGAAATATAGATTTCATTTTTGTCACTTAAAACGTGCAGAGGAAGGCAGTCCAGGGTTCTTTTCAGTTTCCTGATACTTCCTTAGCCTGGTTTCTATTCTTGTGGTCACAATGTGGCTGCTGTTTTTCCAGGCCTTGGATTGCCTTCCAAGGAGGGAAAGATGAAAGGTCAAAAGGCTGAGTTTGTCTCTTTTTAGCTGAAAAACACAGATTTCTCAAAAGTTGTAAAATTATACTGCAATTCAATTTTCATCCTTTTTTTTTTTTTTTTTTTTGAAACGCAGTCTTGCTCTGTTGCCAGGCTGGAGTGCAGTGGCACAATCTCGGCTCACTGTCATAATGTCCGCCTCCATGGTTCAAGTGATTCTCCTACCTCAGCCTCCCTAATAGCTAGGAATACAGGCGCATGACACCACGCCCGACTCATTTCTATTTGTATTTTTAGTAGAGACGAGATTTCACCATGTTGGCCAGGCTGGTTTTGAACTCCAGACCTTGTGATCCGCCCACCTCTGCCTCCCAAAGTGCTGGAATTAGAGGCATGAGCCACTGCGCCTGGCCTGCAATTTTCATCTTTTGGCTGCAAATAAGTTATGTCACTATTCTCAGCTGGGGGAGTGTTTAACTCACATGTTGCTTCCTCTCTGTTACACAGGTTTTAAGATTTATGAATAGGTACTGAATTGTATCAATTGCTTTTTTCTTTCTTGATTGAGCAGTGTTTTTTCTTATCTTTTTATGTTGATAAGGTAACTTAACAGTGATTGGCTTTTGAATGTTGAACATTGCATTTTGGAATTAAATCAACTTTGTTGTGATAAATGATTAATACCATATTATATATGGTTGAGATGGGTTTGCTCCTAGTTCATTTGGTAGTTTTGTACTTACGTTCACAAGAGAAAGTGGAGTCTAAGTTTTTCTGTGTGTTTTTTTTTTTTTTTTTTTTTTTTTTGCCACGGAGTCTCGCCCTGTTGTCCAGGCTGGAATGCAGTGGCATGATCTCGGCTCATTGCAAGCTCCGCCTTCCGGGTTCACGCCATTCTCCTGCTTCAGCCTCCCGAGTAGTTGGGACTATAGGCGCCCACCACCACCCCTGGCTAATTTATTGTATTTTTTTAGTAGAGACGGGGTTTCACCGTGTTAGCCAGGATGGTCTCGATCTCCTGACCTCGTGATCCACCCGCCTCAGCCTCCCAAAGTGCTGGGATTACAGGCGTGAGCCACTGCACCCAGACTTGTGAGGTTTTAATATGAAGTATTAAAGCTATGCTGGTTAGACAATTTGAGAAATGTTTCTTCTCCTATTTCTGACAGAGTTTATGTAAGATGTGTGCTATTTCTTCCTTAAGCATTTGGAAAGAATTCACTTATTAAGCCATGTGAGACTGTAGTTTTCTTTATAAGGTGTTTAATTACAGGTTCAATTACATATATATGAATATTCATTTCGGTAACCTGTGTTTGCTGAATCAATTTGTTCATTTTATCTAAAATTTCAAAGTTGTTCTATTATTCATTTATCTTTTTAATACTTATAAGGTGTGCGGTTAGAATTTGTGCCTTTTGTCTGTTTTGTTAATCAATCTTGCTGGGGGCCATCAATTTTATCAGTGTTTCAAAAAAGCAAACTTTGATTTTATTCATCCCTTTACCATACTAAAAATGTTTTGCTTAATTTCCAAACTTACACTTCCACTGTGATTAAATATTTGTATAACTAAAACTCTTTGGAATTTGTGTCTTCTCAATGATTAAAAATATGATTAATTTTTATAAATATTGCTTCTGCACTTGAAAAGGATATGTATTCTGCATGTTGAGCGTAGTGTACCACGTATCTCAATTAGACGGAGCGTGTTAAATGCATCCTTTAAAGATTCTATTTCCTTACTGATGTTTGTCTATTTTTCAGTGGCTGAGACACAGATATGAAACTTTCCCACAATCATCGTCAACTTATTTCTTTTTTTCGTTTGTTAAGCTTTGTTCTGTGTGTTTTAAGGTTAAGTTACCAGGCATAAACACATTTAGAATTCCTTTTTCTCCCTGCTGGTTGCACCCTTTTATCATTAGGAAATACCCTCTTTATCTCTCATATACCTCTTTCATTAGAGTTTTTTTAATATGTAAAAGAAAATAAAGTCTTGGAACGCCAAACCTGTTATGGTAAGGGAGACGTAAGTTTGGGAGCTTAGTCATGCAAAACTGCCATTCTTTCTCCCCAAAGAGATAGCTGCCATTTCACAACCCTGTGTGATGGCATTAGACATAAGCCAGGTCCCCACTACCACAAAAGGCCACATACCTCTCCATATGGCCCCCCTTACAAACTGTTCACAGGGACATTCCCTGCTAGCCCCTAAATCTTTCAGGATCCATGTCCCCCTATAAAATAAGCATATGCCAGTTGTAACCCTGGCTCTGCAACCTCAGTTTAAGATGTGACACTGAGTTCTATTCAATCTGACACTGACAATGTTGAATACAGGTTTATCTTCCCAGGTACAGAACAAGAACATGAGATCAAGCACTCTTCAGGCTATCCTGAGATGGCTTCATAATTGACTCTTTCCTCCCTCTTTTCAAATGTTTACCTCGTCTTATGTAAAATGAAGATTTACTGAGCACTAATTAGAGCTTCCTAAGAATGTAACCACCCCTTCACTGCCTGCTCCCCCTCCCTTTCTTCTCTCCTGCCTGCCTTCTCCCCTTACATACTGAGTTCCCAAAACCCTCTTTGGAAAGCACGGGTCACAGTAGTTTCTGTGGCTTGTGTTTTTTCCGGGGGTGTCGTCAAATTGTAGCTCCACAAAGCTCTATAGATGCAGGCACTTGCCTCAGTCGGTGGCTCATTTTTTGTTGTTTTTTTTTTCATTTAACAGCTATAAATACAGTTACCCTTGTTTTTATTTACTTAGTCTTTGCTTTGTCAGTCTTTGACTGTCAATTTTTCTTTTTTAAAAATAAATTTTCTTGTGTATAGTTAAAGCTTACAACATGATGTTAAAAGTTATATATAGATTGTAAAAAGATTCCTATACTGAAAGAAATTAACACACCAATCGTTTCACATAGTTCCCCATTTCCTTGTTGCTTTTGTGGCAAGAGCGGTTGAAATCTACTCATTGAGCATGAATTTCACATACAGAACAATTTTGTTCCCTGCAGTCCTCATGTCATCCATTACATCTCTAGACTTGTTCATCCTTCATACCTGCTACTTTGTGTCCTTTGGCCTCCATGTCCCCAATTCCTCCCCTCTCCTACCTCCCCTGGTAAACAATGTTTTGCTCTCTATCTCTGTAGATTTATTTATTTACATTTTTACATCCCACATATAAATGAGTTTATGCAATATTTGCTTTTCTGTGTATGCTTTATTTCACTTAGCATGACGTCCTCCAGCCTCATCCATCTTGTGGCAAATGGCAAGACCTTGTTTGTTTTAGGGCTGAATAATATTCCATTGTGTGTGTGTGCCACAGTCTCTTTATCCATTTATCCATTGATGGACACTTAGATTGTTTCCATATCTTGGCTATTGTGATTAAGGCTGCAATGAACATGACAATACAGGTATCTTTACAAAGTAATGATTTCATTTCCTTTGGGTGCATGTCCAGAAGAGGGATTGCTGAGTCATATGGTAGTTCTATTTTTAATTTCTCTAGAAATCTTCATACTCTTTTCCAGAATGGCTGTATCAATCTACATTCTCATCCATAGTATGCAAAAGTTCCCATTTCTCCACACTCTTGCCAACATTTATCTTTTGACGTTTTGATAATGGTCATAAGGGGTGTGAGGTGGTATCTCAGTGGGTTTGATTTGCATTTCCCTAATGACCTACAATGCGGAACACCTTTCAGATACCCACTTGCTATTTTTATGTCTTCTTTAAAGAAAGGTCTATTCGAGTTCTTTTTTAAAAACATTTTAAAAATTGGGTTATTTGTTTTGAGTTGTATCAATTATTTATATATTTTGGATTTTATTTTTTTTGAGACAGGGTCTGCTCTGTTATGCAGACTGGAGTACAGTGGCACAATCACAGCTTACTTGACCTTCTGGGTTCAAACATTCTCCCATCTCAGCCTCCCAAGTAGCTGTGACTAGAGGCGCACACCACTATGCCTGGCTAATTTTTAAATGTTTTGTTGAGACAGGGTCTCACTATGTTGGCAGGCCTGGACTCAAACTCCTGGGCTCAAGTGATCCTCCCACCTCAGCTTCTGAAAGTGCTGGGATTAAGCAGTGAGCCACTGCACCTGGCTAAATGTTGGATATTTACTCCTAATTGGCTGGGTGTGGTGGCTCACACTTGTAATCCCAGCACTTTGGGAGGCTGAGGCGCTTGGATCACTTGTGTTCGGGCATTCGAGACCAGCCTGGCCAATATGGTGAAACCCCATAATGGACTTTTGGCTTCTTTAACTGGGAAATGAGGATCGTGACCATCCCTGCCAAACAGGAGAGGAGATGGACTGATGTGTGTTGTGAGGCCCAACATGGTGAAACCCCATTTCTACTAAAAATACAACCAGCCAGGCATGGCGAGGCTGAGGCAGGCGAATTTCTTGAACCCGGGAGGCGGAAGTTGCAGTGAGCTGAGATCCCACCATTGTACTCCAGCCTAGGCAACAGAGCAAGACTTCGTCTCAAAAAAAAAAAAAGAAAAAAGAAAATTCACTTCAATAAATGGTGAGACCAGCTTTGCAAAGATGACAGTGAGAGAAGTCTAGCATGGCCGACTCCATCTTGCTTCCAGTCTCACGGGTCTGCTGTCTTTGCTCATTCCTGGGCATAGGCCAAATCAGCCATGGGAGAAATTTAGTTCATAGTCTAACGTTGCCATTTCCAGTCCTCGGGGGTCCCCTCTTTCCACTCCACGCTTAGTTATCAATTTGTTACTCTGCTTTAAAATGTATGTTGTTTTTTTGTAATCCCAGATACTCGGGAGACTGAGGCAGGAGAATCGCTTGAACCTGGGATGCAGAGGTTGCAGTGAGCCGAGATCGCACCATTGCACTCCAGCCTGGGCGACAGAACGAAACTGTGTCTCATAAAACAAATATAACTGAAATGGTAATGTGTTTCTTTAAAACTGAAGAAAATGTGCAAGGTGGATGTCTTCCTGTCACTTCGCACAGCCTACTGCCATAGCACCTGAGCCCCAGACCCTAAACTCACTGTCCTGCTCGGGGACCCCAGACCACACTGGCCATTGAAGGCACCCCAAGTACTCTCCTATCCTCACCTCGCTCCTGCAGTAAATGGCTAAATGAATAACTCAGAAGTGAAGCCAAAAAAGAAAAAGAAAATGCACATGGGGAACAGGAGAGGCGAGCAGAGGCCAGTCTGGAAGCCTGGGCTGATACGCTGTGAAGAGATGTCTCCGGGTGCTGCCTGCGGGGCGCAGTCTGCCATTCAGAACACACCTAGAGAAGTCCTAACCATTAAAGAGCACCCATTCCTGAGTCCCCTGCCTGCCCACAAAACTTTCCTTGAAACACCCTAACCTCTGAGCCTTTGGGGAGGCTGATTTCAGTGATAACTCCAGTCCTTCCATGTGGCTGGCATTGAGTTAATTCAACTCCTTACTGCAATACCATGGCCTCAGTGAACTGGTTTTGTCTGTGCAGCAAGCAGGAAGAACCCACCAGGGAATTACAATGGTATTGGGAAAACTGGATTTCCACGTGCAAATGAATGAATGATGTTACCCCAAGTGGTTGGGGATGCAATCATACGGGTGTGGAAATAGTCCTTATGCACTGAGTCCACATCTGGGTGGGGCCACAGGTTGAGTCCAGGTGGGGTAAGTCTGAGAAACATCCCAAAAGGCCAATTTTAGGTTCCACAATAGTGATGTTATCTACAGGAGGCACTGGGGAAGACACAAATCTTGTGACCTCTGGCCACATGACTCCTGAGCAGTAAGGGGTTACAGAAACTATGCCTGTATTTTCACAGAATTCAGGCCCCCACGCACCAAATCCTAATCTTGTGGCCTTTCATTCATCTTACAAAAGTGGGTTCAGCTCCTGGACAAGGACAGCATCAGTTTTAGGGAGGTTCTATTATCATCCTTGCTTCAACGTTAGCATAGCAGACAAGCGCAGAACCAGAAATTAACACGTGGGAAATTATACACCACAAATAGTACAATCCATGGAAGAACCAAGGGAATGGCGATAGCAGAATGTCAGGAAAGGACTTTGTAATGTGTAGGCCTTAGAGAAATAGGGAACTGAGACAAGAATCTATTTGAATTCTTGGAAATAAAAAATGTAATTACCATGTTGGCCAGGCTGGTCTTGAACTCCTGACCTCAGGTGATCCACCTGCGTCGGCCTCCCAAACTGCTGGGATTGCAGACATGAGCCACTGCACCCGGCCAAGAAGTGACTATTGTTTCTCCATTGTGTCCTCTTGATGCCCTTGTCAAAAATTAGTTGACCAGATATGTTTGGATTTATTTCTGAGCTCTCTGTTGTGTTACTGTCAATTTTTCCATATCCTGCTTTTCTTTTTCTTTTTTTGCTGCAAAAACTTTCTTCCCCTTTGGTCCACGGCTTGGGAGAAGGCTGGAGGGTGGTTAAAAAGCTGCCTACTGGCTGGAGAGAGAGGGTCAGGCAGAAGCCCTGATACCAGGAGGTGCAGAGGAACCCCTCAAAGGCTGCTGGGCTTTGGAGGCCCTGGTTGTGCTTGTGGGTAGGCTTTTGGAAAAGAGACTGGTGCAGGTGGGCCTGGGGGCTGGCCGGCCAGCAAAGGTAACTGCGGTGGTTGCCCATCATCTTGAAGAGTTTCATCTTCCCATTTAGGAAATGGCTGTCCTGAAAGTCACAGAGATGAAAGTCTGTGTGGGCAGATCCCAGGGCATGCGGATCCATAAGGGCCTGGTTCAGATTCTTCTCCAGGCAACGGTGGCTTTGATGGCATCCATGATTTTCCCCACTCATCTAGAGATGGCTTCTGTGCACCTTGGAAGATGGTGCAGCTGGTTTTGCACTTCCAAGAGACACACTGTGCCCTTGTGCTTCTATTGAACCAACTCATGGAAGAAGCAGCCAAAGCGCTCCAGAGCCACTCATTGTGGTTGAAATAGAAGCCCAGGGAATGGTAAGTGCAGGACACCCGCCGATGCACATGGACCAGGCAGCTGACTGCAGCTTCCTCCTCGGTGGAATCATTCTGACGAATCTGGGAGCTTGTGGTTGGTTGGCAATAAGGAGCTAACCTTATTTCTAACACAACGGTGTTGGCTGGTCCTGGAAGCAGGAGATGGCTGAGAAGATGGTCCTGGAGGTTGCAATTGGAGAGAAGATTGGAGGTTAGGAGAGGCTGGAAGAAAGGGAGTCCTCAGGTCTGTCCTATCCTAACACTGTTGAATCAAGGGACAGATGTGTGGGATCACTGGGAGTGCTGCCTAGACCTGCAATTTTTTTTTTTTTTTTTTTGAGACAGAGTCTCAGTGTGTCACCCAGGCTGTAGTGCAGTGGTGCAATCTCGGCTCACTGCAACCTCCGCCTCCTGGGTTCGAGCAATTCTCCTGCCTCAGCTTACCGAGTAGCTGGGAATACAGGCGCCCACCACCATGCCCGGCTAATTTTTGTATTTTTAGTAGAGACGGGTTTCACCATGTTGGCCAGGCTGGTATCCAACTCCTGACCTCAGGTGATCCACCTGCCTTTGCCTCCCAAAGTGCTGGGATTACGGGCGTGAGCCACCATGCCCGGCCTGGACCTGCATTTTTAATGTGTGTTTTTAATATGCAGAATATAGCTAAGAAATGAAATCCAATATATTTTGATTTTTATGTTATTTTGTTGTTTGGTTTTGGGGTCTTTTTTGAGACAGGGTCTCACTCTGTCACTTAGGCTGGAGTACAGTGGCATGATCATAGCTCACTACAACCTCAAATCCTGGGCTCACGCAATTGTCCCACCTCAGCCTGGGGCTATATGTGCACACCACCACGTCTGGCTAATTTTTTTATTTTTAGTAGACACGAGGTCTCGCCATGTTGACAAGGCTGGTCTTGAACTCCTGAGCTCAAGCGATCAGCCTGCCTCGGCCTCCCAAAGTACTGGTGTAAGCCACCAAGCCTGGCCTGATTTTCTCTCTTTTTTTTTTTTTTTTTTTTTTTTTGAGACAAGAGTCTTGCTCTGTCACCCAGGCTGGAGTGCAGTGGCGCGATCTCGGCTCACTGCAAGGGTTCTCCTCCTGGGTTCACACCATTCTCCTGCCTCAGCATCCTGAGTAGCTGTGACTACAGGTGCCCGCCACCACATCTGGCTAATTTTTTTGTATTTTTAGTAGAGACGGGGTTTCACTGTGTTAGCCAGGACGATCTCCTGACCTCGTGATCTGCCTGCCTTGGCCTCCCAAAGTGCTGGGATTACAGGTGTGAGCCACCATTCCCGGCCCCTGATTTTCATTTTTTTAATGCATTACTTATCATCTTTTCTCCCTGACACCTTTTTTCTCTTTTTCCTTGATATTCTGAAGTTTCTTTCTGTATGAGTGCGTGAGCATGTGCATACAGGCACACACACAACTCTGTACAAGTTCTGTCCAGCTGTCAGTTCAGTAATTGCTGAATTGTTAATTTCAGTCACTATATTTTTTATTTCCAGGGATTCAAATTGATTTTTGTCTCAGTTCCTCCTCTATTTCTCTAAGGTCTACATATTATAAAGTCATTTCCTGACATTCTGCTATCACCATTCCCTCGGTTCTTCCACGGATTGTCCTGTCTATTTGTGGTATATAACTTCCCCACGTGTTAATTTCTGGTTCTGCCCTTGTCTGCTATGAGAGGCTTCTCTAGGTGTGTTCTCAATGGCAGACTGCTCCCCACAGGCAGCCCCTGGAGACATCTCTTCACAGTGTATCAGCCCAGGCCTCCAGGCTGCAGATGGCTGTGGCCTCTGCTCGCCTCTTCTGTTCCCCATGTGCATTTTCTTTTTCTTTTTGGCTTCACTTCTGAGTTATTCATTTAGCCATTTACTGCAGGAGCGAGGTGAGGATAGGAGAGTGCTTGGGGTGCCCTCAATGTCCAGTGTGGCCTGGGGTTCCCCGAGCAGGACAGTGAGTTTGGGGTCTGGGGTTCAGGCACTATGGCAGTAGGCTGTGCAAAGTGACAGGAAGACATCCACCTTGCACATTTTCTTTTTTTTTTTTTTAAAGAAAGACAATATCAAGTCCACAGGGGTCCCCTCTTTCCACTCCATGCTTAGTTATGTATTTGTTACTCTGCTTTAAAATATATGTATTTTTTGTAATCCCAGCTACTCAGGAGACTGAGGCAGGAGAATCGCTTCAACCTGGGAGGTGGAGGTTGCAGTGAGCCGAGATCATGCCACTGCACTTCAGCCTGGGTGACAGAACAAAACTCTGTCTCAAAAAACATATATATATATATATATATAAAATCCATGTCTAATGATGTTCTATAGAAGAAAGAGATGTAACGTGGTCACGCTGCCATCTTGACAGTGGAATTTTTTTGTAGTTGTTTTTTGTTTTGAGACAGAGTCTCACGCTTATGGCCTAGGCTGGAGTGCAGCAGTGCCATCTCGGCTCACTGCTACTTCTGCCTCCCGGGTGCAAGTGATTCTCCCACCTCAGCCTCCTGAGTAGTTGGGATTACAGGCGTCTGCCACTACTCCCAGCTAATTTTTGTATTTTTAGAGGGACAGGATTTCGCCATATTGGCCAGGCTAGTCTCAAACTCCTGACCTCAGGTGATCTGCCTGCCTTGGCTTACCAAAGTGCTGGGATTACAGGCATGAGCCACCGTGCCCGGCCAACAGTGGACTGCTTTTGTCTGTCTACTCTGTGAAATAGTAAGACCTCGCAGGCCAGGAGCTCAATATGGATCCAGACCGGAGTGAGGATGGCAGAGGCGCAGCGGCGTCAGGGCCTGAGTCCGGGTCCTCCGGCTCACTCTGGCCACACCGCGAGGGTCTTCTCTTGTGCCTAATCAGCCCTCCACACTGGTGTTGGCTGAGGTGTCCACTCCTTCCAGGGTTTTGGATCTCTGGTGCAAGTTCCATTGTCTCAGCATCAACTTGTCCCGGGCCCAGCCTACCCAGCTGGCTGTGTCCTGTCTTGGAGTGGCCAAGCCACTCCCACGAGGGCTGCAGGCAGTTCTGTGAGGCCGCTGCCTGAGACCACTCAGCCTCACTGTCTTTACTGACCCCACGTGATGGCCTGGGGATTTCTCTCAGCCCTAGGATGTCAAAATTCAGTGGTTCTCAAAGGTCAGTTGTGCAATCGAACCACCGGGGGAGTTTTTAAATTACAGATTTCCTGGCACTGCATCCCAGAATGTCTTATTCTGCGTAAGTCTGGAGTGAGGCCTAAGAATGTCCATGTCTGTCTGTCTTTCTTTTTTCTTTCTTTTTCCTTCCTTCCTTCCTTCCTTCCTTCCTTCCTTCCTCCCTCCCTCCCTTCCTCTTTCTTTTGTTCTTTCGTTCTTTCGGCTCTTGCTCTGTTGCACAGACTGGAGTGCAGTGGTGCGAACATAGCTGGCTGCAGCCTCAATCTCCTGGGCTCAAGAGCTCCTCCCACCTCAGCCTCACAAGTAGCTGGGACAACAGGAGCACACCACCACACCCAGCTAATTCAAAAAAAAATTTTTTTTTTTTTGAGACTGAGTCTCACTCTGTCACCAGGCTAGAGTGCAGTGGTGCAATCTTGGATCACTGCAATCTCTGCTGGCTGGGTTCAAGCAATTATCCTGCCTCAGCCTCCTGAGTAGCTGGGATTACAGGCGCCTGCCACCGCACCCTGCTAATTTTTGAAGTTTTAGTAGAGACAAGGTTTCACCATGTTGGTCAGCCTGGTCTTGAACTCCTGACCTCGTGATCCACCCACCTCGGCCTCCCAAAGTACTGGGATTACAGGCCTCAATGAGCCACTGACTGCGCCCGGCCTTCAAAAACTTTTTGTAGAGATGGGGTCTCGATATGTTGCCCAGGCTGGTCTCCAACTCCTGGCCTCAAGAGATCCCCCAACCTTGGCCTCCCAAGCTACTGGGATTCCAGGCACGAGACACTGGGCCTGGCCCTAGAATTTTCATTTTTAACCAGGTACCAGGTGAGGCCAGTGTTGCTGGTTGAGGGACCACAGTCTCAGAACCACCACCCTAGAGAGAGGAATAGGGAGCTGTTTTTCCTGTTTCTCTCTTACCTTGACTTTGGAAGAATCGAAGCCAGGACTTTGACATATTTATTCTCCGGTTTCACTGGCATGGGGATCATGCTCACAGCTAATGGTGTGAACTGGAGGATGGGGAGAAGTGTGGGCTTCTGGGGGAAAACCCACTAAATGACCATAATACCATTGGTTAAATTTAGCTGGTATTTAAGGGGATGGTCTCTTTTATCCAAGAAGATATATACACATATAATTTTAGAAGTTACTACTTCTTTCTTTTTTTTTTTTGTGAGATGACGTCTCACTCTGCAGCCCAGGCTGGAGTGCAGTGGTGCTATCTCGGCTCGCTGCAAGCTCTGTCTCCCAGGTTCAAGCGATTCTCCTGCCTCAGCCTCCCAAGTAGCTGGGACTACAGGTGCCTGCCCCCACGTCCAGCTAATTTTTTGTATTTTCAGTAGAGATGGGGTTTCACCTGTTAGCCAGGATGGTCTTGGTCTCCTGACCTCGTGATCTGCCCGCCTCAGCCTCCCAAAGTGCTGGGATTACAGGCACGAGCCACCGCACCCAGCCCCTACTTTCTTTTTTGTAGTTACTCCCTCTGAGATCCCTTCGACAGCAGACTCTGAGAGTTGGATGGGATCTAGTACAGGCACCTAGAGAACATTAATACCACACACCTGGATCAGAAGGCCCCATAGAAGTGAAAAACTGAAGAACTTCAGATGCCTCAACTGACTTCACAGGCTGCAGATGGAAGAAAACCAATTCCAGGGAGCCCTGTCTGCCTGTGTTGTTTGTGTGAGTTACTTAAGCAGCCAGATCAAGGGCTGGCCGCCCCTCCAGGTGATTCCCAGCCTCCACCACCTTCTCTTGCAAATGCTCCCTCAGTACTATGTAGACAATCAGAGAAATAATCAACATTTTATAGATGGCCTGACATACTCTTTGTGTATGTGATTTGCTAGCTTGGTATTTTAAATATGCTAAATCCAAGACATGCGTTAAAATTTAAAACCCCGCTAAGGTGTAGGAGGAAGGCACGGCGTATAGTAAATGTAAGAAGTTAATGGTTCTCATAGCAACAGCAGAAAACATAGTTGAGCTTTTCCCACAAGCCTGGCCTTCATTCAGCATTGGATGTCTCAGGGAAGGGCACCATCTTTCTTCAAGATGCAAGAGTCAGAGACTGAAGGCCAATGCTGGCACTGCCTCTCCCTCGGCAACTTTCTATCTGAGAGCACGTGTGCGCAGGCGCGCACACACACACACACACACACACACACACACACACACACACAGGGCTCACAAAGGCCTCTTTTTTGAGCCTTTCAAACAGCTCTCAGTCCATGTGCTGCACTCCATCTCCCCATCCCCCTTCATCTGTGTGCATCCGCTGTGGTCCACACAATCCAATCCATTCTGCACTCAGCAGCCAGTGTGATTTCTTTTCTTTTTTTTTTAACAATAACCTTAACACAGATAATGTTAGTAGCTCTTAAGCATGTCAGGAGATTCTCTACCTCACACATAAGAAGGGCAGGACAGGCCGGACACGGTGGCTCATGCCTGTAATCCCAGCAGTTTGGGAGGCGGAGGCGGGCGGATCATGAGGTCAGGAGATTGAGACCATTCTGGCTAACATGGTGAAACCCCGTCTCTACTAAATATACAAAAAATTAGCCGGGCGTGGTGGCGGGCGCCTGTAGTCCCTGCTACTAGGGAGGCTGAGGCAGGAGAATGGCTTGAACCTGGGAGGCGGAGGTTGCAGTGAGCCGAGATCACACCACTGCACTCCAGCCTGGCGACAGAGCTAGACTCCATCTCAAAAAATAAATAAGTAAATAAGGGCAGGACACTCTCAGGTCTCGCTGAAATGCTGTTTCTCCATGGTCAGACTGGTGACATGAAAACATTTGATGACACAGCTGACAATTGTTGGGGAAGCAGACACTCTCATCTGCCGGTCACAGCCATGAAAACAAGGAAGCCTCTATCCCACCATACCTTGTCATGGGAGTTGGATAACATTTATCAAAGCTAGACACTCATATGCTTTTGGACCCACTTCTAGAATCTATCTGATCACACAACATGTTATATAGTGATGGTTATTCAGCACCTTTGTTTGTAAAATAACCTAGGTGTTCATCAGTAGGGGATGGGTGAAAAGGTAGGAGGATACATTCATATAATGGAATTCTATATAGCTGTGAAAAACAATGAAGGAATCTTCTACGTACAGACACAGAATGTTCTTTAAGATAAACTGTTATGTGAGAAGAGCAAGTTGCAGAATGGTATTGAGAACCAATACATATTTGCTCCCACTTGCATAAAATCTTTCTGGAAGGGGACAGCAGAAACTGATGATATGAAGCCATACTAAAGGAACTGGGTGTCTGTGGAGAGGAGACTTTTTCCTATGTCCTTTACTGTTACTTTAGAATTGTATTTAATTACTTTTAAAACAGAGACAGGGTCTTGCTATGTTGCCCAGGCTGGTCTTGAACTCCTGGGTTCAAGTGATTCTCAAGCTTTGGCTTCCCAGAGTGCTGGGATTACAGGTGTGAACCACCCCACCTGGCCTGAAATGTTAAAACCACATTCCTGTGTTACCCATTCAAAATATAACTACACAAAAATGTATAAAATGTATCATGTTGATATAGCTTGCACATGTGTCCCCTCCAAGTCTCATATGGAAATGTGACCCCTAGTGTTGATGGCTGGGCCTAGTGGGAGGTGTGTGGGTCATGGGGGCGGTTTCCTCGTGAATGACTTGCTGCCTTCCCTGCAGTCATGAGTTCACAGGAGAACTGGTTGTTAGGAGACTGGGACCTCCTCCTCTCGTTCCTTCTCTCACCATGGGACACACCTGCTCCCCCTTCGCCTTCTGCCGTAAGTAAAAGTTTCCTGGAGCCTTAACACAAGCACAAGCAGATGTTGGTTCAATGCCTTTTTTTTTTTTTTTTTTTTTTTTTTTTTTTTTTTGGGAGAGGGAGTCTTGCTCTGTTGCCCAGGCTGGAGTGCAGTGGCACGATCTTGGCTTACTGCAAGCTCCACCTCCTGAGTTCACGCCATTCTCCTGCCTCAGCCTCCTGAGTAGCTGGGACTACAGGCGCCTGCCACCACGCCTGGCTAATTTTTTTGTATTTTTAGTAGACACGGAGTTTCACCATGTTAGCCAGGATGGTCTCAATCTCCTGACCTCGTGATCCACCCACCTTGGCCTCTCAAAGTGCTGGGATTACAGGCGTGAGCCACTGTGCCCAGCCCCATGCTTCTTATACAGCCTGCAGAACTGTCAGCCAATTAAACTTCTTTCCTTTATAAATTACTCAGTCTCAGGTATTTCCTTTTTTCTTTTTTCTTTTTCTTTTGGGATGCAGTCTCTCCCTGTCACCCAGGCTGGAGTGCAGTGCTGCGATCTCAGCTCACTGTAACCTCAGCCTTCCGGGTTCAAGTGATTCTCCTGCCTCAGCCTCCCAAGTAGCTGGGATTACATGCATGTGCCACCATGCCCAGCTGATTTTTGTATTTTTAGTAGAGACGGGGTTTCACCATGTTGGCTAGGCTGGTCTCGAACTCCTGACCTCAGGTGATCCGCCTGCCTTGGCCCCCCAAAATGCTGGGATGACAGGCCTGAGCCACCATGACGGGCCAGGTAATTTTTCATAGCAACGCAAAGTGAACTAATACACATGTCAATACCCACAATGTACCTGATATATAGCAGCCCGTCAGTATTTGTTGAAGGAAAGAAATATGCCACCCTGGCCGGGCGCCTTGGCTCACACCTGTAATCCCAGCACTTTGGGAGGCGGAGGCGGGTGGATCACGAGGTCAGGAGATCAAGACCATCTTGGCTAACACGGTGAAACCCCATCTTTATTAAAAAAAAATACAGGCCGGGTGCGGTGGCTCATGCCTGTAATCCCAGCACTTTCGGAGGCCAAGGCTGGCGGATCATGAGGTCAGGAGATTGAGACCATCCTGGCTAACACTGTGAAACCCCATCTCTACTAAAAATACAAAAAATTAGCCGGGCATGATGGCTGGCACCTGTAGTCCCAGGTACTCAGGAGCCTGAGGCAGGAGAATGGCGTGAACCCGGGAGGCGGAGCTTGCAGTGAGCCGAGATCGCGTCACTGCACTCCAGCCTGGGCAACAGAGCGAGTCTCCATCTAAAAAAAAAAAAAAAAAAAAAAATAGGGCCGGGCGCGGTGGCTCACGCCTGTAATCCTAGCACTTTGGGAGGCCGAGGTGGGCGGATCACGACGTCAGGAGATCGAGACCATCCTGGCTAACACGGTGATACCCTGTCTCCACTAAAAATACAAAAAATTAGCCGGGCGTCGTGGTGGGCGCCTGTAGTCCCAGCTACTCGGGAGGCTGAGGCAGGAGAATGGCATGAACCCGGGAAGCGGAGCTTGCAGTGAGCCGAGATCACGCCGCTGCACTCCAGCCTGGGCAATAGAGGGAAACTCCGTCTCAAAAAAAGAAAAAAAAAATTTCAGAAAACTTAGCCCGGCATGGTGGCAGGTGCCTGTAGTCCCAGCTACTCAGGAGGCTGAGGCAGGAGAATGGCGTGAACCCGGGAGGCGGAGCTTGCAGCGAGCTGAGATCGCACCACTGCACTCCAGCCCGGGTGACAGAGTGAGACTCCGTCTCAAAAAAAAGAAAAGAAAAGAAAAGAAATATGCCATCCCACTCCGGAATATGCTCTGTATTCGTTACCTATAGCTGCATAACAAATTACTCCAAAACATGGCAGTTAAAACGATGTACATCTATTATCTCCCAGTTTCTGCTGGTCAGGAATCTGGATGCCTGTGGCTCACAGTCCTTGGCAGGTTGTAGTTAAGCTATAAGCAAGGTCTGCTGTCACCTGAAGGCTCACCTGGGGCTGGAGAAGCTCCTTGCATGCACATGGAAGTAGTGTTCACAGGGCAGTCCTCATGAGATCCATGTCCAAGTTTACTCACCCACCTGGTTGCTGTCAGGCCTGGGTTCCTCAGTATCTGGGCCACCCCACAGGCTGCATGAGTGTCCCCACCATGCAGCAGCTGGTGAGTCAAGAAAAAGAGAACAAAAGAGGGCATGCAGAAATGGAAGTCATAGTATTTCCTTTGTAAACAAGTGTCAGAATTCACATCCCATCCCTTCTGGAGAATTATTATTATTATTATTATTATTATTATTATTATTATTTTGAGACAGAGTCTCGCTCTGTTGCCCAGGCTGGAGTGCAGTGGCGTGATCTCGGCTCACTGCAAGCTCCGCCTCCCGGGTTCATGCCATTCTCCTGCCTCAGCCTCCTGAGTAGCTGGGACTACAGGCGCCCACCACCACGCCCGGCTAATTTGCTAAATTTTTTCGTATTTTTAGTAGAGACGGGGTTTCACCGTGTTAGCCAGAATGGTATCGATCTCCTGACCTCGTGATCCACCCGCCTCGGCCTCCCAAAGTGCTGGGATTACAGGTGTGAGCCACTGCGCCTGGCCCCCTTCTGGAGTATTTTGTTCACTAGAAGTAACTCAGGTAGTCCAGCACACACTCAGAGGGAGGGGATTACACAAGACCATGGATCTCAGGAGGCATGGGCCATCAGGGCCATTTTCACGGCCACCTACTACCTTCTCCAGAGGCTTTACTGTTCTTCCCTGGGATGCCCTTCACACACCCTCCTGCCTCTCCAGCCTCCTCTGCATGAGCCTCTCTCAAATTCCTCAAAAGCACTTTACTCCTGACAGCTCCAGGTCTTTGCACATGCTGTTCCATTGCCTGGAATGCCAACTCAAATGGAAGGGAAGAACACCCACTCTCCCACGAGGAGTTTTCACAGTACCGCGTTCCCATCCTTCCTTGGGCATGCCTCATTTGTAATTTCCCTTTGAATGGTCATTGGATTAATAGCCATCTCTCCCAGAAAGCTCTGAGGGGGCAGTGAGCATGTCTAGTTTTGCTTCAATGACATCCCCAATGCCTAGCATGAATTTCATGGTAACTACCCAATAAATATTAGGTGGAGGAATCCATTCTCTTCCTTGAATCAGTCAGAGTCCCAGTAGAAAACAGATGGTACTTTCAGATGGGATAAATGAGGAGTCTTTAGTGAAAGGACTATTTACAAAGGCGGGGCAGGGTTAAGTGCCATCAACAAAATAGCCCCTTGGGGCTAGCACCACTGGAGAGCTATGAGCACTCCCAGGCCTAAAGGAGCAAGTGAAGGGAAGGATTACTGGAATCCAGCGAGGCCTGCAGTTGGGGGAGAGAGCTGAGTGCAGGAGCTAGAGTCTCTGGTAGGACAACAGGGCCAATTCATAGTGCTAGGGAAGGAGGAGAGCTAGGACCACATGCACCAGCATCACCCTCCACTCCCTGCAGTCTTTTTCAGTATCTCCCACTGGGCAAACCCAGCTGGAGGCCAGAGGGCCAGGGATCCCATGGGTCTGTCCTCAGAGGTCAGTTTTTCAGGTGCAGAGCAGTGGGGAGGTCTGGAGAGCAAGCAAGGAGCTACCCCATGCAGCCACCACCATACCCTCCTGCCCTGCGTCTGGAGGAAGTCTCATCAGTACCGTATTATTGCACAATTGTGTCAACTCAGTCGCATTCTCACTTGGAACCTAAAATGTTAACCAGTTTTGTTCATATGAGGAAATGGGGAAAAGAAAGAGTTAACTAACCCAAAGCATACTAGGTGTCAGGGACTATGCTGTTTTGCTCTAGTCTGGAAACACATCTGGAGTATTTCTAAGCCATCTCTGAAATGACAGCTGCAATTGGCGCCACTACCAGGTCAAGCTTATGACCATCTGTTGTCATTTTCCAAGATTCATATTCCATCTACACAGGGCAAAGAGGGGGCCGTAACGGGTATCCCACCCCGCTCTGTTCCAGGCTGTTGTGGTGACAATGGTGTCTGAGGCTTCCCTGCACACAGCGCCTCCTGGTTCACTAACCCAGGAGGGAGGAGCAGCTCTTCGGCCCTCCCTACTATAATGGCCCTCATCCCATGGGTCAGGGCAGCCCATGCGGGGACTCTTTTTTTTTTTTTGAGACAGAGTCTCCCTCTGTCGCCCAGGCTGGAGTGCAGTGGCGCTATCTTGGCTCACTGCAAGCCTGCCTCCTGGGTTCATGCCATTCTCCTGCCTCAGCCTCCCGAGTAGCTGTGACTGCAGGCACCCGCCACCATGCCCGGCTAATTTTTTTGTATTTTTATTAGAGACAGGTTTTCACCATGTTAGCCAGGATGGTCTCGATCTCCTGACCTCGTGATCCTCCCGCCTCGGCCTCCCAAAGTGCTGGGGTTACAGGCGTGAGCCACCGTGCCCAGCCCCCATGTGGGGACTCTTTGAGAGGCCGCACTTATTCATTCCCAAGATACATCCCAGAACTGGGGCATAACCATGGGGTAGACCTGCAGACCTGCTGGGCCCACTGTGAGTCAGATTTGGAGCAAAACTCCATTATCACCTGACTACCATAAACCCCGACTTTGACTGATAGCACACACTGGCATTTTGCTTCCTAAGAATATTCTAAAAATTTCATAATTTTTTTTTTTTTGAGATGGAGTCTCACTCTGTCACCCAGGCTGGAGTGCAGTGATGAGATCTCGGCTCACTGCAACCTCCGCCACCCAGGTTCAAGTGATTCTCCTGCCTCAGCCTCCCGAGTAGCTGGGATTACAGGCACCTGCCATCGCACCAGGCTAATATTTGTAGTTTTAGTAGAGATGGGGTTTCACCATGTTGGCCAGGCTGGTCTTGAACTCCCGACCTTGTGATCTACCCACCTCGAACTCCCAAAGTGCTGGGATTATGGGCGTGAGCCACCGCACCCGGCCAAAATTTCATAAGATTTAATGTCATTTTAGAGCCCATGTCCAGAAATCCCCCAAAAGGTCGTGGCATGTCCTTTTTTTTCCACGCACACAAGACCTCCATACATGGCCAAATGTCCCTATGGGGAAGAAGTGGACGAAGATTTACAGCACATATTTGTGACAATGTCACAGTGTCCTTCCTTGGGACACTGAGCCTCCTCTTCAAATCAAGGGACTCTGAGTCTGTGAACTAGTTTCAATGTGGAAATTTGCTGTATGTATTTCATTCCTTGAGGCCCATTAGCAACTGGCAAAGGTCATGTGGGTCAAAGCGTTCTGGTGATCTCTGTCTTCCTGCCCATTACAACGAATACACCCCCTTGTCTTTGGTGGTTCAGAACTGCTACCTGCCGTTGTGGAATTCCACCATCATCCATGAAACCAGGGGAACCATCTCAATAGTGACGCTGCCCACTCTCAGACCTGGTCCAGGGAGGAGAGCAACCACAGGGTATTTAAGTAAGAGCTGTATTTAAGTATTTAAGCTCTTTAGATATGGGAGAGCTGGCAGTTTCCACCAGCAAAGCAAAGACGTGGGTTCAGACAGGCTCAGGGTTCAAGATTCGCAACTCCACCTGCGTCTACTCAGATGAATGTGGACAGCCTCTAGAAGCTGGAAAAGGTGGCTGCATGTGGTGGCTCACACCTGTAATCCCAGCACTTTGGGAGGCCGAGGCGGGTGGATCACGAGGTCAGGAGATCGAGACCATCCTGGCTAACACGGTGAAACCCCGTCTCTACTAAAAATACGAAAAAATTAGCTGGGCACATTGGCAGGCGCCTGTAGTCCCAGCTACTCGAGAGGCTGAGGCAGGAGAATGGCGTGAACCTGGAAGGCAGAGCTTGCAGTGAGCCGAGATAGCGCCACTGCACTCCAGCCTGGGTGACAGTGTGAGACTCTGTCTCAAAAAAAAATAAAAGAAAAAAGAAAAAAAAGAAGAAGCTGGAAAGGGTGAGGAAGTCATCTCTCCTAGAGCCTCCACAAGGAAGAGAGTCCTGCCATCACCTTGGTTTTAGTCTATTGAGACCCATGTCACACTTCTAACCCATAGAACTGTGGACTGATCCATTTGTGTTTTAAGCCCTGGAGTTTGTGGTGATTTGTTATAGCAGCGGCAGGATACTGATACACTCACCTTCCCCTAGAACCTAGGAGATGGCTCCAGGGAAGTCTTGCCTCAACTCCTCTCCAGGAGTCGTGTCTTCTGCCATCTGTCACATACCAGGAAGTGGCACTCTGAGTAGAAGTCCTGAATAGCCCTTCTCTCGGAATAGCTCAATCATTTGCCCAAATTATCTCAGATGTTCAGTGACTTATGGGCATGGATGTCCAATGATTAAGTGGGGAAGATGCCAGCCTTAACCTCTTGTTGTTATTAATTCATTATATACAAACAGTCATTGTCTATGGGGAAAATCTAGCTTGGGAGGCTTCGTGGGATGAGCTTCAGACCTGTGGCTGCAGTTGGTCCTGAGGCTATAAATGATATATTGAACAACTCCCTCCATGTTACAGGTTAAGTTTTGTCCCTATAAATATTCTTATGTTGAAGTCTTAACTCCCAGTATCTCAGAGATAGGGTCTTTACAGTGGCGATCAAGTTAAAATAAGGTCATTTAGATGGGCTCTAAGCCAATGACTGATGTCCTTATGTAAAAAAAGAAATTTGGATACAGACACAGCCAGCCTGTCACTTCAGAAGGCTAAGCCTACGCTCCATCAGGCCAGAAACTTCTGGCTGGTGTGGAATCTGGCGGGAGCATGGGTGTGGACCTTATGGCCACGTTCCCATTGCTACGCTGCCCTTGCCAGAAAGGCAGTCATGGGTCCGAGGATCCCACGTTGGTAAATCCTTAACTAGTGGTCCTGGCAAAAAATGCAAATCTATTTCTGGAATATATGGCGACCCCAATCAGGGTGAATTGTAATTTTCAAAGCTGAAGAGGTCTCGTGTAATTGTTTTGCCATTGAGTGTGCTATGGTCTGAACGTTTGTGTCTCCAAAAAGTTTGCATGTTGAAACCTAATTCCCAATATGATGGTGTTTATGAGGTTGGGCATTCAGGACTTGATTAGGTCTTGATGGTGGAGGCCTCATGAATGGGATTCGTGTCCTTACAACAGAGGCCTCAGAGAGCTGGCTTGCCTCTCTAACATGTGAGGGGATGGCTAGAAGGCGCCATCTATGAATAGAAATCAAGAACTCACCAGGCACTGGATGTGCCAGCACCTTGGCCTTGGACTTCCCAGCCTCCAGAACTGTGAGAAATACATTTCTCTTGTTTAGAAACCACTCAGTTTATGATAGCTTGTTACAGCACCCCACATGGACTAAGCAGGCTGGTTGGTGGTTTTGAGGGGTGGTGGCTGACAGGGGCTCAGCACGGTCTGTGATGCTGACAGATCGGACATTCTGCAGTGATAGTCCTGGCTCAGCTTTGGTGGGAGGAAGTCCATGCTGTTGGGACATCCATAGCCTCCTTCTCTGCCACCATGGCCACTCTTCACAGGCCCCTTGTGCAAGCCTTGGGCTGCCTGAGGGGGAGGCATTGGTAGACATTGACCCGATGAGTCCTCTTGCCTGCCTGGTTGGTGGTTTCATGTTTCTTCTCTGGTGGGCATTGATGTGCAATATCACGACCTTTTACGTGGTGCTCACTCCCAGGGGTCCGTCCACATGTGGCCACCTTGTCAAAAATGTCCAGCCTTATTCCTTAGACCCTGACTAAGCAGCCAAGCTATTTGCTATTGCCCATAAATATAGCTAATCTTGGGCCATTCCTCACTCCATTCAAAGTGACTGACCAGGCGCTCTGCCTGAGGCTCTGCCCATGGGAGGATTCTATTTCTCCACTGTCTTTCAGGGCCCCCCCGAAAGGAGGCTCCACTTCTTCCCTATCAGAGTCCTGACTGGCATGGGAGAGTGCTGAGGCCGTGTATCTGGCCATCGCTGAAGTCCTGCTTCTCTTCACATGACCTGGGCCAGGTCTCCTCCTCCAGCTGTAGGAGTTCACATGCAGCCATGTGCCTTCAGTGGGTTGTCAATCAACCTGAGCCTATGCTGTTCTCTCACCTCCCTCCTGGCTTCAATCATCAGAAATATTGCCCCATTCAGGGCATGCCCTTCCACTTGGCTTCCAGCTTGGCAGAGCTGCAGCCAGGGGAGCGTGCTGGAGTCTCGGCCCTCCACTCACTGCTGGGACTCAGGCCTTCCTGCCCTCTGCCTGGCGAGTCACCTGTCTCTAGAATCCCAGCCTCAGAGTCAGCCTCACAGGCCACTTCCTTACCAAGGTTCTTGGGTCTGTCTGGTGCCCTAGAAGCAGAACCAGAGATAAACATCCCAGTGCAAGTAACTCCCTAGAGAAGCAGGACAG
This sequence comes from Homo sapiens, assembly GCF_000001405.40. Lineage (NCBI taxonomy): Eukaryota > Metazoa > Chordata > Mammalia > Primates > Hominidae > Homo > Homo sapiens. The sequence continues at coordinate 28,873,612 of NC_000015.10, forward strand.
ATGGTAGAAGAGACTGAGGAAGGTGCGATTCCCAGCCTTGCTTGATCCCCTGGGGAGCTCCGGAGTCAGTGACTGCTCAGCGCTTGTCCCACCTCAGGGTAAGAAGGCTTCCATGTTCCTCCTCCCATTCCAGGCCTGGGGGCAAAGGAGCTGTATACTCCCAGGAAATGCCAGCGTTCTGCTGGTGAGGGTGGAGCCACTGCAGTCGTGTGAGGGGTAATTATCCAAGGAGAGTGGAGGTACAGGCCTGGAAGAAAAGCTGGCAGAGGGTGCCCACAGGATGGGGCAGGCAACACTGATGTCGGCTGCCAGGTGGTGCTGGTGCCTTCGTTTCAGAGATGTTGTCTGGTTTTCTGGGGCTGCCAGAACAAAGTACTGTGAACTGCGGGCTTGAACAGCACATGTTTATTATCTCACAGTCCTGGAGGCTGGAAACCTGAGATCAAGGTGCAGACAGGGTTGGTTCCTTCTGAGGCCTGCGGGGAGACTCTGCTCCAGGCCCCTCTCCTGGTTTCCGGTAGCTGCAGAAGTTCTTTGGCTGGTAGACAGCATTCTCCCTGCATGTGTCCACTCTGTTTTTTCTTCGTGCAACTGTCTCTGTGTGTTCAAATTTCTCCTTTTTATAAGCATGCCAGGCAGATTGCATGAGAACCCACTCTCATGACCTCAACTTCACTCAATCATCTACAAAGACCTTCTCTGCAAACAAGGCCACATTCACAGCTACTGGAGGGTTAGGACTTTGATTTGTGTGTGTGTGTGTGTGTGTGTGTGGACACAATTCAGCAGGTGCTAAAATGTAAAACATAGAGTGTCTTAAAATTGATGACATATGGCACAACCTGGACTCTCCTGAGCCGAGTAGTAGTTAGCACGTGTCTTTATTTTTATTATTGTTATTATTTTTTGAGACGGAGTCTCACTCTGTCGCCCAGGCTGGAGTGCAGTGGCACCATCTCGGCTCGCTGCAAGCTCCACCTCCCAGGTTCACACCGTTCTCCTGCCTCAGCCTCCTGAGTAGCTGGGACTACAGGTGTCCGCCACCACGTCCGGCTAATTTCTTTTTCTATTTTTAGTAGACACGGGGTTTCACTCTGTTAGCCAGGATGGTCTCAATCTCCTGACCTTGTGATCCACCTGCCTCGGCCTCCCAAAGTGCTGGGATTACAGGTATGAGCCACTGCGCCTGGCCTGCATGTGTCTTTACATAAAATTTCTGACTTGGTCTCCTAAATGCACAAAATATTCCCAAGCATAATACAACCCTGTGGTTATGTACAGGATTAAAATAGCGACAGATTCTCAATTGAAAACTTGATCCTGGCCTGGCATGGTGGCTCACACCTGTAATCCCAGCACTTTGGGAGGCCGAAGCAGGAGGATCACGAGGTCAGGAGATCGAGACCATCCTGGCTAACACGGTGAAACCCTGTCTCTACTAAAAAAAAATACATAAAATTAGCCAGGTGTGGTGGCGGGTGCCTGTAGTCCCAGCTACTCGGGAAGCTGAGGCAGGAGAATGGCGTGAACTTGGGAGGCGGAGCTTGCAGTGAGCTGAGATCGTGCCACTGCACTCCAGCCTGGGTGACAGAGGGAGACTCCATCAAAAAAAAAAAAGAAAAGAAAACTTGATCCTGAGTGGTCCTATTGCAGTGGTTGAACTGACACCTCCAGCACCTCTGAAAAGGTGTCGCTCAGTAACAGTCGGGTTGGGGGGGACCAATAATTAGAATGAGCTTCAGACAACTCAAAAGACTCCACCCTTTCCCCAGCGCCTCCTGCCAGAGGAAGCATGTGTCTGTGACTTGAAGGCATCTGGAACTCACAAGGTGAGGCTCGTTCTTCCCATGTCCTCTCTCTTGCTGCCTCCACACCTATGAGAACGATCTCATCCCAACATGCCTGGGAAGGCCTATTTCTAAGGCACATGCATAAGGTGAATGCCTTCACAGCAAAATAAATGAGGCCTGGGATAGACTCTTCCAGTATTCCTGCTGCCTGGGAAGTTGGTGAGACCCCAGCCTGGAGTCAGTCCCCGCCCCCATCCAGTTCCCCAGGAGAGGCTGACAGCTTGGAGTCGGGTGAAGCCCTGCAGTGCAGCACCAAGTCTGGGTCTGAACTCTTCACCTGTCCCCAGTCCCTGCCCCATCTTCTGTCCTCTCTGCCAATCTTTGCTGAAGCCCCTGGGTTCCCACTGAGCTTATGAATCAACCTATGATCCATGATGGAAGGGCCCAGCTGGACACAATGCCTTCTCTAAACAGATTATCAGCGGTGGGAATTGAAGGCACTATGCAAGGCTGATAAGACAGATCTTTGGGAACAAGAAGGCCTTGAAGTGCTTCTGAAATATTTTTCTTCATTCATTCATTCAGTCATCAGAACCTATACTTAGGGCCTCCTCATATCTGGGCATCGTGGCATGAGCTGTGATGCGTGGGGTGGGGGGTCCAAGCAGGTACAGTCCCTCTGAAGGAGGGAGAGAGAGAGAGAGAGAATTGCTAATCATGCAAATAAAGGATTGCAAGCTGTGGTAAAAGCCAGGGAGGCCAGTGCAGGCTGGCATGAGCACGCAGCCCTCAGGACTGGGCCCAGTGGGTTGGCAGTCAGTGAAGGATTTCCTGGAGAGCCGAGGGCCCCGTGGGAAGCACGCTTAGGGCAACAGCTCCCGGCACTGAGAAGGCTGTGAGCGGGGACCTCACGGAGCAGTGGGGAGCAGGGCCACTGGCCTCCCTCCCCTGCCTCGGAGCCTAGGGTGGTGGGGAGCGCCACTGCTGGCCCATTTGGAACTCCCAGCCTCCAAGGCCTGGCTTTCTGTGGGGGGTGGCTTTGACAAAAGCATCTTTGAGAAAGCATCAAAGAGACCACAGCAGAGAGAAAGCAACCCCGCTGCAGGGGAACAATGCCGCAAATCCTTCGCTCTGGAAACTCTAAGACGGCTTCCTGGGGTCACTAAATTCTGTGTAAAGGGTTCCAGGAATGCTTTCAAGACAGGCAGTCAGACCCAGGGAGATGAGCCCAGACCCAGTGTGGTCATTGGTGCAGGGTGAGGGTGGAGGGGGGGGCACTGGGGAGGAGGTGGAGGCACAGAGCCCAGGACAGGGCAGTGGAGGAGGAGCAGGAGGGGTGGGCTCCACATTGAGAGCCTGCACACTTCCTCCAGGAAGCCCTCCCTGCAGCTTTTCTCTTCACCGGGTAACCACCTATCTGTCATCTGCCCTAATGCAGGCATCAGGGTTGTCCTTGTCACCCAGCACTGCAGTCCCTCAGGCCTGGCCAGGCAGAGGCCCTGGGCCTCGCCCAGTGGATCAGGCACTCAACTATGCCCCTGGGAGAAGAGTGCATGCACGTCCCCTGAGCCCTCTCCTTTTCCCGGTGGGGGACAGCATCTGCTGTTGGATCTGGGATGATCCTCTCCAGGCCTGGGTTGGGGGTACCGAGAGGGAGGATAGGCATGGGATGGCGGATATGACTTACAGGTGCCTACTCTGCTCAGGAGCAGCGGCGCAGGACGACTGGGCAGACTGCATGGGAGCCCTGCCTCATCCAGGGTGGGCTTCCTGCAGAGTCTCTGGCTGGACCCCCAAGGCTAGGGCCACAGCCCCATCACTACCTGGGTCTCTGTCGTCCCATACTGTGGAAATATAGCAATGTTTTTTTCTCGTTCTAAGTCGTTCACTACGTGTGATTAACTTTTATATATTTGGACTTTCTGGCCTGGTGCGGTGACTCACGCCTGTAATCCCAGCACTTTGGGAGGCCAAGGCGGACGGATCACAAGTTCAGGAGATCGAGACCATCCTGGCTAACATGGTGAAACCCTGTCTCTACTAAAAATACAAAAAAAAAGTTAGCCGGGCTTGGTGGTGGGCATCTGCAGTCCCAGCTACTTGGGACGCTGAGGCAGGAGAATGGCGTGAACCCAGGAGGTGGAGCTTGCAGTGAGCCAAGATGGCACCACTGCACTCCAGCCTGGGCGGCAGAGTGAGACACCATCTCAAAAAAAAAAAAAAAAAAGACTTTCTTCCATGTAAATAAATGGACATATTTGAAGATACTATGGCAGTGGAGCTGGGTGCAGTGGCTCACGCCTGTAATCCCAGCACTTTGGGAGGCCAAGTTGGGAGGATCACCTGAGGTCAGGAGTTCAAGACCAGCCTGGCCAACATGGTGAAACTATGAAAATACAAAATTAGCCAGGCGTGGTGGCGCTTGCCTGTAATCCCAGCTATCTGGGAGAATTGCTTGAACCTGGGAGGTAGAGGTTGCAGCAAGTGGAGGTTGTGCCATTGCACTTCTGCCCGGGCAACAAGAGTGAAACTCCATCTCAAAAAAAAAAATGGCAGTGGTTCTTAATCTCAGCACATCTTGACATGATATCTTGGCTTAGACCAGTTCATTGAGTGGGTGGGCACCTGTCCTCTGTATTGTAGGATGTTTAACAACATCCCTGAACTCTACCCACCAGATGCTGGTAGCATCACTCCCCTAAGTTGTGACAGCCTAAAACATCTGCAGACATTTCCAGATCATTGCAAAATCGCCCCCAGTTGAGAGCCACTGACATACAGGGTCAGGCCCCAAGTTCTCAGATGAGACTAGGAAACGTGGTGTCTTTTGTATAAGCCAAGCGCGAGCAGGACTGAAGAACAGGTGAGATGAACTGGGAGCCTGGGGTGAGGTCATTCAGGTCACGGTCTCGCGCCCATGGAGAAGCCACATTGTGCAGTTGTCCTTAGAGTTCCCACGTGTGGCTCACCAGGGCCATCAGGCGAGCTCCCGCAACGTTGAAAGCCACTGTGCAGCCCAGCACTAGCCATTGTGAAGCTGCTCCTTATGGCACCCTTCCACATCGTGGACCCCTCTGCAGCACTGGCCCCAGCACACTTCTGTGTCTCCCCACATGACAGCCAGTCCAGCCTCGGAAGGCAGCTCTCGAAAAAGCTCCCTGAGCCATTACTGCCACGCACTTAATGCACCCAATTCCTTCCGTTCCTTCTCGGACACGTTCTAAGGCTCCAGGAGAGCTGCTCACATCAGATTGTTTCAGGAACTGAAATAGGCACTGTGACCATGAATGCTGCTGCTCTTTCTGGAACCCCACAGCTTTGTGTCTTCCTACTACCTATAGCTACAACAAATAACCACCATGATTCTCACTATATCAGTGAGGACTCTTTTTTTTTTTTTTTTTTTTTGTGACGAAGTCTCACTCTGTCACCAGGCTGGAGTGCAGTGGCGTGATCTCTGCTCACTGTAACCTCTGCCTCCCGGGTTCCAGTGATTCTGCTGCCTCAGTCTCCTGAGCAGCTGGGACTACAGGTGCGCGCCACCATGCCCAGCTAATTTTTGTATTTTTTAAGTAGAGACGGGGTTTCACCATGTTGACCAGGATGGTCTTGATCTCTTGACCTCGTGATCCGCCCACCTTGGCCTCCCAAAGTGCTGGTATTACAGGCGTGAGCCACAGCGCCCAGCCAGTGAGGACTCTTAAGGTTACAGGAGATAGGAGCTCAACTTCAACTGACTTAAGTAACGCAAATGTCTAGAGGAAGGGAGATCAGGCAGGGTTGGACCCAGAGCCACAGATGCCGTCCACCTTCAGCTCTGCTTCCCTCTGCTGTAGCCTCACTCTCCCACCAGCGCCCTAACAGGGCAGCTCCAGGCTCGAATTGTCCTTACTGCTTACAATCTCAGTGGAGAGAGCGCTGCCTTGCCAGTGCTTCCAGTGAGGTCCTGGGATGGAATCTTGAGGGTCTTGGGTCCCATACCCACCCCTCAGCTAAGCCCTGGAGTCAAGGGGATGGAATACATGGAGTGGCCAGGTCCAACTCATATGCCCACCCCAAGTGACGGAGGAGGGTTGAGTGGGGCAGAGGCCAGTTCTTCTAAACCAGGAGGCTGAGAATGAGGGAGGACAGATCTGGGGGTGCTGCTTCGTTCTCTTTTCTTGATAATCGCTGACATGCTGCCTGCCCTACCAGCAGGAAGCCATCCCATCCTGGGTTGAAAATGCTCCTTGCCGTGGGAGTTCAGTTCCCTTCCAAACGCCCCACGGCCATAGGACAGGGCTGTCAGGTCTTGACAGTGGAAGCCCCTTGATGCCCACAGGCAGCCTTGCAGATGGGTCGTGCCTGCCCTTCTCCGGCTCCTTGTTCCCTACTATGGTGAGTCACACAGCGGGCTCTGCCCGGCTCACAGCTCTGCTCCTGGTCTGCGGCCATCCCTGGCCACTTGTCCCCAGACACATCCCTGTGGGGCTAGGATCAGAAAAGTTTCCAGCATCCCCTCTGGCTCTGCTCTCTGGAACTTTCAGGCTGGGTCCTGGGGTCCTGCCTGGATGCCCCTTCCTCTGGGGAATATGTATCACCAGCCTGTCCGCCCTTCTGTGCCTCTCAGCTCTGATCTGGGTCATCCTGGCCCCCCAGGAAGGTTTCTTGTGCTGTATCTTGGAAAGGAGCAGTTGCCGTCTTAGTCCTTCCCTCCCAGGAGGCCTGACCTCCTGTGAACACTGACTTACCTCCAACACTCTGCTGCGGATCAGACTCACACACGGGGTATTGGAGGGCAGCTTCGTTCCTATCACTGTCTGGCCCACCAAGATACTTGTAGTGCTGACTCGTTCTATGTCCACATAACTAGACATGCTCAAGTGCCTGTCTAGACCATATTATACAATAAGAACTTTGCTCTTTCTTCTACATACCGTCTATACTATAGATGCTACCTATAGCCACACCTAACGATCTCTGTGACCTTCACTCTGTTATCTACACAAAAGAGTCTCTAGGATAAAGAAGGTCGGCACTGTGGTGATTTTCCAACCCTACCTACCTTTACTAAAATGCAGTTGGTGGCTGGGCGCGGTGGCTCATGCCTGTAATCCAGCATTTTGGGAGGCCGAGGTGGGCAGATCACTTGAGGTCAGGAGTTCCAGACCAGGATGGCCAACACGGTGAAACCTTGTCTCTACTAAAAATACAAAAATTAGCTGGGCATGGTGGCGGGTGCCTGTAATCCCAGCTACTCTGGGAGGCTGAGGCAGGAGAATCGCTTGAGCCTGGGAGGCAGAGGTTGCAGTGAGCCGAGATAGTGCCACTGCAATCCAGCCTGGGAGAAAGAGCTAGACCCTGTCTAAATAAATAAATAAAATGCAGTTGGTAACTGATCTCATGAAAAGAACAAACCTCTGCTGTTGCAGCACACCAGCACCTGCACGGTGGGTCCCTCCTCACAGGCCCTCCCGGTGGGTAAGGGCTATACTTCAGGCTCCTCCACAGACAGTCTGGCCTGCTGACTGTTCTACGTGGCTCCCAAGGCCAGGGTCAGGTTTCCATTGTTTACAATTATCCATTTATTTCTACAAAGCCTGGATTTTGAGCCTTGAGATCAGCCAAATAAATCAATGGTATTTACTTTTCTGGAAGATACTAGCTTCTACGGTTGTCAAAGACATTTCCATGCTGTCTCTGTGTCTTCCAAAATAAAGCAGTGGGTCTTGGAAAAACCTATTAGAGTGTGATCTGGTTAGTGATTTTTCCACTGACTTAAATCCTGAAGGCAAGAAAATCAGACTCCCACAGGGGTGTTTAGCATTTCCTTCTTACACACCCTGGACCTTGGGGATTTTCTAGGCCAACTTCCTCACCGAAACCCAGGAGGAAACTGTACCGTGGAGGCCCCAGCTGATTTACTTGAGTCCCCCCGCCTGGCTGGTGCCTTAGCTGGGACCAGAATGTAGGCCTCTTGACTCTTGGTTCAGGCCACTTTAGACTCCACAAGGATAAAATGAGCAGTCAGCAGGAGGAGCCTAAGAGCTTGATATTCCCAGGCCCAACAAGGCCTGTGCCAAGCAGTAACTTTATGAGAAGGAAGTTATTCTGCCATCCCCACAGAGAGAGGACATGTCTTTATTAATTAAGCACATTTTTACAGTCAGCCAAAGAGTGAAGGAAAAATTAGTATTCTGTCATTTGGAAGTTTTGTAAAGGAACATCTTGTTCAGCTTATAAAACAATGCATTAATCTTCTGTCCTATATAGGAAAGTCATATGTTATTTTTAAAAAATAAGTTAGGGTGTGAGGAGGTGACAAGTTTCCAACTCCACTTGGTAACACCTTGTAGGAAATCTGGCCTGGTCCAGGAGCCCCTCTAGGCTGAATGGTATCGGCATTAAGCATGCAATTCATGTATGCTGTCACTAAGTGGTGGTAGGGATCACAGCCATGTGGTCCAAACATATAGTCACAGACCTTCCTTGTTCTTCTTTTTCCCCCTAAAACAATAGACAAAAGATTTCAGAGATCTTTTACCCTCCAAAGGGTTAAAAACCAGGGTTAAGAATGATAATTACATTTTTTTTTCAGAGATAGATAATATCATATACTTCAAAAATTAAAAATTGGCCAGGTGCGGTGGCTCATGCCTGTAATCCCAGAACTTTGGGAGGCCGAGGCAGGCAGATCACGAGGTCAGGAGATCGAGACCATCCTGGCTAACACAGTGAAACCCCGTCTCTACTAAAAAATACAAAAAATTAGCCGGGCATGGTGGCGGGCGTCTGTAGTCCCAGCTACTCTGGAGGCTGAGGCAGGAGAATGGCGTGAACCCAGGAGGCGGAGCTTGCAGTGAGCCAAGACAGAGCTACTGCACTCCAGCCTGGGTGACAGAGCGAGACTCTGTCTCAAAAAAAAAAAAAAAAAAGAAAAAGTAAAGGAAAAGGAAAATCACTGAAAAGTTTTCCTGTCACCCCCGCCCCAGACACTACTTTCTTTCCCAAGGGTGACAACATTTTTCAGTTTACTGTGATCCTTCCAGAAAGGCTTTATTATTGTATATGAGCATCTATAGGCTCACCCTTTTTTCCTTTTTGCTTTTTTTACTCACATGGTGGCATACTACACACATCTTCTGCCCTTTGTTCTTTCACTTAACAATTATCTTGGAGAACTTCCCATGTTAATTTATCATGCGTTTCTTCCTTCTTTTATGGCTGCATTCTATTTCAGTGTTGGGAAGTGCCCTCATGCATTGAACAGTGCCCTTTTCATGGGTATCAAGATTGTCTGCAGTCACTTACTACAGAAACATAGCACCATGAATGATTCTACTCATGCCTGTTTTGCACGTGTGATATACAAGTCAAAAAATTCCTAGAAGTGAATTCTTAGGTCAAAGAGCTTGTGCATTTGTAATTTTGATAGACATCATCTGATTTTCCTACACAGAAGTTGTACTGATTTACACTCCCATGGGCAGTGTGGGTATCTGCCAGTTTCCTCTTGCTTTCTGGAATATATTGTATTACTGAACTCCTGGGTCTCTGATCAGTGAACACAATGACATCTCAGCATAGTTTTAATTTGCATTTCTTTTTCTTTTTTTGAGATGGAGTCTCACTCTGTTGCCCAGGCTCAAGTGCAGTGGTGCGATCTCAGCTCACTGCAACCTTTGCCTCCCAGGTTCAAGCGATTCTCCTGCCTCAGCCTCCCAAGTAGCTGGGATTACCGGTGCTCACCACCATGCCCAACTAATTTTTGTATTTCTAGTAGAGACGGGGTTTCACCGTGTTGGCCAGGCTTGTCTCAAACTCCTGACCTCAAGTGATCCACCTGCCTCGGCCTCCCAAAGTGTTGGGATTACAGGTGTGAGCCACCATGCCTGGCTTAATTTGCATTTCTTATTATGAATAAGGGAGGACAGCTTTTCAGATGTTTAAAAGTCATTTGTATTTCCTTCCCTGTGAATTGTCTGCTTCTTACCCTTTACCTGTTTCTTTGTCTTTTCTGTTAAGAGACAGTCTCATACTGCTGCCCAGGCTTAGTGCATTGGGATGATCATAGTTCACTGCAGCCTGGAACTCCTGGGCTTAAGTGATCCTCCTGTCTCAGCCTCCTGAGTAGCTGGGATTACAGGTGTGAGCCAAGGTGGGGGCCTGGTGATGATCCGTGATGCCTTCTTTTGATTTTTTTTTTCTTATCAATTTCTAGATGCTATCTATGTGTTAGGGAAATTAGCTGCTTGTGATATGAATTGCAAATAATTTTTTCCCCTTTGTTGTAGACTTTGCTTATGGTAGTGATTGCCATGCCAGAGTTTCTTTGAAGTCAAACTTAGCTGTTTTTTTGTTACCACTTTTTGATTTTGTTGCATACTTAGAAAGGCCTTTCCCATTCCAAGATACTTTTTTTTTTTAAATTTAAAATTTTAAGTTCCCAGATACAAGTACAGAACGTGTAGGTTTGTTACATGGGTATATGTGTGCCATGGTGGTCTGCTGCACCTATCAACCTGTCATCTAGGTTTTAAGCCTCACATGCACTAACTGTTTGTCCTAATGATTCTTCAAAAATTCTCTGAATACTGGCAGTTGGCTCAAGCTCACCAGATTTAGGAGTCCTGAGTGAGGCTGGGGGCAGGCCTGTACCTTTATTTTTAAATTTATTTAATTTATTTCATTTTTTAAAATGATAGGGTCTTGTTCTGTCACCAAGGCTGGAGTGCAGTGGCACGATCACAACTCACTGCAGTCTTGAACTCCTGGGCTCAAGCGAGCCTCCTGCTTCAGCTTCCCAAAGTATTGGGATTATAGGTGGGAGCCACTGTTCTTGGCCCTAGGCCTATACCTTTCATCTTGTGGACTGAGGACTTCAGCCACTATCACTCCCGGGTGCTGCGATGGGGTTTAATTTCCAGTGACTGGCCCAGAGCCTGCTCATGGGAAGATCTCAAGGGAGGCTGTTGAAGGAACAGCATGCAACTTACCGGCCCACACACGTTCACACAGATGGGGGTGGGGGTTTGAGGAGGTGGGGGGTGTTGTGTGGATCAGCTTCAGGCACAGGTGTCTGGTTTCCTATGGGATGTGACCACATAACAGTAAGGCAAGAAGATGACTGCATTTATCTTCTCAGAATCACTTCTTCTTAATTGTTGCTTCCCACTATTGGCATTGGTGAAAGGCTGGGCCACAGGAGGCTGGATGAACTTTGTGTTAGCCAGGTAAGCAGAATGTCTATGCAGGTGGAAAGTAGACAGTGAAGGTGTGCTCATCTGAGTACGGAGGGGCATAGGTCAGGAACCTCGTTGGCCTGCCCTGGCCTTTGCCCCTTTGTTTGGCCCTGTGGCTACAAAGCTCCCCTACCAGGAGCAGCCCCCACTGGCGGCTCTGGCCCTGGAAACCTGTGAATGTTTGGTGGGGGCAGGGTGTGGAGAGGCCAAGTCCACAGTGTATCTAACCCTAGTCCATCTCAGGATTCGGCTTCCCCCAGCCCCTTCTCCTTAGGGTCTCAGCTCGGGCCCTCAGGGCAGCAGGAAGATGCGCTGTCCTCACTCCCAAGTCCCCCTGCCCTTCTGTGCCTTCTGACCTGGGCAGAACTTCCCATGCCACAGCTTCGCCTAATCCAGCCACAGGAGAAAAGAAAACGAGGGCAAATCACCACGATTTGGGGGGAGGGAGGCCCCTGAGCCCCCGCTCTGCCCAGACAAGGCATCCTGTGCATCTCCCATGGCTCATCACATCTGCCTGGGACTCAGTGAAAGGGCCAGAGGGCCAAAGGTGACACCGGAGTCTCCAGCACGACCTTCGAGGGCCTCCAGGGCATTTCTCGCGCTGTAGGGGCGGAAGACTGGCTCCCCTGGGGATGCATGTGAGTGTCTAGGAGTGTACGCTCCCCAGGGCCCCGCGGAGGTCAGGGTTCTCTCCATTTAGGACAGCAAGGAGAGAAAGCCCTGGAGTGAGGCCCTGGGGCTGGGGGCTAAAGCAGCACAGAGTATCAGAAACGGGGTGCTGGGATGGTTACCGGGGACCGCCAGGGAAGACTTGGGAGTCCAGCATGCGCCTAGGGGAGCTGCGGTGGGGAGGCAGCAGGGGGCCTCCTCTGCCGGATGGGGCCTTCGGAGGCCGCGATCCCCGAGAGTTCTTCGCTCGAGGGTTCTTCGCTCTAGGGTCCCCCATTACAGCTGCGCGGGGCCGAGCAAGCAGGGCGCGGCGGCCGGGGCAAGGTGCGGAGCCTCGCGTTCACCGGCTCTACCTGCGGAGCCTCGCGTTCACTGGCTCTACCTGCGGGACCAGACCCCTGCAGCTCCCCAGCCAGCACGGCCGGGGCACGCCCGGGAATCTGTGTGCTCCCCAGGGCCCGGGGCGTTCGGGGCGCCGCGCCTTCCAGCGCCTGGGTCCCAGCCCCGATCCCGGAGACCGGCCCGGGGGGACCCGGGGTCCCGAGTGCACCCTCCTGCCCTGCAGACTGTCCCAGCGCCGGGGCCAGGGGGCGCAGGACCTCGCGCACGCCCGGCACGGACGCATCTTTGTCTTCCCTCTCTTCACGGCGCGCGATCTAGCCGGGAATCGTTTTCCGGCCCCAGTGTGCCCGGCGCGGGTGAGGCGGAAGCGGCCGGGGCGGGGGCGCAGGCCCGGCAGCCGCAGGCCGGTGCGGGATGCGCCCCGCAGCCGCGCCGCGTGCGCCCGGCAGAGGCGGCCCTGCGTGCCGTACGCTGCGTCCGGGGCGCGCCCGCCGCTATTCGGGAAGCTATTCAGCTTCCCGGGCTCATTAGCAGTCGCGGTGTGCGGCTCGGCGCGGGCTCACAAAGAGCTCGGCCTCGCGGACTGAGCCGGCGGCAGCGGGGCGGGGACGGCGGCGTACCCGGGCAGCCCAGCGCCCTGGCCAGGTAAGCTGGGGAACCTGGGCTGCCTGACTTGCCGGCGGCGGCAGCCTGGGGCCGCCCGGGGCGCCGCGAGGACCCGGACGCGTGGGGGGCGGCGCGGAGGTTGCGGCCCGAGCGCTCCAGAGCGCTGCCCTCCCGACTCAGCGTGGCTGCGGGGCGGCCGCCGCTGGGATATGGGGGTACAGCCCGGCGGCCCCACTCCTCTCTGACCGGCCGCTTCCCCCTCCCACGACGGGTGGGCGGGCGGGGCGGGGACCAGGCGGCGGCTCTCGCATCCCGCGCGGGGGGCACCGCGGCAAGGGGCCACCCGGCGCGGACAAGAGGCGCTGTGTGGCGGGGCTGTCCGCTCGACTCCTGCCGGGCTGGCCGGGCTGCTTGGCACCGGCATCAAGTCCCCGTGCCGGGCGGCAACTACTGAGTTTGGGGTCGCCTCTGGGTTCGCTGCCCCCAGAGAACCCAAGCCCAGATCTTCGCCCCCTTCCCTTTCCCTTTATAATAAGGCCCAGAGGGGAAAACTTATCAATTCAAAACCCCACACCCCGTTGCTCCTGGGCTGCAGGTGCCCGGTTGGGGGCACGGCGCGGACCTGCCCCTCGGCCTGGCCCCTTCCCCATGGCAGGCACTGCCTGGCAAGGCTGCTGGCGGGAGATCTGGCTGCAGATGGTGAAGGAGAACATCGAGGCCCCCGGTCCCCAAGCAGGGCGCCATGGGCCGGGCAGCGGGCCTCGGTGTGCCCAGGCGGGGAGGGGGCGAACTTCCTTTCTCCGACGCCTGCCGAGGACCGCCGTGGAGAGCAGAGCCTTAGAGGGGCCTGCTAGTCTTAACTTCGTATTTACTGGCAGAAGGAAGGCTTAATTTTTCAGATCTATTCAGATACGACCTGGCAGGCACCAGACATAAATCTGTGGTTGAGTGCAGTCAGCTCCTAAATGGGCATGTGGAGGGTGAGGCACCCCGAACTCGGCATCTTGCGTCTGGCACTGTTTTTGGGCTAAACTGCCTCTGGCCTCTTCAACCTCCTGTGCCTCTTTCTGTTTTTGTTTTTGTTTTATTTTTCTGTTTTCCTTCCTCTTTGAGAAAGGACAGTGATTTTAGAAATAATGACCCGAGAGCTTTGCAGGTTGAAGTGGGACGAGTTTTCCTAAGGTGCAGGTTGGCAGGTGCCAGGAGCCTGCAGGTGGCTTTTTCTCAGGCCTCTGGGTCAGGGTCCCTCCAATGAGGTGAGGCAGGGGTTTCTCCTGTGTGTCGCCACTACGCAGGGGACAGGATCTGGGTTTCCCAGTCCAGGGCGTCCAGGATGCCCTGCCCTCTGTGCTGATTCCTGGGTGACCGTGGGGGCTGCTTCCCCCTGCAGCCTGGGCTGGAGAGGGTCTCCTGAGCTTAGGATCTGCCAGGCAGGAGGGCCAGGGTGACACGGACCTGGAACGCTGGGGCTCCAGGCAATGTCCAGGGCGTGAGTGGGTAAAGCTGGAGCTTGTGGCTGTGTGCCGGCAGCCTTCCCTCGGTGGGCTCTAGCAGCACTGTCAGGGGGGCCCTTGGAGTGGGCTCCATGGCTGGGCTGGGACTGGGTGATGGCATTAGCGATGGGGCACCGAGTCTTCCCTCTTATTTATTAGGAAGTGTGGTCTGTGCCCCTCCCTACTGCCGGTCTCCTGGGCTCCTGGGATGGGAGGAGCTGCAGGCTGAGTCCCACGGGGTGTGAGTGTGTGTGAGCAGGAGAGTTGGGTGGGCGCTGGAAGGAGGTGAAACTGGTGACCGTCAGCTCCTCATTCTCTTCCACCTTGCATGTTTTCTCTGACACCCTAGACTCAAGTTGTGGCCTGCTAGTTAACTTGTTTACAAAACCTTTTTAAGTAGTTCTAACCTCTTTTTTTCAACAAAATGTTAGTTTTACAGGCATAATTGGTGGGGATGGATTGTGAAATGGAGGTGCATAAATACCTAGTTTGCCAACTGAGCTAAGAAATACTGGATAAAAATAAGAGATAATTGTAAAAGACACTGATCACACCCCTGGAAGCTGAGAGGGGTGATAAGACACCTTGATTTTTCCTAGACAAAACTGAGGAAGTCAGAGGAAAAACAGTTGATGGTGAGGTTGGCATCAGGCTGGGCTTTGTTTGGATTGGGCGGCGGTGGCTGTGGTGAGGGCTGTTGGAGTGGGGAGAGTGGGGGTTGAGCCTGGCTTCAGAGACCCCCTCGAGGCCTCAGCTCCTCTCCGGCGCTCCTGGCTGTCCTCTGCCACGCATACCTGCCCCGGTGACTCAACAGGTGTGGGCCTCAGGTGACACCATGGTCCGAAGTCGTGGAGAAACCTTTACTGTCCAGGGGAGGAGAGGACTGGCGGTCGGTGGGGATCGAGACCCAGCACACATCACTGGGTGGCTCGAATGTCTTCGGCAGAGATCACATGCCCTGCCTTGCAGCCTGGTCCTTAGAGAATGGGGAGAGTGGAGAGAGCTCTGGGCCTGGGTGGCGGGCGGTCCTGGCTGTATCACTCACAGGCTGCGTGCCCTCCCCATGCAGTCTCAGTTCCTCACCCTTGCCAGGTGGCTGTGAGGACTGGGAACGTGGAGGCACAGGTAGGATGTAAGGTAGCCACTGACCACCAGGCAGGCCTCCCCGATGTAGGTCAAGTTTGAGATGGTTGCTCACCAGGAGGCAGCCTGTGTGCCCGGTGGGGGCTGGGGGTGAAGTTTGAGAGGGTTGCTCACCAGGAGGCAGCCTGTGTGCCCAGCGGGGGCTGGGGGTGCTCTTTGTTCCCTTGGGTGGTGGTTGGCCCGAGTGCCCACAGGGAGGCTTCTCTGGCTCCTTCGTTTCCCAGAGTTCCTCCCCAACCCCCTGCCGCCCACCGCCTGGGTTGGGTCCAGCTCGTGTCTCAGAGCAGCCTGCTGGCACAGGCTGAGTCAGCTGTCGTGGGCACCGTCTTTTCTCGCCTCCCCTGAAGCCAATCTTCCCCTCTCTCCCTGTCCAGACACACAAGGGAGCCCTGGGAGGTAGGTGACCTCAAGATCATGCAGCCAGGCTCACTCTGTGGAACCCTACGTACTGGTGGGGTGCCACTGCTGTGTGCATTGTGATTTCTGTGCTGGCTGTGAGGTTTCCCAGGTTGGGGGCTGTGGGGTACTCCTGACTCTGCAAGTTGGCCCAGGCCAGGTGTGTCACCATTGCCCAGGCCTTCAGTGGCTTTCCAGTGCTCCCTCCACATCCACGTTACTCGGCTGGATTTTCTCAAGTTCCCCCACTTGCTCCCAAGAATGGCCCCTCCAGGCTGCCCTGGCTCCAGGCAGACAGGCTTACTGCCCAGATCTGCCCTGGGTTGTCCCCACCCCATCCCCACCTGTCATCTTGGCGCATGTCCATCCTGGAGATCCCAACTGAATGTGGGCTCTTTCCCTCTTATTCCTTGGTCCTCAGATTTGTCAGGCCACTCTTGCCTCAGGGCCTTTGCACCTGCTGTTCCCACCCCCTTGGCATGAGCCACCCCCAGATGCTCACATGGCTGGCCCCTCACTTATTGCCCACTCCCTGAAAGCCCTACATAAATTGGCTTTGTTAACCTTGCTTTGTGTTTCTCTTGTTAACCTTGCTTTGTGTTTCTCCTTAGTACTCACCATTCAGTGTGTTATTTATTTACTTGTTTGTTTATTGTCAGTCTCTTACCACTCAATTGTAAAAGACTTTGTTCACCTCTGGATCCCCAGTAGCTAGAAAAGTGCCTGGCACACAGCAGAGCCTTAGCGCTGTTGTTGGATGAGTGAGTGAACGAAACACGGGAGCAGTAGTCTCCTTGCAGCACATGTCCTGCTCCCTGTGCCTCCTTTTCCCGCGTCCCAGAGCTGGAACCTAGCTGTGTTCACATTTGGATCCTCCTGGCATGTAGCACAGACCCTCACTCAGTGGGCAGTCAGGAAAGAGCTGTAGAATTGTACAGTGCAACGTCAGTTTCACATAGGCCAGAGGAGAATGTGTTTGGGAAGGTAAGCAGCCCAAAGAGTGAGCTTTCTGATTCTGCACTAAGATTCCTTTTTGGATTTTCAGTTGTTTGGGTTCTCTGCACCCAGGCGGTCCCTGCTGCCAAAGTCAGCTCTGTGTCTCCCTGCAGTCACCTCGGATGTGGATGCACTTTGGAAGGAGGCACCCCCACGCCCAGATTCCCTTCCCACTCCATCTGGATCTTTCCAAACTTGTCTTGTATGTAATGTCAGACTCTGTCCCAGGGCTCCCAGCCACTCTGCTTTACCTTCCAGAAGCCTCCGCCTGCCTGACTGTCTCTTGCCTGTGTCCTGGCCTAGTTGGAGGAGATGCTTTAGTTTTATGAGAAAGGGACTGGGAGGTTGGAAAAGAGGATGGGATTTGGAGTAACAGGAGCTCAGTTCCAGCCTGGCCCTGCCACTAATCCCTGGGGCCCAGGGCCAGTCACCTGGCTTGAGAGTCTTTCTCAGCATCTGCAATACACGCACGAGGCCTCTTGCCTGCGGTTGTTTTGAGGCACAAATGAGATGCAATATTTAACTGATGCAAGATATTTTATGACAGCAAGTCATTTGGTGTGGCCACGTAGCCTTGGGCCTGTGTGGCTTCTCTTACTGTCCTGAGAGTTTTAAGGGTCAGGTTTGTGAGTTACAGCTACGGCCTAGTGAGAGAATGCAGAGGAGGCACGTCATAAACTCTAAGGGGCTGTTTTAATATAAGGTGCTATGTCTGTTGTTTTGTGTTTCAAGGATCAAAGTTAAGAGAAAAAAAATATGTGGTTGAACTTCCTGCATTGAGTGACTGAAAATATTTTCATCTCTAGTTTTCTGGAAACGGAAACACTCCAACATTTGAAGATGGTTTTGATGGCGAAACCACTGGAATGAAATGCACATCATTGGGCAATTCTGTGTGTTGAGTTTCATCCTTCTTTGTTTGTCATTTTAAATAATTTCCCGACAAATCTGGAAGGCACGTCTTGTCTTAACTTTGCAACAAGGAGGCTGGGGACAGGTAGCTGAGCTGTGGGTTGCCTAAGAACACTCTGCTGTGACGGGGCAGTGCTGGCCTTTGAGCCTGAGCTGGAGAGAGTGTGAGGCCCATGTTTTCTCCCTGTCTCCTGCTGGGGCCCATTTTGTATCAGATTTGTTTTTCACGGGGTGGGCATGACTAGGACTCGTGACCACTGGTGGGCAAGTACAGAGGCTAATTTTCAACACGTGCCGAGAGACTGATGGCTGGCATCAGAGAGTCATGGAAATGCCACAGATGACATGGGCCCTTCACAGGGATGGGGAGAGGGTCTGGGAGCTTGCCCTCCAGGAAGGTGGCTGACATGGTTGGTGGGACATGAAGGTGTTTTCCGTTTTGCACTTGAAGCCAACATGGATTCTTAGCACTTGTTGTCCCTAGAATCAACTGCGCAGAGAGATGCTTGGTTCTGAAACTCTCAGGCAAGGACAGTTCTGAGGAAACTCTCATTAGTAAATAGTGAGTCGGAGAACACTATTGACATTTGGCATTTTCAGTTGAGATATATGTGTACAGTCATGCGTCACATGACAGTGTTTTGGGGAATGATAGCATATATGACAGAGGTCCCATAAGATTATTATGGAGCTGAAAAATTCCTATTGCTTAGTGACATTGTCGTAAAGTTGTAGTGCAGTTACTTTATTTTTTAAAAAAATTTAATGTAGCCTAAGTGTACAATATTTATAAAGTCTACGCTAGTGTACAGATGGACTCACCCAGAGAAATTTCCAGTCTTGCAAGCTCCATTCATGGTTAGTGTCCTAGATGGGGTACTGTGTTATATATAATATATATATATGTTTTTTTGAGACGGAGTCTCGCCCTGTCACCCAGGCTGGAGTGCAGTGGCTCAATCTCAGCTCACGGCAAGCTCTGCCTCACGGGTTCATGCCATTCTCCTGCCTCAGCCTACCGAGTAGCTGGGACTACAGGCACCTGCCACCACGCCTGGTTAATTTTTTTGGATTTTTAGTAGAGACGGGGTTTCACTGTGTTAGCCAAGATGGTCTCGACCTCCTGACCTCATGATCCGCCCACCTCGGCCTCCCAAGGTGCTGGGATTACAGGCGTGAGCCACCACGCCTGGCCCATGTTTTATCTTTTATACCATATTTTTACTGTGCCTTTTCTATGTTTAGATAGATACTTGTGTTACAGTTGCCCACAGTATTCAGCGTGGTAACATGCTGCCCAGGTGTGTAGCCTGGGAGCAATGGCCTGTAACCTATAGCCAAGGTGTGGAGTAGGTTTGTATAAAGTATGCTCTATGATGTTTGCACAATGATGAAATTGCCTAATGACAAATTTCTCAGAACACATCCCTGCCATTAAGCGATGCATAACTGTGTGTATATGTGTGTGTGTGTGTGTGTATGTGTACGTATATATGTGTGTATGTATGTGTATATATATATAAAATTTTTTTTATTTGGTTGGTTTTACATTCCTGGAATTGACTCTCCAGCAGGGCAGCTGTAAATATGAATTCCTCCGAACTGTTGTATGCATTGTTAATTTAGTAAAGTACAGTTTATGGTTTCCCACCGTTGGTTTAATTGTCAACTGTCTTGGAAAAATCCATTGTTGCAAAAACAGGAAAACCACTAATTGAGTGAATGCGTGCATTTAGGGATGATGGATTTCTCAGGTCTCTCTGGAAGCAAGTGTGTGCCTTGTGCAAATAAAACATAGTTTCTGTTTCTCAGTCTTTTGCTGTAATAAGTGAGCCATGTGCTCTAGCATCTGTCTGGATTATCCGGAGCTGGTGGCAGCTGTCACGGGTGTGGTGCAGTGGGGCCAGGCATGTGTTAGGAACTGGAAGCTCTGGGAAGCCAGGCTTTGCCTCCACGTGTGAGCCAGCTGTAGAGCGTCACTGCTCAGAGTTTGTCTTGACTCATCCTGAGAAGGGCACGTGGAGATCTGTGTCCCATTCCTCACCAGCCACTGAGTTACTATGGATGGAGGAGATGAGATGTGTGCAACTGTTCTGCTACAGTAAAGCACTCAGTCAGTGCAGTCACCAGGTTTAGGGTGTGTGTGTGTTTTACCAACTTGCCTGCTGGGTTTCAGACACCTGGCACTACCTCCAGCCTCTTACTGATTCTGGCTAGTACTTGTGAAAGCCGTCAGCTGGGTGATGAATGGACCGATTTTGGCCGCAGGTCCCTGCACTTCCCATCTGGCCTGACTGCTAGATTCTGAGCCCCTGAGGCAGGACTGAGTGGGTCACATTAATGGCTGATTGTCTCGGGAATGGCATTGGGTGAAGTCGAGGTTTTCCTGACCCACAGCTCCTAGTAGAAGTGCCTTTCTTTTGTGCATGTATTGTGAAGATTCTGCCTGTGAACTTTCTCTACCCTTTGAGTCCTAAGGTTCAGGTACTTGGAGAGGAGCGTGTCATCGTTTTGCAGGTTGGATGTGCGGTTGTTGGGGAAGACATCTTTGTGCTGTGTTGGGTTGGAAGCTTTGAGAGCAGAAGCCCCTCCAGACCAAGAACTCCTGATTATGTCTCTCCCTTGGGCTTTCGCAGTTTTCAGCTTCTAAATTAATTGCATTTTATTAAGTAATGGTTTTCTTCTTGATCACAGGCGTGCCTGTGCTTAATCAGCACTGACGACTGGTGCTGCTTCAGTTGATTTGATACACCTAGAGGCAGCCTCATCTCCAACTTGCCTTGACTTCGTCTGGGGAGCTGCCGTGGGGGACCCCTGGACTGGCAGCATTCCCACCCCTCACTTTGGCAACCCTGGTCTAACTCCGTACGTGTTACTCCTTTTATCTGTCACATAGGGTGGCTTAATCTAATAGTGGAAACAAAGGGGTGCGGGACACTAACATGGTAGGTCTCACCTTGCCTGTCATTCACCTCTCAGTCCTTTGACACTCAAGGACTCTGCAGTGGTAGAACCGGGGGCAGGTACCCTTCACTTTTCTTACCCCCGAGTCCCTTTGCCTGGAGCTCTGTCCATCCATCCACCCATCTACTCAGTAGGTATTTTCTGAGCAGCTACTGTATTCCAGCTTTCTTGTTCCCAGTTTAGAGCTGGGTGGGATCAGGAGGGAGGGCATGGAGGGGGCTGCTGGAGAATGTGCAGTGGCATCAGAGCCCCATTCTGGCTCTGGGTCCAAGGCCCTCCTAGAGAGGCACAGTCTGGCAGATGTGAGAGCCCCATGGTAGGTTGGGGTGGATCATGGACCCCATCCTATAAGAGTGGGTGGGTTTACCCCTTCAGAGCCCAGGCCAGAAGAGCCCTCCAGGCAAAGGGCCAGCCTGGAATGGGGCACCCTGGGCACAGGGGGGACTATGTGGTTTGTGTAGGTTAGAGCTGGAGATGGGGGTTGGAGGGCAGTTGCTGACGATTAGGAGCTTGGTGGCCCTAGAGAGTCCTTGCTGTGGGTTGGGAGCGAAGCAGATGGGCCAATAACAACGCATAGTTTACCAAGCGAACTCTAGGAGAGTGATTTCTGCAGCTGGCTTCCCTAGCAGACAGGTCAGAGCGTGGGAGAAGGACGCCGTTAGGGGCATGTTCAGGGGTGCATCTAGAGGCGAGGGGAGGGTGCGGGGAGGTGCTGGTGGAAGATGCACTGCATGGGGTGGGGAGGGGCTCAGTAAGAACACAGGAGGGTGGCGGGGGCAGGTGTCTGGCCAAGGCAGCTCCTGCGTCATTGGGGGGCTCCAGAGCCCGCTCCCTATGTTCTGTAGGAGGCGGCTGCTGCTGCCAAGTCCCAGCCTTGCTAGTGAGGACGTTTAATTTTACCCTTTAGAGATTTACAGGATTTCTAGATTAACTTGCCCCTGTTTTTCTAAAAGAACGACAAAATCCATGACAAACCGTTCATCACATTATTAACTGGCTCACCCAGCCTTAACCTGTGCAGCTCCGCCAACTTACCCTCGGCACACAGGGAGGCCTGGGTCCCCAGGCAGCTCCAGTGTGCAGGGGTGTGGGTGACAGCGCAGGTGTGGCCTCCCTGCTGCTGGCCTCCGGTGGCTGGCCTCAGCCTGGCTGGGCACGCAGGCTGTCCTTACGGGGCTCCCAGTAGCTTTCTGGTCCTGCGTCAGGAGAGGGGACTGCACAGGGCTTGGGAAAGAGAGCGGGAGCAGCAGTGCCGCAGGATGATGGGCTCCAGAGGCCTCTGCAGCAGGGGTACTCTGGGGAGACATTCGGGTGCCTCCTGTCCATGGCCTCGATGTGCCAGGGCGCCTGCAGCTTGGACCCTCTTCCCCTTTCAGGCGGAGGGAGCTGTTCATCCTCTGGGGGCTGCTGGGCCAGAAATATCTCTTACCTGATAATGTCAGGCATCAGAGGTTCCTGTTTCGTGGGTAAGTTGCTGTATGTTTTGGGGCTGCAGTCAGTCTGTTTTTCTCACTGGCATGGCATGGGGGTGGGGGGCAGTATTCCCTCCCATGAGGCCCATGTCCACCTCATTATCTCTGTCTGCTGGGACTGCGCTGGATGCTGGCTGAGGCTGCCTTTGTTACTTTCATGCGCCATAACTGGAAAGGCCTGCTGCTTGTTAGGCTCCTTAGAATTCTGATTTGAAGGCTGGGCATGGTGGTTCATGAGGTAATCCCAGCACTTTGGGAAGCCGAGGAGGGAGGCTCGCTTAAGCCCAGGAGTTTGAGACCAGCCTGGGTAACGTAAGGAGACCCCATCTCTACAAAAAAATAGAAAAGTTAGTCGGATGTGGTGGCTCACGTGTGTGGTCCTAGCTACTCGGGAGGCTGAGGTGGGAGGATCCCTTAAGCCCAGGAAGTTGAGGCTGCAGTGAGCTGTGACTGCGTCACTCTACTCCAACCTGGGTGACAGTGAGAACCTGTCTCAAAAAAAATATCTGATTTGAAGGAGAGGGAGCTCTATTTGATGCGGGGGTTGGGGGTGGAGAGCACCTCTGTGAGTAGACCTTTCTGTCATCTTGATGGTTTTAATCAGATATCTAATATTATATTAGTAGTTCACGTCAACTGATGTCCCAAACCCACTTTCTTCTCTTCTCTTCTCTTCTCTTTTGAGACAGAGTCTCATTCTGTCGCCCAGACTGGAGTGCAGTGGCACGATCTCAGCTCACTGCAAGCTCCGCCTCCCGGGTTCACGCCATTCTCCTGCCTCAGCCTCCCCAGCAGCTGGGACTACAGGCGCCCGCCACCACCCCCGGCTAATTTTTTGTATTTTTAGTAGAGACAGGGTTTCACCGTGTTAGCCAGGATGGTCTTGATCTGCTGACCTCATGATTCGCCCACATCGGCCTCCCAAAGTGCTGGGATTACAGGCATGAGCCACCGCGCCTGGCCTCTTTCTTTATTGTGATGTAGAGAAACCAAACTCTGGTGTATTTAATCCATTGTGTTTCACAGCAGGGATCACTGCCTGGCTCGCCTGTCATGGTGTGGGGGCAGTGCCTGATTCTGGAGATGGGCTATCATTGTGCTGACTGGGTCAGCAGTGGCTGCTCCCAAAAAGTCCCATAAAACCCACCCATATTTGTAGAAATCCAAATAGAGTTTACTTCCCAGTGGTCACCCTTTTAAATACAATTAGATTTAGTTTCAAGGAAGTAACTGGAGTTATAATACATTAATTTGGGACTGATTTTTGTCCCACCCATCCAGTCCCTGACAGTGGTCCCCAAACTCTCAATCATGTTCCTTATTGGAACCTTCCAGGCTGGCATAGGCTTAGGGTCCATTACGGGTGTTCAAGGTCCAGAATTCATGTCACCTGATTGCTTGGACACAACTGGACCTCACATCTCCGGCCCTGACACCAGAAACTAGGCCTCCATCTGCCAGTGTCTTAGTGGAATCTATTTTAGCAAATGACTCATCTTAAAATAATGCACTATGTAATCAACAAGAAAATGAGAGAACACCCAGTAGGAAAATGGCAAAAGACACGACACACACACACACACACACACACACACACGTCCACTAAAGAGATGAAAAAGTACTCCACTCCATTAGTCATCAGGGAGATGCAAAATGAATTGTAAATGGGACACCATTCCACACCCACCAGAATGGCTAACATCAAAAGAGCAGAAAAAGCTGGGTGCAGTGGCTCAATGCTTGTAATCCCAGCACTTTGTGAAGCTGAGGCGGGTGGATCACCTGAGGCCAGGAGTTTGAGACCAACATGACCAACATGGTGAAACCCTTTCTCTACTGAAAATACAAAACAATTAGGTGGGCATGGTGGCGGGCGCCTATAACCCCAGCTACTCGGGAGGTTGAGGTGGGAGAATCACCTGAACCCGGGAGGTGGAGGTTGCAGTGAGCCGAGATTGCACCACTGCACTCCAGCCTGGGCAACAGAGCGAGATTCCGTCTCAAAAAAAAAAAAAAAAAAAAGAGAAAAAGAGCAGAAAATAGCAGGTGTCGGTGAGGATGTGGAACAAATGGACCTCTGATTGTTGGTCAGAGTAGACATTCGTACAACTGCTTTGGGAAGCTTTTTTGTAGAATTAACTAAAGCCAAGCTTACATATACTCTATGACCAGCAGTCTCAATCCAAATGAAATGGAGTGAAATGGGCATATGGGCATTAGTGACCTTCAAATGACATCAGGTTCTAATCCCTGAAACCTGTGAATGTTACTTTATGTGGTAGTGGTTTTGCAGATGTGTTTAAGGATTTTGTAATGAAGAGATTGTCTTGAATTATCTGGGTGGGCCCTAAATGCCATCCTCAAGGATCGTATAAGAGAGAGGCAGAGAGAGATGTGACCAAGGAGGCGGAAATTGGAGTGATGCGGCCACAGCTCAGGGAGCACCGGCAGCTGGGAGAAACTGGACAGGGCCAGGTAAAGGATTCTCCCCTGGTGCCTCTGGAGGGAATGTGGCCCTGCCAACAGCTTGATTTCAGCCCAGTGAAACTGCATGTAGACTTCTAGCCTCCAGAACTGCGAGAGAAGAAATGTGTTTTCAGCCACCCAGTTTTGTGGTCATTTGTCACAGCAACCGTTGGAAATGGATACAGCCATCAAGAGACACACAAAAGTGTCCATAGCAGCGTGATGGTAACTGCCAAAGTGCAAAGAAACCAGATGGCCATCAGCAGCAGAATAGATCAGTACCCCGAGGGTCTTCTCACAGGGCACACTGTACGGCAGGCCGAGAATGAGCACTCTGCAAATGTGGCAGCTGTGTGGATGGGGCTTGCCACGTAACGTTGAGCAAAAAACCCCAGATGCTAGAGTGTGTAATGCATGATTCTGTGTCTAGGAAGGGCAACAGACAACTGTCATGTGTGGAAATCAGGTTGCCTTCGGGAGATGGTACTGATAGGAGGCCCAGGGGGAGGGAAGCACAGCTTTTGGAGGTGCTGATGATGTCCCCTTTCCCCATCTTGGTTTGCATGGGAAGGTTCCATTTATGCTATGGAACTTTTCTGTATGTATATATTTCAAGAAAAAGTATAAAAACAGAGCAGTTCATGATCTTGGAGTTTTCAAGGTGAAATTTGAATGGAATGAGTCATGGCTTCTTCTACTGCTAGAACAATACTATCAAAATTGAGATTATACTTAATGTGAGATAATTAGATTTTGCCATTACAACAAATGCTACTAAATATTCAGATGCACACTATATTTTCTAAGTGAGATCAGGGTATGTAAACCCGAGTAGGACGCTAAGATGTATATAGATTTAATTGGTGTGGATAAGTTATCTGCAGGAAATGTATTTTTATTTCTGCATATAAAAGAAGCTGTGCTTTTAAAGAAAACTAGACACAAGTAACCAAATGTTTAAGTATCAAACGTTATGTGGTTGCAGTTGAGAGGGAAACCAAAGAGCTTTAAGAAGAGCAGTCGGGGGGAGATGTGGCGCATGGAGAACTCATCGGGGGCAGCCCCATGTCCTCGCAGCCCAGAAGTCCTGGGTGGAGGTTCTATGGCACCACCTGGCTACCTGCCTCCCCAGGCAAGGGCCCAACCCCTCAGGTCCCCAGAGGCGCCCCATCTCCTTTGCCTACGTCTCTCCCCACCTGCCTTCCCTGCCTCATCTACCTGTGAACTTCTCATTCCTCTGGACTCTACTTTGCCCCTTCCGGGTTGCCCCCAGAGCTCTTGTTCTGGCTGTGAGCCCACCAGGATAGGGCCATGTCGCTGACTTCAGAGGAGAGAGACTCTTTGTCTGACGACTGTTGACCTCGTAACCACTCAGCTTCATGGGCCACAGTGTGCTTGAGTGAGCACAGCCATGGCGTGGGTTCACCTGAGGCTTCGTGGAAGCCGTGTTGCGTTGCAGCCGGTTGGAGGCTTCCGTATGCTCAGGGCGTCGTGTGTGCCCGGCCTTGCTCTGCACAGCTCATCTGTGCATGTGAGCTCACTTCCTCCTCAGCCTCCCACAGAGGCACTGGGAGACCTTGGACTGGACACGCGTGCAGGCCTGGTCATGGCATTCCTGCAAGCGTGCTATCTGCGGGCTGTTTCCGATTCACAGGGCAAAGGGTGTAGATATGCAGAATGAGCATGTAGGGACCTTCGTGGTCGCCTCTGTGTGTTGGATCGGATAATAAAGTGAGGAATGTCTTTAAAAAAAATTCATTTAGGTAGTAATTTAGTTTTATTTTATTTTGCAAAAGTACAGATCTGTAATATACTATGAAAAAACCAGTCTTTCCCCCAAGATGCTTTGCGACACAGTGGTGTGAAGTGTGGGAGAGTGTGTCGGGAGAGATGAGGAGGCAGGGCAGGAGTGGAGGGTCGGAGAGCAGGAGGTGAGGGACCCCTGGGGGAGAGGACCTCAATGTTGTGTCAGTTCCTTTCTAGGTGAGGAGTTGGAGCCCCAGACAGGGGGACTGGGCCGTGGTCACGGGTGGCAGAAGCAGAGCCTTTGTTTGCACCAGACCTTGACCCTGCGCCCCGTGGGTCCTCCCAACCCTTCTTCCCAGCCTCCTCCGCCTGGACTCAGGCTTCTTCGGGCTCATCAGACCTGAACAGCCTGGCAGTGTGGCTGTGTGGGAATGGGTGACAGGTGCTGTTCTCCCCAGTGCAAATCACCAATGCTGGGCACCGTGCATCAGCGTCGTGGTGACGGCAGCATTGGGTGGATCTTCAGGGAATGTCGCTTGTGCCCTCTCGGGCTCTGAGGGTCCCACATGACAGAGACCAGCATCTACTGCCCTGGCCACTCACTCAGGTCACTTTATGCTTGGTGACACATCACAGTTGCTCAAACTGAAGCCTCCCTGTGGCTTTGTCATCTTCTTTCCAGCCAAGGGGGCTGTCCCGACAGACTCTCCCCATCACCTTGGCATTTTACTACTGTGGTGTGTTTGGTGACATTTGTAAATGTGGTGATTTTTTTTGCTGTGCCCTTTGTTGCTGTGGCTGCTTCTACAAATGTTAGGATAAGCTGTCGGGGGCCGCTTCCCTGCGTTTTGAGCCCTTTAGCCTGGGCGGCGCCCCTGTGTGTCCTGTTTCCCTGTCAGGATGTCCTGTCCCATCTGCAGCCTCTTCACCCTGCAGGGACTTCTCTTGTGTCTCTGTCCTGTGGCTGACTGGCTGCCTGGCAGAGAGGCAGGCACTCACTCATTTGCTCACCCCTTCACCCAGGTCCTCCTTGTAATATGTATTGTAAATTGTATATTTACAACTTACCCTTGTCCACATGCATGCGGCCCACTGCCCTGCCCCTGGCTGGGGCTGACCCCTGGATCCCAGCACCTGGCACAGCACCTGGAACTCGGTAGCTGCTCCAGGAAAGTGGTCAAATGGTTTCAACAGCTCCACACCCCGTCCCATGTCAGAGAGACTAGAGTACCAAGCCCAGCACTGTTCCGGTGGTCATTTCCAGGGATGTGCGTGAAGCAAGCTGGTGTCATGTGATGCGGTCACTCTAGAACCTCAGAAAGATTTTGTGTCTTCAGCCATACTGCAGGCACGCTTGGCTCTGTCCGGTGCTTGGGGAGCACAGTGGCTTCATCAGCCATCACCGTGGCCTGAGGATCTGAAAGGGTGTCTGAGGGGTGGGCCTGGTGGTGCTGCCCCTACCCCCAGCCCCCACCCAGCTCTGGGGTTTGGGGTTGTCTGAGCCCCGCCCCACCCTCCCAGATCCAGTGGGAGCCAGCGTGGCACGGCAGGGCCCTGTGGCTTGGGCCAGGCTCTCTCTATGGTCTCCTGGCTGGCATTTGCACTATGGAAAGCCCCTCTTCCTATGGGCCTGTCCTTGCCTTCAGCACAGCTGGGATTTGGGGTGGGTTTTCAGTATGTGGTGCTGTGTGTGGTTCAGAAGCACAGACGCATGACTTCTCTGTGCCCTGGATGCTTTCCAGCTGCATCTCCCATGTTCTTGGTTGGGGGGTGGCGCTTTGTTTATTGCACCTGGGGGAGGGTTGAGTGGTCCTGGATGCAGCCCCTTCTCATCTCCCTGTGCCGTGGCCACACCCCTGACTGTTTTTGCCCTGGATGATTGATGTGGGAGCTGGACTGTGGCCAGAGACTCTCCCTGCCCATGTTGGCCTGTGGACTGCTGCCTGGCCACCCTGCGGGGTTAGGGACGTCTCAGGAGTGAGCATTCCAGTGTTTGCAGTGCCGAGGGCATCATGCCAGATTCTGGCACACACACAAACCAGCATCGGGAAGCCTGGACCCTGCCCTCGGGGAGCTTTTGATGTGTGTGTGTGTGTGTGTGTGTGTGTGTGTGTATGTTGGGGGTCTGGGGTGGGGGAGGGGAAGAATAAAGGGCCAGATGGGGCTCCAGCGAGGTATGGCAACAGGAGGGAAGATTCAGGCCTGAGTGAAGCAGGCATCACAGATGGGGGCTCATAAAAACCCGAAGGTAAAGGGGGGTGCATTTCCATCCTCGCTCCTCCAATGTGGGCTGCACACAGTGACCTCTGTCCACAGAGCCCAGTGCAGAAAGGGGAAGCAGAAACCCAACACACACCGCCTCAGCCTGGGGGCCACAGTTGGCGCCAACAGCAAGTCATGTGGGTGGCACATGCCCTGGGTGCTGTGGAGGGAGGAGGGCACTTTCCTTCTGTATCCGTCCTCCCCCAAATCCGTTACCACTACGTAATTATGAGGAAAACTCCAGACAAATTCCAGTTGAGGGGCATTCTACAAAATACCTTGCCAATGCTCTTCAAAATATCAAGTCCATCAAAACTAAGGACACTCTGAGATGCTGTCACAGCCAAGAGGAGGGCCCTCTTCCCCTTTCAGGTGGAGGGAGCCTGAGGAGACGCGACAGCTGAACATGATGTGCTGTCCTGCAGGAGGTCCCGGAGCAGAAAGAGGGCGCTAGGGAGAAGCTATGGAAATGCCAATGAAGTATGGACTGTAGTTAATAATGGTGGATCGAGATTCATTAATTGTGATTCATGTGCTGTGCTGATGTATGGCGATGTTAATAATCATGGAAGGTGGCTGTGGGTATATGAGAACTCTGTGGAGTCTGCTCAGTTTTTCTGTAAGTCTAGAACTGTTCTAAAAATGAAGTCTATTAATTGTTGGAAGGCAGATTGTGTCCCTCCACCATGTCCCTGGTGGTGGGACCTTGGCTCCAAACCTCACTGTTCCCCCATCTGTCTCAGGACCCTCACCTTTGTCATCCTTTTCGGTTCCTCTTTACTGTTCCCATGAAAACTGGGGGGTAAGCTCATGTTAGTATTTAGAATATGTATGTTTTAGTGCCCCAAGTTTCTGGGTGCTTGAAAATGACCGGTTTCTCAGATGCAGCCTGCCTGGGTGCTGGGGGCCATCCCTGGGAGAGAGAGAAGCCCAGTGACTTGAGCTTGGAAGATTTTGAAAACAAAACATCAAAGCCTGGTTTGCTGACGTCCTGTGGCCCAGTTCACTTTCTGTGGTGCCGGCCAGGTTCCATGGGTCTGATGATGCCGGCAGCAGTGTCCCTGGCCTCTGGCTTTATCTTATGTTCACTAGAAAAGAAGAATATGTCCTGTGATACTTGATCCCCTGATCAGCCCCTGGGCTCACTTATAGTCAGTGACAGAGGCCATGTTTTTTTGGGGGGTGATATTGGTCACGATAGACGATAGTGACCAAAGCTGTTGTAAGTGCGGTTGACCGTCCAGTGAGGAGGCAAAAGAGAGCCAACATCTTCATGAACTGGGCTGGCACCTGAGCATTTATGGCCATGGCCTAGCTGAGTAGCTGGTCGATCCACTTTGTTCCTGCAGAAAGGGTGGCCTGCTGGGGACACAGAAAAACAGCCCTGGCCACTGAAATGGCCATTTCAGCTTCAAGTTACATAAGCGTCAGCGCCTGTATTTGTGGTGGAGGCCCAGGATGAAATGAAATATTGCCCAGGGAGGGCAGAGCTGCAGTCCTGTAAATGGGCGGGGACCCCGTGGTCTTGTGGAGTCAGCAGGGACAGCTGCGGTTTAGTGGAGAGTCAGAGGGGCCTTCCTGGGACCCCACTGCCTCCCTACAGTCCAGCTTGCGGCTGGCAATGACATCCACTTTGCAAGATGATGTGAGTCATGACAGAGCCAGGACCTGGCACAGGGGAGGTGCTGGGTGAGGGACAGGCAGTGCTCTGTGGTGGGCCAGTGGTGGGAAGGACCCTTCTGGAAGGCGGAAGACCTACACTGCCGGGGCCCTGGGCAAGTCACAGCCTCCTCACTTGTCCCTGAGGAGGGACAAGGACAAGTCAGAGGAAGTGATTCCTACGGGTCTTACCACTCATCCGGATTTTGTGACAAAATTAGGTTGAACCATATGAAACTGTTATTTCTGTATGTCAAAAAGTGATCCAATATAGGCAACTTCATATGCCTCAACTCAGCAGTTTAGCATTACAGCGATTTTTGGCAAGAGAGAACACTTTTATTTAAAAAACATTATTTTTAGTTATCACATATGAATTCATTCATTGTATTGGAAAACAGAGATAGCAGAAAGCGAAAGGAGGAAGCTTTGAGATACCAGACTCCACCCGCCGGGGGCCCTCCTGTTGTTTGCCCACGATTCCTCCCTGTTCCTGGGCACCCCGGCTCCCAGCATTCCTTCTCCTGGACGGTATATGAGGAGCACTTTCCACACTCATGGACGGTTTCTTCCACACCCAGCCATACGAGTTTGTCCTTTCTGGAGCTGGATCCCAGGGTTGGACATTAAATTTGTTTAGAATGTTTTTCTGCTATGAATGAATGCTGTAATAAATATCCTTGTAGTTGTGTTTTTTGTTTTTTATTGGCAGATATTCATGATCCCTTACTATAAATTTACAAGAGTAGAATTGCTGGGCAAAATGTTAAGGCTTTTGATTGACATCTGGAAAGGTTTTATTACCCACTGACAGTGAGAGTGAGGGGTTGCCCTCCCCTCTTCCTTCCTTTTCCCTCTTCCCTTCCACCCATTTGATGGTACACCATTGAGCAGCATCCAGCAAACAGTGTTGGTGGCTCCCCTCGTTATCTGCAGCACGCAGACTCCCTGTGTCCAGCAAACAGCGTTGCAGCACCCCTCAGTGTCTGCAGCACGCAGACTCCCTGTGACCCAGCTTCCTAGGCTGGCTGGTGGTGTTTGGAGAGGAAATCAAGAACGTGTGGGGAAGCCCGTGGAGAATTTTAGAGACTTCCCATGACACACGAGGCAGTGGGAGTGGGGCTGGAGAGAGACTGTTAGTTATTCCAGGGAGAGAGGCCTTTTCTGATTGTCCCACTCACCAGCACACTGAGGGGCTGGGCCGCTGACCTGATGGGTTGGGGACCAGAGCCCTGGCTTATGTGCAGTTGTTTCTTTTGAACATGTCTTATTTTGCTGGTGATCTGGCAAGTAGGTTGAAACCAAGCCCTCCCCCAGTTCCTCAACCGCCTGGGACTGCACAGGTGCCTGGGAGTCTGATGGCTGGCAGGCTGCCTTTTGAAGCTTGGCCTGGTGTCCCGGAGCTGTTGGTTGCCCTAGGAATCCAAGGAAAAGCTGCTGAATTCTGCGGCCCCAGGAGGATCTTTGTCCTCCTTTTGCAGAAGCAATAGGTGGATTTGCTCTGTTGAGCTGGAAGGAGGAATTTTTAGATTTCCTCTGGCTGAAGAAGTTAAAATGGAACCATCTACATCAATTCCCCGCAATTGGACTTTGAAGCAAGCTTTCGGAAGAACGGACTTGACTATTTTCTATGCGTGGAAGCAAATTCCTTGGGAACTTCTGGTGAATTTTAAAGTGCTTGTCTATTTTGTTTCATTCTCCAATACTGAGAAGTCTTTAATAACTAGAGGCTGCCTGGGTAGGTCAAGGTCTGAGGGGCAGCACTCCCCACCAGAGCTAGTCATTAAATAGATCTGCCATCTGTAGTTTTTGTTTTGCATTTTGAGATGGAGGTGTTGCTATGTTGTCTCTAGGCTGGACTTGAACTCTTGGGCTCAGGCAATCCTCCCGCCTCAGTCTCCTGAGTAGCTGGGACTACAGGTACATGCCACCGCACCTGGCTTGATATCTCTGTTTTAAAAATGCTGTCTTCTAGCAATTATCTTGTATCTCTGGAGGAGAAAGGTGCCATTTTTCTGGCAGTGGAATTTGGGGCTGAGAAGGACCCTGGCTCCATCAATGGGGGCTGGCGTCTAACATGCTAGATTTTAAGATCCTTTAAATATTTTTTCTGATTATGAAATTAAAATGTACTAATTATAAGGGCTCGAACTTTACAGAAATGCATCATGTAGAATAGAAAATGAAAGCTTCCCCCCAAGTTTCACCACTGCCCCATTCAGTGCCCACAAGGATAATCATTATTCACAATTTGGTGGAGACTCCTCCCATTTTTTTTTTCTGTCTGTGGAAATATTTTACTTGTCTTTTACACAAATACATGTTTTAAAAGTATTTTTCAACAAAATGAGATCCTATTGTAAATAAGATTTGCAGTTCGATCCCCCAGCCGTGTGTCTTAGCCATGATCCCTTGTCCGTTGTGCATAGCAGCATTATTCTTTTTTAAAAAAAATTTACTTTAAGTTCTGGAATACACCTGCAGAATGTATGATAGACTAGATAAAGAAAGTGTGGCACATATACACCATGGAATACTATGCAGCCATAAGAAAGAATGAGTTCATGTCCTTTGGAGGGACTTGGATAAAGCTGGAAGCAGCATTATTCTCTCTGACACTTGCACAATATGTGACCGTTTACTTATTGAACTTTTGGGTTGTTACCATTTTTCTCACTTATGGAAAATGCTGACATGTGGAGTCTCGTACATTAAACTCTTGTGTCTGCATGGGGTTGTTTCCGTAGCATAGGTTCCTAGAAGTGGACTTGCTGGGCTGAATGGTTTGGGCATTCAGAGTGTCAACAGATATTGCCAAGTTGCTCTCTGGACAGGTGGTGACCATTTTAAATGATGCTGGTGTGTGGGGCAGCGGTGTCCCCACTGACACTCTCTGGACATCGACACTCTCTGGACATGATCAGTCTTTGTGGTTTCATTCAGTCATGTGGGTATAAAGTGATAGCTTATTTCATTTTGTATTTGTAAAAATTGTGAATGACAACAAGCTGCTTCTTGTGTGCTTAATACTAATTTGAATTTCTCCTTCTAATTCTCTTTTTCATCCTTGCCTCTTTTCCTCTTGACTTGTGAAGGTTTTTTTTGTTGTTGATTTATAGGTGTTCTTGGTACATAGGGTTATTCCTCATTTGCTATATATATTGCAGATATTTTTTTCTCAGATGCCACTTGTCCTTTGATTTTATTTAAAGACATATTTGGCAATGCAAAAATTTGGAAGTTTTACATTGTTAAATCTATCAAGCTTGCTTTATTTACCCTGAGTTTTGTATCTTACTTAGAGAAAGGGTTTCTCTACCCTAATATATATAAGCACCCTCCTGCATGTTCTGCTAATACTTGATAGTCCAGATTTTTCTACATTTACATCTCTTATTCAATCTAAAATGTATTTTAGATGTAGTGTGAGTTGGGGATGTAGTTTTTTTATAGGAGTATTCAGTTTTCCAGCCTAATTTCCTAGTCAGCCACTTTGACCTCTCTCTTTTGGCAGATTTGTCATGGGTTAAGTTGCTGCTGTGTTCTGAGTGTTTCTCCTGTGTTTCTGGATTCTCCATTCTAATTTACTGCTTTATTCTTGTGCCGATATCTACCGTACAAGTTACTGTGGCTTTTGGTAAGACTTTGTTATCTTAAAGGGCCATTACCTCTTCATTCCTCTTCTTTTTTCATTTTCCCCCTAACCTTTCTTCTATATTCCTTTGACTAGAATCATCCTTTCAGCAGGAGCCAGGCAGAGCAGCTGTCCGTGGGCTCCCCAGTTGGCCAGAGCTGTTGGCCAGGATGTGGAAGGAATCAGGCGGGAGCCCCCAGCGGGATGGTCATTGCGGTGTCTCTGCACCTAAGTGATTTGTTTTTGCAGACATCAATGCTCAGGATTGATCAACCTCAGGATCAATGCTTGGGAAGTGTAGAGCTTGCGTCCCATCATAGATATGACTCCGAATCTGTGGGGACTCTCCCTGGGCTGACTCATAAAATGAATGGGCACCTGAGCCACTCTGTGTGATGCTGAAAACCAGGAGCGCTTGGGCGACCCTTTCAGCCATAAAGTCTGCCTTTCCCCAGGGGAGTGGCTGCTGCTGGTGTATTTTCTATTTGAACCAACTTAAAGGGGCCTGCCCAAGTTTCAGAAAGAAACTCAGGTTCTTGACATATACAGGGGGAACCCTTTCGTTTCTAAAATCTGTTTAAAAACCTTAATGTTATTTAAAAATCCACTTTACCATTGGTGAAAATATCCTCTTACGCATTTGCAGTGCACCTCTGTCCTCTGTGAAGTACCCCGTGAGTGCAGGCCTGTGCCCGTGACCTGGCTGGACCCTGGGGTTTTCCCGAGCCGTTGTCCCTGAGCTGTTTGTGGTGTAGACAGGCAGCCCTGTGGGCCTGGATAAGAGGTTTTGCATGCTCCTTACAGTTCAAAGCAGGCGTGGGCCATCTTCCCTGACTCCTGCCTTGTCCTCCAATAGTAAGTCACGCCCCTGTCACTCCCTGATGGAGCCACTCCACTGAGGTTATTGTTGTTTTTGTTTGTTTTGTTTTCTTGTTTTTTTTTTTTTGAGACAGAGTCTTGCTCTGTCGCCCAGGCTGGAGTACAGTGGCGCAATCTCGGCTCACTGCAAGCTCCGCCTCCCAGGTTCACGCCATTCTCCTGCCTCAGCCTCCCAAGTACCTGGGACTACAGGCGCCCGCCACCATGCCCAGCTAATTTTTTGTATTTTTAGTGGAGATGGGGTTTCACCATGTTAGCCAGATGGTCTCGATCTCCTGACCTCGTGATCCACCCGCCTCCGCCTGTCAAAGTGCTGGGATTACAGGCGTGAGCCACTGCACCAGGCCCACTGAGGTTATTGTTGATTTTACACTGGGGCTTTTCTTTGGGATACCTCAGGCTCCTGGTTATGCAATAGAGGAAACATTCTGAGAGAATCGGCTGGTGAGATGCCTGACACCGCTCTCCTGGCATCTGACATCAAGGATATCTTAATATTTCTAGTTTTTAAAAATTGTGATAAATAACACATAACATGACATTTACCACCTGAAATACTTTTAAGTATATGATTCTATGGCATTAAATACACTCAGTGTTGTGCAACCATCACCGTCATCCATCTCCAGAACTTTCTTCATCTTGCAATCTGAAATTCTGTGTCCATTAAACACTAACTCCTCCTTCCACCTCCCCCAGCCCCCGGCAGCCACCATTTTACTTCCTTTTTTTTTTTTTTT
The DNA here is from genome assembly GCF_000001405.40 of Homo sapiens. Lineage (NCBI taxonomy): Eukaryota > Metazoa > Chordata > Mammalia > Primates > Hominidae > Homo > Homo sapiens. The sequence continues at coordinate 28,909,002 of NC_000015.10, forward strand.
TTTGAGACACTGTCTTGCTCTGTTGCCCAGGCTGGAGTGCAGTGGTGCAATCTCGGCTCACAGCAAGCTCCGCCTGCTAGGTTCACGCCATTCTCCTACCTCAGCCTCCCAAGTAGCTGGGGCTACAGGCGCCCGCCACCATGCCTGGCTAATTTTTTTTTTGTATTTTTAGTAGAGATGGGGTTTCACCGTGTTAGCCAGGATGGTCTCAATCTCCTGACCTCGTGATCCGCCCGCCTCGGCCTCCCAAAGTGCTGGGATTACAGGCTTGAGCCACCGCGCCCAGCAACCACCATTCTACATTCTGTCTCTGTGAATTTGACGATTCCAGGTGCCGCATGTGAGTGGAATCATACAATCATTTATCTTTTTCCAACTGGCTTCTTTCACTTCGCGTGACGCCCTCAAGGCCCATCTGTGTTGTAGCATGCGTCAGAACTTCCTTCCTTCTTAGGGCTGACTACTGCCCCCATTGTATGGATAGACCATGTTTTGTTTGTGGTTCATCCCTCAGACATCGAGAATATCTCACACAGTAGAAAGAATCCAAGAAGCCAATGAGGACTTGATCTTGGTCGCCTCTGTGAGGGTTGGGTGGACAGGCCAAAGCTACCTACTCATCCTGCATCGAGCTGGATGCTGGGCACAGGTGCTGGGCACAGGTGCTGGGCACAGAGGATGCAAACTGGAGCAGGAGCCAGTTCCTGCCCCCAAAGTGCAGCAGCAACATGCCACGTTAGTGCCAGCCTATCCGGGGCTTTGTAAAGCTAAGAAAAGAGCCTGTATCCATCCTGAAGGCCGTGTGACCACAGGGCTTCTAAAGGATGCTTCTGTGTTCCCAGAGTTAGGTGGAAGCTCTTAGAAGGATCTCTTTTATCCCAGTGCTCTTGCTAAGAATGGAAAGCCCCTCTGCGTGACTGCAGTAGCTGGTGCGATCCTCTGGTCACTTGTACCAGAGCCGGGGAGGTCGTGGCTTGCAAAACTCACCTCTCATAATGGGATGCCAATAAATATTATCCGAAGTTGGTATACCCAGAAAGAGAGTTTAAACATTATTTAGAGAGGTGGAAAACAGCCACCGGTAGAATTAAAATCAGAAATAATGACAAGGATGGCCAGCGGAGTGGGGAAGTCCAGATTGGGGAATGTGATGTTTCATTATAAGCACTTTCAGCATTTGCTTACTTTGGTCTGAGTAAAAGAATTGTCTCCTTTTTTTAGGGCCATGTACAGCAAAGGACTGACCATCTGTCAGACATGCTGGTCAGTTTTCCTGGCAAAGCAGGGTTGGAGGTTTCTGTCCTCAGGTGGGTGGGCAGGGACGGCAGCTTGCCGTAAGGTATCCAACAGCACCAGGGGCAGGAAATGAAAAGTGCTCAGTGATTGGTGGGATAATGGTATCTAGCACAATGATTCCTGCCAAAATCTTAATGGTGTGCAATAAATGAAAATGCTGCCCCAGTCAGATGGGACCAGCATTTTTCAGCAACTTTCAAGGTCTTGTGTCACAGGAATGAAGATCCGAGTATTTCCCACCCATGGAGGGGGTGGTGAAGGAGTTTTCAGTCCTGGGCACCCTGGGCTGTGCCGAAAGTCTCTGCGTCACACCGCCTGGGTTAGTTGGGAAAGAGAGCTCCCACCGTTCTCTTTTAACCCTTGTCCTTTTGTACCACAGCAATTGCTTTCCTGGAGATCAGAACCATGTCTGGGCTTAACATCATCTTTGGAAATCCTAAAAGGCAATGAAGAGATTTTTCTCTTTTCATTTCTTTTTGATACAGCCGTGTCAGTTTGAAATTTTATTTTCATATCAGTTCTAATAGTGTGTCTGCTTGACATAGTTTCTGTTAAATGGGCTTGATATGAAGTTATTTAAAAATTCAAATATTTAGAGTTTCAGGGCCCATCGTCTTGATTTTTGGGGCAGTACCTCAATTTCATACGGTGTTATTCTTTTCCAGAGAGATGGGTCACTGAATAATTTACATTTTATGGTTGTTTTGTGAGAAACTATTTCTGGTTATAAATAGTAAACATCTTCTAGGTTTTGCAGTAAGAAATAATGGATTTTGTTAGAAAAAAGAACCATAAGAAGATGTGATTTTAATTTTGACTATTTTGACTTCCTGTAAGTACCTTCTGGAGCAGAAGGTTTTCTCTTCGTGGATTCTGCATCTTGGATTTGGGGACTCTGTTGCACTGAGCTGTGCTCTGTGGGGAGGAGCCTGTGGCAGAACAGTTTGGGTTCTGCTGGCCACCTTTCACTCTATTCAGTGAGGCTGGGTCCCAGAGAAAGATGACAGCGGTTAGGTCTTGTTGGGAAGAAAACTCGGCTACCAACCCTGGACCATTTTGCTTCCCCTGAACAAATAAGATAGTCATTTGCCTGCTTTTGGGGACGGAGCCTGTGGTTTGCACAGGGTGAACGAGGTGGCAGCTGGCTTGCCTGCTGGCCTGCTTCGTGGAGATAAGATGCTCAGACCCACCGCTGCTCTTCAGGGGTTGTGGAGGGAATTAATGCACTTCCTTTTGTCCCCCAATCTCATTTACATGTCTCTGGAGCTGAGCATGTGTTCTTTTTCTTTGTTCATCTCAATAGAGCTTTTAAATTAAATAGATGTTGCTTAAGCCATTCAGAAATGTTTCACATTTTAAAAAACAAAAGGTAGTTGCTGCCATGATTCCTTTGCCACCCCTACACCGTGGCCTTGTAGGACAGTCCCCCCTTGGCTGTGCTGAGCCCATCTGGAAGTGTTTCTGATTCTAATCAGAAGTGGAACAGTTTCAGTGCAGATTATAGGTTTATGTTAGCTTTAGTGATGGAGGGATGGAAATAGATGCTTCCTCGCTATTACCATTCCAAGTAAAATAATGAGGCTGCATATTTGCAGTGAGCTGCTGAAGCCAGACGTCACTAGAGTAATTTGGATTAGTGGGAAGTTGGAACATATTGTTTTAAAAGCGATTTCAAGAGCATCATCTTCGGAAATCCTATATAGCAATGAAGTGATTTTTTTTCACTTTTTCATTTTTATTTATGTTGCTGTATCTGTTTGAATTTTTAGTTTCATATCAGTTCCCTCTAATAGCATACGTGCTTGAGATATTTTGACTTCTATTAAATGGGCTTAATATGAAATTATATTAAATAATTTTTATTGCTATTTGGAAGGCCAGGAAGTGTTTCCAGTTTTCATATTTTGGGTCATGGAGATGCTACTTCCCATCCATTTTGTGACATGTAAGAGTCAGGCCATTTCAAGGAAGGGCCAGAGGAGAGACTTTGTGTTTCTGGGAATATACTATGGATTAGGACATGTGGGTTATTCAAAGATCTATCCTTTTGTGCTTTGAAATCTGAAATGTAGAAACTGTGGCCTCACTGAGGAGGAGTTTTAGAATATGCAAGGGAGATGATCAGGACTGGATCTTGTATTTGGGTACCACATCCAGTCCCAGACAGCATTGCTAAGGCAAGGAGCTCATAAAAGCCCCAAGCTCTAGCTGTTGGCTACTTATCTCCTGGAGCATCAGGGTGAGCGCGGTTCAGGCTGGGGAGTCCTGATGGCTGCCTGGTTGTTACAGGATGTTACAGCTTAGGCCTGGGGACATAGCCCAGCACCCTCCAGAGGTTGTGTCTGTTCTTTACTCTTCAGGTTCCCTGGAGGCAGGAGAGGAGCTGGCCTCATTTCTGGCAGGCACCCCACTACTGTTATTGAGCAATCCTCCAGGCTGCAGAGATGTCAGAGGAGGACCCTAATGTCTCCTGATTTTGATTATTTTGTTCTTTTTCCCTAGGTGTTTTACTTGCAGATACCTTGAGTACCTTGTTTGTATATTCACTTTGAAAGCACACATTTAAATGTTTATAAGGAAAAGGTTCTAAAGACATCCATTGATCCATTCATTCATCATTCAGCAAATACCTGTTGAATACCTGCTGTGTGCTAGGCACTGCGGTGGGCGAGCCAGAGGGCTTTGTTGCTCCAAGGAGCTTGCATTCTAGTATTCTAGTTATTTTCACGCATCTGCACTATCTGGGACAGGGACCATTGCGTTTTGTCGTATATAAAGCAGCATGTGTCTGCACTACAGTTTGTGTCCGTCGCAGATGGGCAAGGATTGAGTGCAAAAACTTCTGGGCCAAAAGGGGTTGGCTTGGGTCAGGCTGCTCAGTAGCTGAGGTGAAAGCATGTGCCACCCCTCCTGATACAGGGATCCTTGCTGATTGTGTGTGACACCAGGGCCTTCCCATCTGTCAGCTGGGTTTGTCCTCACAGTAGCTCGAGGAGCAGGCGGGGCAGCATCTGGAGGCCTGGTGCCCTTTCACACCTTGCTGCGACCACCAGGCTGCTCAGCAGTGGCCCGTGCCCACCACTGCACCTGCCGCCTTGTTCCAGCTCCGGGACCTGTCAGGCCACAGTACTACCTCCTGTCCCTTCCCCCAGGATCCTAGGGTCTCTGACTTCAATCCTCTGGGCCCAGGTTTGCAAGCCACTCCCTGGGAAGCTGTCCTGGGATCTGTGCCTGTCTACTTCCTGTAGTCCACCACCAGGAGGTAGAAAGGGACAGTCTGCTGACCTCCAGTCTTTCCACAGCAGTGTCTGAATGGATTCAGGAAATCCTTGGCGGTGCCCCAGGATGTGCTGGTGCTGGCTTAGGGGTTGGTGCCATAGCAGCACATGAGACAAGGGGAGCCCCCACTTGTGGGTCTCACCGTCTTTAGAACGTTAGCACTTATTTAAATTAAAAAAAATTCTACTAGTTGTAGCTTACAGTCACCGAGTTTCTTTCATTGTATTCGGTGACTTTGAAGCCAGTTTGGTAGATTCTATTTCATGAATAGTCCTTGCTCTGGTCTGACATCTGGGTCAGTGAGTAGCTTCGGCCCCTCCCTAGAGCCTCCTGTCCTGGGCTGCAGTGACAGGCTGCGGGCCAGTGGGGTACACTCACGCACACCCCTCTAGGAACACTGGGGCCCTGGATAATTATGCCAACTGCAGGCTATTTCTCCCTCCAAGTGGAAGTCCTTGAGGTGAAACATTGGGTTTTTAAAAAATATTTTAGTCTTCTATTGTGTCTAGTCTGAAAATGACTTATTTGCTTTTTAATTCTGCGAACATGTTTCCTAATGGAAGGGTCAGAAATGTTCTCCTTGCACTTTCCATTGGTGCTGCAGTTGAGAGAGGAGAGGGGAGTGGTCAGGCTCCCCCTGCTCATCCCAGGGGCCCTCACAGGGGCTGCTTTGCGGTGTAGACCTTGGGGAAGCAGCTCACCTCCGAGCCTGGTGTATGAGAGCATAATGGTATTAGGTGACTTTTGAAGGGAAAGCAGGTTTTGGAAGAAGATCTGTATATACAAAAATACTGTCTATTTGACCTTCATCTATGAAGGATTCAGAATTGCAGAAGTTTGAAGGATGGCTGGGGGTTTGGGGCCATCTTGCACATGGCTTCCTTTTGGAGTGCCTTTGTTCTTCTGTGACGCCCATGGGGCCTGAGAGTGCGGCTGGATATTCCACCCAGATTGCAGCTCAGGTGGCTGTGCTACAAGCTGCTCCTCCTCCCGTGCAGTGCATGTCCCGGGTCCTGCTGCCCCGCTCAGCTGCACAGCCCATAAGGGACTGGTCCTGCCCGCGCACCCCGGACCTCCCCTGCCCAGGAAAAGTTACAGAAAATATCTTCCCCAGGATTCCTGGGCTGCACGACCCTGATCAGCCCCTTTGTGAGAGCTGCTTTGGGTGGAGATGGGGACACAGCTCGTTCTTTCCTCCTGGACTCTTCGTGCATTCAGGGTTCTGAGCTGATGGGGGCCTGGCCACTCGCCAACTGAGCCTGGCCTTGGCTGAGGTCGTCATCGCTGTGTGTCCCGGGCTGCCGGCCTGCCTGTTATCTGCAGTGCACAGGTGTGCATGTGTGTGCATAATACACACCACACACATACCATGCCCACCTCACACACACCACACGCATACCCCATACACGCCACACACATATCATACCCACCTCACACACACCACACACACCACACACATACCATGCCTACCTCACACACACCACACACATACCCCATATACACCACACACCACAAACATACCATACCCACCTCACACACACCACACACTTAACCCATATATACCACACACATACCCATACACACCACACACCACATACATACCCCATATATACCACACACCACACACATAGCGCATACACACCACATACCACACATACCCCATATATACCACACACCACACACATAGCCCATACACACCACACACCACACACATACCCCATATACACCACACACCACACACCATACACATATCCCATACACACCAAACACATGCCACACATACCACACACACCTCACACACACCATGCCCACCTCACACACCACACATTCACCCTATACACACCACACACATACCATACACACCGTATACATACCACACACACCACATAATACCATACATACACACCCCATACACACCACACCCCTCCATACATACCACACACCACACACACCCCATAGACACCATACACACATCACACCATACTCTATATACATATCACAGCACCCATACCACACACCGCATTCCACACAGACATCTTATACACACCACACACACTATACACATACCACACAATAGCATATATACACACACCATGCACATCCCATACACACCACACACCCCATACATACCATATACCACACACACTACACCATGCACACAAAACACACACACTCAACTCTTCCACACTACATTACACTCCACACACACACCACACACACAACACATTCACATCACACACACCACATACCACACACCATACATAGCACACACCACACACCACACCCTCCAGGACACCCCCCACCATACACACATGCACCACACACCCACACCATACTACACAGTTACCACATACACACCACACACTCACTACCCACCACATCACATACTCTGTATCTGACGCACACAGCACACACCCCCGCCACACACATTTGCACGTAAACTACTCATCGAATGAAACTGAATGATTGTTTTCCCCAAATTAATACTGCCCCCGCCTGCGCACCCCCGGCTGTCCTGGCCGGCACATTCCCTGGTCCTGCCCTCCTTTGGGTCAGCACCGCCTCCTGTGTTTTGGGTGTCTCTGGCTGTGCCCTGGGGCGTGCTTACGTCCTGGTCTTGTGGGAGGCTGGCTCCTCTGCTCCCGTGGGTGCCTTCCTGGGGGAGACCAGCCTGTTCGCCACCTCTCCTGATGCCCAGAGTGGCGGCCCGTTTGGGAAGTCCTGCTTCCTCCCCTTGCAGTCTACCCTTCCCCACAGGTCGTTTTGTCTCAGTGCCGACATCTCCCCAGCTAGAAGAGGAGACCTTCAAAGGCACACAGGTGGGTTTGATTATATTGCTGCTGAATATTAGATGCATTTTGGTGAAACACTCAACCAGTACACATATCTTTAATAAAGTAAAATGTCCAGGCCCCCTCTGCTCCCACCTGTCTCCCTCTCCCACCTCTCTCCCCGCTCCCCTCCCCAGAGGACATGGCTGACAAGCCTTTGAGGGGTTTCCCCTTTCTGTGTGCCTTTGCACGTGTGTATGGGCTGGGCAGTGTGTGTATTCTCTAGCCATCTTGACGGACCTGTAACTGGGATCTACACACGTGTGCTCGCTGTAGCTCACTTACCATTTTCCCTCAAAAACAGGCCTGTAAGATCCCTCACTGTAGTGCGCGTTGCCCTGCCTCTTTAAAAACGCCGTTGACTCTTCCAGCACGTGAACTCTGTCGTCATTTATTTAACCATTCTCTTATTTATGGGTACTTAGGTTTCCAGTTTTTTAAAAGATTGCGGCAATGAAAATCTTCAGACATCATTTTTTATACATGTGAGTCCTCCTGGAAATGGAATTTTTGGGCACAAGGATATGCCTATTTAAATTTTCGATAGAGAATGCTGAATTGCCTTTCTGAAAGGCTTCATTCTAAAGAAATACACTTCTCAAAAAAAGGGAAAGCTAGCAAAAAAGCAATTCTCTGCCAACAGCTGAATAGAGAGAGGGGGACTCTCTGAGGCCATGAGGTGGGAAATGTGGCAGCCTGGGAGAAGCCAGGGACCCGGGCAAAGGGTGGCATGGTTACTAACGTTTCCTTTCCTGTTTCCATCCTCCCTGCCCTCCCTCCAAACCCCCAGGAAAGCAGTACTGGGGAAAGACGGTAAATAACTAAAATCCTGAGAATTCTCATGAACACTCCTCAATTTGGAGAGAGAGGGACTGTGATGAGGGGGGTTGAGATGGTACCCAGAGCCTGATGGCCCTCACCAGCTTCAGGAGAAACCTGCTCCCCTCCAGGGCTCCTTCCTAGGGTCCGGCTTGCACTGCATTCTGGGAGAATCCTGTAGCCCCATCTTCCCTTTACCCATTGGCCGTTTAATGGTATCCCATTCTCACATTTAGCCTTTTGAATGAATCAACCACCATATTAAAAAATTAATAGATTTAATTTTTTTTTCAGCAGTTTTAGGTTTATGGAGAAATTGAGCAGAAAGTTTAGGGAGTTCTCCTGTACACCCTCACCCCATTTCCCCTGTTTCCTCATTATTAACATCTTACATTGGTGTGGTACATTCGTTACCATTGATGGGGCAGTATTATTATTAACTGGAGCCCATAGTTAAAACATATTGGGGTTCACTCTTCATGTTGTATATTTTATGAGTTTTGACAAATGGGGAATGACTCAGCTACCATGTCTTTGTTTTAGTAGATCGTTAGTTGCTTTTTGTCTTATTAGCTGACTCTTGTTTTGAGGAGAACTTTTTGTCACATCCTTTTGCACCCCGGCTTACTGTGGCGTGGGGCAGGGGTACTGGGGGCCAGCTGGTCTCTGGGGAGCAGCACTCACTGCATCCTGCCCCCGCCCCATTCTGCTCCTTTCTGGTCTCAGCAGCCTCCCTTGCTCCTTTCACCTGCCTACCCCAGCTCAGCTGCCTGCTGCTTAGATGCCACTGTGGGGCAAGGAAGCTGCCCCCAGTCGGTCCCCGAGGATTCTGCCCAGATAGGGATAAGAATCACCGCGAGTGTTTGCTGAGCACTTGGGAGGCATAGGCTCGGCGGGAAGGGAAGGCCTGCAGGCTGAGGTGGTCTGCTTTGAGTTTTGCAGCGTTGCCTGCGGTCTCCGTGGGTGAGGGAAAAGGCACAGGGAGGTGCAGAAGCGTTCCTGGCGCCACGGAGCCGGTCAGTGACAGAGCCGGGTCTCAACCCAGGCCACTGCCCTCGGCAGCCAAGCCCCTTCTTTATTTTGGAATGGCCACCTGGCCAACTGGCACACAGGGAGAACTCATGAAAGGAGGCGTGGCTCACTCCTGAAGGGAGAGGGACACAGGAGCAGCCTTGATGCGCAACGCCCCCTCCAGGCCCCGAGTCCCTGTCCTTGGAGGAAGCAGGACTCCCAGGTGGGAGAGGTGAAGCAGATGGCTTCCCCCACTGCAAGGAGGAATCCCGGTGCTCTTCTCCACCAGCCTTCCCTTTGGTCGCCCCCTGGCGTCCGCGTCATTGTGGGAACACTCGGGCGGGATGTATTTTAAAGGAGTGCCTGATGCGTGTGGGTGTGGTGGGGTTGGGGGTGGGGGTGGGGCTGGGGGTGGTTGCAGCGGGGCCTATGCAGGATCCCGGTTGGAGGGGGCTGCAGAGGCTACTGCTGGGCCTGGTGTCGCCATGGCAGCTGGAGAGCGGGCGACCGGTCGCTTGGCGTCCTGCTTGGGGTTGTTGCCCACATCACCGAGCGAACGTTCCTGTCCCGCCCACTCACTGCGAGGCTGGGCAGGGCCGCTTGCCAGTTAATTGTGGGGATTATTATTTTTTTTTTTTTGTAGACGGAGTCGCGCTCTGTCTCCCAGGCTGGAGTGCAGTGGCGCTATCTTGGCTCACTGCAAGCTCCGCCTCCAGGGTTCACGCCATTCTCCTGCCTCAGCCTCCGGAGTAGCTGGGACTACAGGCGCCCGCCACCACGCCCGGCTAATTTTTTGCGTTTTTTAGTAGAAACGAGGTTTCACCATGTTAGCAAAGATGGTCTCAATCTCCTGACCTCGTGATCCGCCCACCTAGGCCTCCCAAAATGTTGGGATTACAGGCGTGAGCCACTGCGCCCGGCCGGTTGTGGGGATTATCTGAGAGTTGCTGGAGTGTTCTGCACTTCCTTGCGAACCTTTTACCTGGGTGGGCAGGGGGAGAGGCCGAGTCAAGGGAAGGAGGCAGGATGCCACACACGCCCTGCAGGGAGAGTCATCTGCTGGGCACTGCGACACACAGAAAGCCAGGAGCCTGAGCCCCGCCCGCGGTTGTTGAACGGAGGGAGAATGAACAACCGCTGACTTCCTGGTTCCTGGGTGCCGCATCACTGCCCCTCTGCTCCGGGTCAAACCGGCTGTATGCTTAGCTTCAGGAACATGTGGCAGGTGGCAGCCCCCGGCCCCGTGGCAGGTAACGGTGGTTTTGCAGTGTGGCGTGCTGTGGGGGCCGGCAGGGGCACAGCTGGGCAGGCCAGGCTTTCTCTGGCTCAGTATGCAGGGCTGGTTCTTCCCAGAGGAGGCAGAGGTCAGGGAGGAGCTCTTTCCCTGTGTCTCCTGAACAGCTTCATCAGCACACCCTGCAGCGGGGACTCAGTGAGCATCCTGCAGCTGTCTTGTCCCAGAAGGGCTGTGTACTTTTGGCCCTGAGGGCAACCTCTGCATTTCCTTTCTGGGGGCTCCCAGATGAGCCCCGCTCCCCCAGGTCATCCTGATCCATATTGATGTGATAACCCCCTCCTCAGTCCGAAACATCTGGAGGCCCCGTTTGTCCGTGGGATAAGAATGGGCTTGAGCATGGCTGTGGGTGCTCCGTGTGGCGACAGTGGCATGTTCTGTGGCAGCTTGCTTCCTCTGTAGCCCGATGTCTTTGACTCCCAGCCCGATGCTCCCTCCTCACCCAGCAGAGGCCCCTCCTCGGCCTTTGCATTTGCTTTCATTTATCTTCCTTCTTTAAGGCTGCTTTTGAGGGTTTACTGGCCAGCAGCATCATGTGCAGTCTATAAACTGTGTGCCCTCTCGGGGCCAGGTAGGAGCCTGAGAGGGAATGGGAGAAGTGGTCACGAATGATTGTGAGGACTGCAGAAAGAAGACAGGGCTGAGAAGAGTGTGATTTCCCCTAGAATTCAGAGATGCCTGCACCAGCTGGGTTTTGAAGAATGAATAGGAGTTTGCCAGGAAGATTCTAGAGGAACAACAGCAACAAAAAGATTTAAACATGGGCACAGAAGAGGTGAGGCACAGATGGCACAGGGATTTGGGGTGTGATGGGGCAAGGAAGCCATGGGCAGGGTCTAGGCCCAGGACCTCAGGTGCTTTGCATGCCATGACTTGGAGGCAATGGCCTTGTCATGCAGAACTGTGCCTCCCTGGGCCCCATTAGAGTCCCTGGCTCTTGGTGTGCCTTTCATGCCCACACCACGGTAGGAGCAGGCAGGTGGGGTTTGGCCTGGGTTTCCCCAAAATGGACACTACTCCTTCTTGTGCTTCAGTATCAGAGTGGGCCCGTGGAGTGGGAATAAATGTTTGGGTTTAGGAGGCCTCCAGCTGGGTGGCCTGCTCCCAGGCAGGAAACACAGATTAGAGGAAGTATCAAGTTGGAAGGCAGCAGCCGTGGATGTTAAAGCTGGAGGAACCTCTTAAGGAATGGCTGTCAGCTCCCTCGTTTGGTGTGGTAGGAAGATGAGGGTGAGAGGGGTTGGGAGCAGGTGCTGGAGCTGGAGCCTGAACCCCCATATCTCAGTGCTGCCATCATCCTTCATAATAAGGAAACTGAGGCACAGGCAGGTTACATAGTCTTCTCAGGATGTCAGTGGCAGAGCTAGGACGTCTATCTCTGCAGCTCAGTTCTGTGCGAAGTCCAGGCAGATGGTGCTGATCAGTAAGGGGTGCTGGCTGAGCGCTGATGGCCACCTGCATCTCAAGGAGAAACAGTGTCACTGGCTAATCTGATGGCTTCTCTGGGCACCAGCACGTGGGCACCATCACCCTTTCTCTGCAGGGGGTTTGTTTAGTGTATTTGGTAGAACATCCCCCAGCCTACTAGGTGTGGCATGCTCTATGCCACAAGCTCTGTATCTCAGGCAGCATTTTGTACTTTGAAAAAACAAGTTGGGAACAGAACCCTGATGAATGTGTTTCATTTCCTGTCAGAGCAAATGAAACCTGAAATATTAATGGCACGAGATTTCCCTTATCTTCCTACAAAATCTTCCTACATTGAAAAATGTACTCCCCACAAGCTTAGCATGCAGCTCTGCTACCTGTGGCCCGAAATCATTAGTTGTCCATACTCACTGACCTTTGGAAATAAACACGAAGGTTCACTTGAAGACTTGGGGGAGAATCACGGTCAACTTGTGACGCTTGGTTTTTCAGATATTCAGCTGCTCTGGAGAGCCTTGGAGTTCCAGCTGCTCTAGAGGTTCTGGGGAGGGAGCTGTTAGCCTCCCATATGAGCGTGTGGCCCATCGTTGCCATCCACACCTGCCCCTCTGTGGGTGAATAAGTGGTTTCCTTTCTCAGCTGGTTGACGCTTCATTTGTTTGTGTTCTTTTTCTTTACAGTCTCCTGAATATTTACGCGTTGCTGAATCTCCTGTGGACAAACCACCAATAGGCCAGGACTGTCCTGTGGACAGACGGGGTGAGCCTCTTCTTGTGTCTGGAGATTCTGAGTGAGTAGAACCCGTTATGATCCCCACTGCACTTAATGTGGCATTCATGAATGAGTCTGGGCTGATGTGCTAATTGGGGGCCGTAAGAAGAGTTATAGCCACGATGGCCCTCACCTTTCTCTAATAAAAGCTTAAACACAGCTACGGTAAATATTTTTGCTTTCTGCTTTCACAAACTTCACATACGCTTACATTTATTTTGAGGCGAAAGGGGAAGAACAGACATTTACAGGGGACCAGTTGCTAGGAGAAGACTGTGCATTCCCTGTAACCCTGTCAGTCTCACCTCGGAGATCCTGTCCCTGGAGTGCCCCAGGTCCCTTTTCCCAGCTGCACTGAGTGCCTCTGTCCTCCTGGTGGAGCTGTGCTGCTTTCTTGGGCAGCCTCCCTTCCCCATGGGGTGCACATAGGCTGGGGGCATCCCGGTGGTCAGTTCTTCCCAGGGACCCAGGAGGAGGGGCTGGCAGAAAGTGGGCAGGTTCTTTCCGCTCGACCTGGCAATAACAATTCCTAAATTGCTCAGCACCCCAGGCTGCTTGCCTTGACCCAGGTAGCCAGTCCCAGGCACCACCAGTGTGGGCAGGGCCCTCCCCAGGGGCAGCAGCAGGGCAGCCCAAGACACTGGTGGCCACCACAGTTAGTCCCCACAAGGCGATTGTGCAGGACATGTTCTCGAGCTGCCTGCAGGGTCTGGTTGTGGGAGCAGCTCAGCCCCTCCTGCAGAGGTGGGAGCATCTTCTACAGCCAGCCATTGTCCCGCAGGAGCTCTGTGCCCAGTGGAATATCTCAGTGCAGTGCACAATGGGGCCACAGCTGTGTCACAGCCATGCTCTGTCCTTTAGTGGGCCGTCTGAGCCACATTCCACCTGCCTGTTCTGACACACTGCTCTCCCTCGATGACCCTGCTCCCACTGGCCTCCCCATGGTTTCGATCTGTAACCCAGACCCTGTTCCCAGGAGCTGGCTCAGCACCATCCTGCTCCACACCCTCTCTCAGGAGACATCCTAACCTGCCCAGCCTGTCCTGTTCCTGCCTCTCAACCCAGAACACTGCAGGTCCTTCAGGTATTCGGTGAGACCTTAGAAGCAGGCACAGCAGGATTTATCCCACATGCACCATGCACCGTGCTGAGGAAGCCACGGTCACTCCCCTAATGGTCACTAGAGGTGAGAGAACTGAGGTTGTTGCCCATGTGGTAGAACTGGAATTCAGGGCCTCAGCCACACCTCAGTCACCACACCACGCCCTGTGCAGGACGCTGGGGAAACCAGGCAGCTAGGACTGGCCTGTGCCTTGGAATGCTTACTCAGACCACCCATCCTTGTCCCCTTTGCACCTCAAAGGCTTGGTCTACTTTTCAGACACAGTTTTTATATTGTCAGCCTGATACATATGCATATTTTAAGATGTCAAAGAGTTTTATAAGTTTTATGAAAAAAATAGCAGACCCCTGGCCTCCCAGACCATCTCCCCACCGCCCCTGCCCTGCCCACTCCCCATAGATTACCACTTCCAGCTCTTATTGCTTCTTCCTCTGGATTTATCTCCACATTTGTAAAGAATATGGGCACGCTGCTATTTCTTAGTCTTCTGTTGTGGTCAAGATGGTTGAACTCGTAGATTTCCCTCCTGAGAGCTGCTCCATCTAACCCTAACCCTAACTCTGATATATAGAGTTATGTCATCATTTAGGTGAACCCTTATGCAGTGTGTATCAGTCAGGATAGGCTGCCTCATGATGCAGGAACAAGCATCCCCAGACCTGAGAGAGTTCCGTTTCTCTAGCCTCCTGCCCTGGGGGTGGGTGCTGAGTCTGGGGGAGGTGTGGGGTGGGGGGAGGGGCCTCAGCGCTCAGCAGACAGGTGCTCACTGGTGTCACCATGTTCCCTGCCCTCTTCTCATATGGAACACGTGGTGCCCTTTTGCCAGGGCATCCCTGCTCAGGGGTCAGGATAGTCCTCCTCTGAGTGGCTGGGAGTCTGACTGCTCCCTGTTTAGACTATTGAGTAGCCCCCTGCTTTCTGCCTCACTCCCTTTTTGTGCTGGTGTCTCAGTGCTTGGGCCTTTTGGGGTTTTAGAGGTGGGCCGTGAGGCTGGGCATGAAAAGGCTTCTCTGCCTCCACCGCCCCCCCGGGGCTCCTCATCCCTGTGCTGCCTCAGCACTTCGTCTGGCAAGATTTGCAGGTGCAGTTTTCATTTCTCATTCTTTGTTGGTTTTGAGTGATTTCAAGAGAAGATGCAGAAAGGCTGTGACCCCACCTCTAAAAGCCAGCGGTCAACCTGGCCACCCTTAAGCCTGTTCTAGTGGGCCCCCTGCCCCGTTGCCCTGCTGTGACAGTGTCCCACGAGGACAGACTCAACACAGGACTTCAGTCCTTGCCTTCCCGAGTGCTGGCAGCCCTGGTGCTGTTGCTTTCCCTCTCCCCTCCTTGTTCTCAACCTCAGGAGGAAAATGCCCAGTTTCTCATGATGAGATATGATGTCATCTGTAGGTTTTTTTTTTAAAAAAGTGGGTAAAATTCATATAACATTAGCCATTAACCAGTTGAAAGTGTGTAATTCAGTAACATGTAGTGCATTTGCAGTGTTGGGCACCCACTATCTGTGTCTAGTTCCAACAAGTTTTCTTCATCCCAGAGAGGAACTCTCCATTAAGCAGTCACTCCCCAGCCTCCCTACCCCAGTCTCTGGCAACCCCAATCTGCTTTCTGTCTCCATGGACTTACATATTCTGAATGTTTCCCATAAATTAGACATCATATAATTTGTGACCTTTTCTTTCTGGCTTCTTTGGCTTAGCATGAAGTTTATGTGGATGACCCATGTTGCAACATGTGTCAGAACTTCAGTCCTTTCTAAGGCTGAACAATATTGCATTCTGCAGATACACCACATTTGTTTGTGCCTTCATTTGATGGGCGTTTGGGTAGTTTCCACCTTTTGACTGTCAGGAATAATGCAGCTGTGAGTGTGTGTGGATAGTGTTAGATTCGGTATCTGTTTTCAACTCTTTTGTGTATGTATTTAGGAGTGGAATTGTTGCGTTCTGTGGTGACTCTGTTTCACTTTTCCAGGAACTGCCAAACTGTTTTCCACCACAGCTGCACCGTTTTACATTCCCGCCAGCACTGAATGAGGATTCTCATTTTCCCCCATCCTAGCCAACACTTGTTAGTTTCTGTTTTTTGTTTCTTTGTTTCATGATGGCCAGTCTATGGGTGGGAAGTGGGGTCTGACTGTTTATTGGCATTTCCTGAATAGGTTTTTTGGTAGATGTTCTTTATCAAGCTGAAGATGGTCTCTGCCTCATTTAGTGAGTGGTTTTTAATCAGAAATGGTTGTTGGATTTTTGTCAGATGCTTTTTCTGCATCAATTGATCTGATCATATGATTTTGTCTCTTTAGTCTGTTGATGTGGTAGATTATATCCATTGATTTTTCTAATGTTGAACCAACATTGCAGCCTTGGAAAAAATACCACTTGGTTGTAGTGTATAATTCTTTTTAAACGTTGTTAGATTTGATTTGCTAATAATTTGTTGTGGATTTTTAAGTTGTTTGCTCCTGAGAGGCAGTGGTATGTCATTTTCTTATAATTTCTTTGGTTTTGATGTTAGGATAATTCCAGCTTCATAAAGTGAGGAAGTGTTTCTTCTTTTCCAATTTCTGGAATAGGTTGTAAAGAATTGGTGTAATTTCTCCCTTAAATGTTTGGTAGAATTCACCAGTGAAATCTATCTTCCTTTTACTGATTTTTAGTTTAATTCTATTGTAGTCTGAGAACATATTTTTATGATTTCTATTTTTAAAATACTTGTTAAGGTGTACTTCATAGCTCAGAATGTGGTCTATCTTTGTGAATGTTCTGTGCAAGCTTGAGAAGAATGTGTATTTTGCTGTAGTTGGATGGAATATTCTATAAATGTCAATTCTGTTGAGTTGATTTATGATGCTATTCAAGTGAACTGTCCTTGTTGATTTTCTGTCTGCTTGTTCTATCAATTACTGACAGGTCTTGAAGTCTCCACTTATAATAGTGGATTTACCAATTTCTCATTTAGAATTAAAATTCTCTCAGATTTTGCCCCATATATTTCAATTATCTGTTGTTAGGTGCATAGCCTTTAAGGATTGTAACATCCTCTTAAAAATTGATTTTTCTCTCATTATGTAATGTCGCCTCTTTATCCCTGATAATTTTCCTTGGTTGGTAGTCTGCTTTGTCTGAAATTAATAATGGTACTCCAACTTACTTTGATTAGAGTTAGCATGGTATACCTTTCTCTATCCCTTTACTTTTAACCTACCAGTGTCTCTGCATTTAAAGTAGATATCTTGTAGATAGCATAGAGTTGAGACTTGTGTTTTTTATCCACTCTGAAAATCTCTGTTTCAATGGGTGTGTTTTGATCATTCACATTTAAATGATTATTGAGGTACTTAGATTAATATCAAACTTTTTAGTAACTGTCTTCTGTACTTGCCAGAGACTTCTTTTTCTCTCTCCTCTGGTTTCAATGGACCATTTTATGTGATGCCATTTTATCTCCTTTCATAGTGTATCACTCATACTTCTTTTTAAAAGTTTTACAATATATGTTTACAATATGTATTTCAAAATAATCTAAGCCCACCTTCAAATAACACTATACCTCCTCCCATTTAGTACAACTACCTTATAACAGAATACTCCCAAATCCTCCTTCCTGTCCCTTGTGACATTGCTGTTAATTATTTCAATTATCCATATGTCATAATCATACAGTATATCGTTACCATTATTGCAGTAAATAAATTTATTTTTATATCAAATAAGAGTAAGGAAAATAGAAAATTTTATTTCACTGTCATTTATTCCTTTTTGAATACCTCTTTTTTATGTAGATCCAAGTTTTCAACCTATATAATTTTTCTTCTGTATGAAGAAAAATCTTTTAACGTTTATTTCAGGGTATATATTGCCAGTAATGAATTCCCTTGGTTTTGTTTGCCTGATAAACTATTTCTCCTTCATTTTTGAAGGATACTTTTTCTGAACATAGAATGCTAGGTTGGTGGTTTCTTCTTTCAAAATTTTAAGGATTTCACTCCACTCTCTCTCTCTCTCTTTTTTTTTTTTTTTTTGAGACAGAGTCTCGCTCTGTTGCCCAGGCTGGAGTGCAGTGGTGCTATCTCGGCTCACTGCAAGCTCTGCCTCCCGGGTTCATGCCATTCTCCTGCCTCAGCCTCCTGAGTAGCTGAGATTACAGGCGCCAGCCACCATGCCTGGCTAATTTTTGTATTTTTAGCAGAGATGGGGTTTTACCATGTTGTCCGTGGCTGGTCTCGAACTCCTGACCTCAAATCATCTGCCTGCCTCAGCCTCCCCAAGTGCTGGGATTACAGACGTGAGCCACCGCACCTGGCCTATCCACCCTCTTCTTCCTTTACTGGTTTCTGATGAGAAGTGGGCTGTAATTCTTATCTTTACCCCTCTATAGATAAGGTGTTTCCCTACCCCGCTGGTCATTTGCCTTAGTCATTTTCTCTGTCTTTGGTTTTCTGTAGTTCAAATATGGTGTGCCTAGGTGTAGGGTATTTTGCTTTTTGTTTTTTTTTTGTTTTGTTTTGTTCTTAGTATTTACTCTATTTGGTGTTCTTTGAGCCTCCATGGTCTGTGGCTTGGATCTGTCATTAATTTTGAAAATATTTTGGCCATCATTACCTCAAATGATTTTCTTCTCCATTGTCTCTTTTGTTCCCTTTTGGTATTCCAGTTACACGTGTAACATCTTTGATGTTGTTCCACAGTTCTTGGATACTTTGTTCTGTTCCCCTCCCCAACCCATTATTATTATTTTTTTATTTTTATTTTTTTGTAGAGGTGGGACTTTGCCATGTTGCCCAGGCTGATCTTCAACTTGTGAGCTCAGGTGATCCCCCCGCCTCAGCCTCCCAAAGTGCTGGGATTACAGGCATGAGCCGCTGTGCCCGGTCTTCCCACCATTCTTTGTGTGCATGTGTGTTTCATTTTGAGAAGTTCTTGTTGACCTGTCTTCAGGCTGATTATTTTCAGCCATGTTGATGAGCCCGTCAAAGGCATTCTTCATTTCTGTTAATAGGTTCCTTTTGGGCTGGGCGCGGTGGCTCACACCTGTAATCCCAGCACTTTGGGAGGCCGAGGCGGGCGGATCACCTGAGGTCGGGTGTTTGAGACCAATCTGACCAACATGGAGAAACCCCTGTCTCTATTAAAAATACAAAATTAGCCAGGCGTGATGGCGGGCACCTGTAGTCCCAGCTACTCGAGAGGCTGGGGCAGGAGAATGACGTGAACCTGGGAGGCGGAACTTGCAGTGAGCCGAGATCACTCCACTGTACTCCAGCCTGGGCAACAGAGCGAGACTCCATCTAAAAAAAAAAAAAAAAAGAAACATGTTGTCCTTTTTGTCTTCTAGCATGCCTTGTAAGTTATTTGAAGCTAGATATGATGTATAGGGTGATGGGAACTGAGGTAAACAGGCCTTTAACGTGAGGTTTTCTGTTAATCTGGCTATGGGCTACGTGTAATGTTTGTTGTAGCTGTGAGTGCCGGCGTATTCCGATCCTTGCAGTGCCCTTGTTTTTGTCCTCTGGCTCTGGGCTTCCCTAAATTCCCTTCCTCAGACAGAGTGAGTGTCGTGCAGCTCTCCCAGCTTTCACCTGCTGTTGTACACTGGAGTCCTGTTGGTGTAGTTGTAGGGTGTGGGGAGGGCCAGCGGTCTATAGTCTTCTGATTACATCTCAGTCTTTCTGTGGTCCCATTTCCCTGGGCTGTGACTGTCACAGATGTTTCTTCTTATATAGCTTTTCCAGACCCCAAACAGGAGGCCAGAGGGGGCTGGACTCAGGAATGCCCTTCCTCCGTGGCTTTGCAACAAGGTTCTGGTAAAGTCTTTCCCTGCGGGGAGCAGGCCTTTGTCCTAGAGAAGGCTCTGGATGCATTTCACCAGGATGACGTTTGTCCTCCCTCTGCCAGAGTCACCAGGAGATGTCTCTTGGGTTTTCATGGTGAGAACCTAGTAGGGATCCTGGAGGAAAAGCCCATGAAAGTTTTGGGCCCCCCTAAGACTGTGGCTTCTAGGAGTTTCTCAGTCATGGGAGTCCACCCTTGGCCTGCAGCAATTTGTCAGAATTACCCAAACTACTGTGGTATGGCCCTGGAGGCTCTGTTCCAGGTCAGTGGATCTTTGGATTTGGCTGTGTCTCTAGATTTCAGGGGGGCGGGTTGCAAACTCAATTCACTGATGAGTCCAAAGAAGGTCATTGATTTTCAGTTTGTGCACCATTTTCTAGTCATGAGGATGGGAGTGATGACTTCCAAGTTCTTTACGTGTTGGAGCGGAAACTCCAATCCTTCCCCTGCTTTGATTTTCCTGTTACCCTAACCGGGAATCATGTTTGTTATTTGATGGTTTACTCAGTTGTCATCTGTCTTCCTAATTAGGACATAAGCTCCAGGGAACTGGAGTGTCAGTGTTCCCTTGCGTCCTTGCACCCACAAGACAGCCTGGCACATTCTGAATGAATACACCGAAAGGGATAAATAACGAGGCCAAGCCACCTGGCTATGGGTGGCTGCTAATCCGTAGGATTTCTCGTGCCTTGTGGTTTCAGTGAATTTGCGACACACATGAGTGATGCTGCCAATGGGAGGCTCCCAGATGTCCTCAACAAATAGAGGAGTGACCACTCAGATCCAAGGGTGTAGCACTTCCCGCCTATCACTGGGAGCTGATGGGCTGTCTTTAGCATGGCACTTTGTATGGTGCTGGCGCCCAGGCTTCCCTGGGGCAACAGCGTTGGCCCAGGCGACACACAAGAAGAAGGGGGTTTTTCTGTGGTCACTTCCGCGTTGCTAGTTGTTTTGCCCTCTTACTGTGGCTAAACCTTCTGTCCATACCTGTCCCCCATTCTCAGTATTTGGCTTTTCGGATTGCAGTAGTGGGACTTGGGTGCACATTGCAATAAACCAATTTGCCCCCATTATCCATGTCTTGTTGATGGTCCCACTGCCAGCATCAGTTCTTATGAACAGATTTCTAAACCATCACCATCTGTTCTGCTCTTAATTTCAAGTGTAAAAAGTATTACTTTCCTAATTCCGTCAAGGGGAGGGAGAATATGTATTCCTAAAGACCACAGTTCTTGTATGAGGAAGTGTAGATCTGCCACCCACCTACTAAAGGAAAGGTTGCTTCTGCCCATCCTCAAAGCTGTTGAGCAGTTATTTACCTAGAGGGTAAAACTGGCCCATTCGCATCTCTATAAAAACAGGTAGGAAAAGGTGGAAGGAGCTGAGTTGGGGAGGTGGAAGGGGGGCAAAAGCTATGTCTCCCGTCCCTCCCTGACAGTGCAGCCCCCCAACCCTCCAGCCCCCGCCAGTATAGGTGGGAATGGGCTGGCAGGGCTGCATTGTGGTGGTCCCTGCTGCTGCTAGGGCTGTTTCCAGAAGAAGGCCCAGTTTCAGGCTTGACTTCCCCTCAGAAGTCATAAGGACCATAAGGTCCATCTGGGTGGGCGCTGAGCTCTCCACGATGGGAGCAGGATAGACATGAGCATCTTCACCCTCGTGGTCCCTCTGAGCCTGCCCTGGGGGTGAGCTCTTTTTCTGCTCAAATGAACATTCCAGGCAGGCCCTGGAGCTTTCTGTCGTTCTAAGGCAATAGAAGGTTCTTTGGTTACTTTCAGTCCCAGGAACATTGTTGGTCAGTCATGAAAAGGAGTAATTATAGACTCTTTGGAGCTTCTCCCACCCGGCTGGAGCCTGACCTGTCTTGGAGCCGGCTGGGGAGGGAGGGCTGTGTGTCTCCTTCTTTCTTTCTTTGCCTCTGTTTTTGCTGGCCAGGGAGTGTTCCGAGGGATGGAGTGTCTGGGGAGAGGGCATTCTCTCCACAAGTGGGCTGGGTGGCACTTCTGGGGTCCAGCAGATGTTTCACTTGGACTTCCTGTCTCCAGTGACCCTCGGGTAGGTTTCTTAGAGATGACCCTGCTGGGAACTTGCAGCTCTTCCCTGCGACCTGTGGGAGGCCTTGCTGGGCTGATGCCCTTGACTGCTCTCCCTATCCTCCACCATGCCCCTCGGGAGTGCTCCTGGGCTGTTCCTTCAAGGCGGCCCCAGGCTGGCCCCACACTGGTGGGAGCAGCAGGCAGCTCCTCCTTGGGCAGCTCCTCCTCTTCCCCTGTGAGGCAGCTCTGGTCATGGCCTCCTGCCTCTGGATTCTCAGGAAACTCGGGTGCCGCGTCCGCAGACATTGGGGACTCGGTACAGCTATCCTAGGGGTCTGCTAGAAGCCCTGTTTGGGAATCATGGTGAAGCCACCTCCCCAGCCCCCTCCATGAGGCACAGCCCTTCACGGAAAGTCCCTGCTCCTCTTCTGGTACCCCGTAGGCCAGAAACCATGCTGGGGTGGGGAGCTGGGAGCATCTGTTGATGTGGGATGCAGGCGTGCTTGTCACCTCTCCTGGCCCTCAGGGCAGCAGGACAGCTTACATGAACATCTCATCCCGCTGCTGGTGGCCTCTGGTGAGAGACTACTCCAGTCGGTCCCCCTGTAGCTCCTGGATCTTAGCGGGGGCCTGGGAATGGGAGGCCACAAGGAGGTTCCAGAGCTAACTAAAGCCGCTGAGACTCAGAGGGAGTCTCACGCCACTGCCTCCTGTGCCCCCATCCCCTAGCAAAGTGGGACTGATGAGGGATGACCTTGCGTCCTTCTCCCCTGTTCACTGGGACCTGGTGCTGTTGCCACCGTGGGCCCAAACATCCACTGCCCTTTTAGCAAGGCAGCGCTGCTCCATAGGGTCCAGCCGGGGAAGCATCTGGCTTTGCACAGGTGGAAGATCATGACTATTTCCAGAGTCTGTTGCCAGGCTCCATGTAGTTCAGGAGTTGTTTCTCCCTCTGAGAGTCCAAAGTGGTTGTTTTCCGGAGTTTGGCAGTACCTAAGGGTTAATTGGGATGTTATTGTCTGCATTTGGCTTAGAGATAGGAAAGTTTTATGTTTATTCAAATTATCAGTAATTTAAAATTACAATTTTAGTCTTAATTGTACGTATTTGGAGATCCCATTTAAGTCTTTGGAAATAATTGCAGAGTAATATTTTGGGAAGTTATATTACAATGCACAGACGTTCAAGTGGAGAAAGGTCCCTGCGTGTGAGCCTTGGCCTGGCAGAGGGGCATCCAGGACAGGATCTACAGCACACAGCCCTCCCAACTGGGTCTGGGCATGGCTGCAGCTGAGTCTAGCCCTCCTTTCTGTGCTGCTGCATCCCAGGGGATACGGCCACACAGGCCACAGTTGCCTAGACCGACCTGGTGTCAGGATCACTGTCTCTGCTTTGGTAAGATGTCCTTGGGAGGGGAAGGGAGCCAGCCAATGAGATGAGGGGTAGGAGGGTGACAGGGTGGAGCAGACCCTCATGCTGGCAGAAGAGAGGTTCACATTCACCAGGGAGCAGGTTTTTCTGAACCCTGGAGAGCTGAGGGGGGCACCTGGAGCACCCCTGCAGTCCACAGCATGGGGTGCTGGCTTCTGTACTGTAGTGCAGTGCCATGAGGTACCCATCCCTTGCAGTGGGGTAGGGTTTAAAACCCAGAAGGCAGCCCTCCCTGGAGCACAGCCCCATGGTGTTTAGAGACCCTCTCCTCTGAGCACATGCAGGATGTGACAATGCAGGTGGGCCTAGTGCTGCAGTCTCAGAGACACCCATGGGCTTCTGCCATGCTTTTTATCCACCAGGGCAGTAAAAGCAACGTCCACAGTGGCTTAGCCTCCTGCAAAGCCTGTGGCAGGACAGCCAGGGTTCCCTGACAGTGGAGATGGTGGACGGCCCCATAGGGGGTTGGTCCCATCTCGCCAGCAGAAGTGACCTGTGTGGCCTTAGTGGTCAGTGCTGCCTATTGTGATAGTGGATTGTTTAAAGCCAGGTCCCATCGTGGCTCCTGAGGGAATGAAAATGAGGGGTTCTTTGCTGTGATCTGATGCTTGTGTTCCACCAAATCCATATTTTGGAATTCTTATCCCCAAAGTGATGGGACCTTTGGGAGGGAGACATTGGAATTCACATTCCCAAGGAGATGGGGCCTTATGGAGGTGTCTTAATCTGTATTCTGCTGCTGAAACAGAATACCACAGATTGGGTAATTTATAATGAACAGAACATTATTTGGCTCAGAGTTCTAGGGGCTGGGAAGTCCAAGGTTGAGGGTTGCATCTGCTGAGGGCCTTCTTGCTGCGTCCTAACATGGTGGAAGGCATCATATAGTGAGCGAGAGAGGGAAGGGGGCCAAACTCATTGTTTTATTAGGAACCTGCTCCTCAGTCACTAACCCACTCTCGCGATAATGGCATTAATACATTCATGAGGGTAGAGCTTTCAGGACCTAATCACCTCTTAAAGGTCTCACTTCTCAACATTGTTGCATCGGGGATTAGGTTTCCAACACATGAACTTTGGGGGGGCACATTCCAACTATAGCAGTGGGTGATCAGGTCCTGATGGTGAAGCCCTCATAATGGGATCAATGCCGTTTTAAAAGAGGCTGCAGAGAGAGCCTCCCGCCCTCCACCATGTGAGGACAGAGTGAGAAGCTGCCGTCTCTGAGCCATCACGCAGGTACTCACCAGGCACGGAATCTGCTGGCTCTCTGGTCTTGGACTTCCCAGCCTCCTGAACTGAGACAAGCCACTTTCTGTCATGTATAATCTACCCAGTTTATGGTATTTTGTGAGAGTACCCTGAATGGAATAAGACTCCCTTCAAACAAATGTCCTGCTCTTTGAAAGAGAGTGTGGGGCTCACAGTCTGCTAGTAAAGACAGTTGTAGGAGCAATGGCAAGCCCACACTGGCTCGGATTTTCAGACCTTATCATTGAGTTAGGAGCGAAGTCCTCGACCTGAGGTTTTATTGGTCCAAAGTCAGGGCCTGCTGGAGCCCGACAGGTTGCGTGCTTGGCCTGTGGAGCAGTTTTCTCCAGAGCACCTCTATCCCCTCTGCCTTGTGCCAGGCCCAGCAGGGACTGAGGGTAGAATAATGACAGGCACAGCTCCTCCCCTCAAAGAGTCCACTATCTGGGGTTTGATGCTGGAGCGCAAGGAGGGGCTGCCCACATGGGCGGAGCAGAGGGCCTGGGGAAGTTCCAGGAAGAAGTGACTGTGTGCCGAGGCTGCAGGAGTAGAGGCAGCCCAGGAGAAAGGGGGGCATGGGCTGGAGGTGGGGGTGGTTCCAGGCAGAGAGAGCAGCTTGCACACGGGAAAACAAGGCATGGAGTGGGCAGCTCCTTCCGCCTGGTCTCTAAACCTGTGAAGAGGGGGCTGGGGAGAAGAGACGGGGGTGGAGGAGAGCAGGACTCACAGGCCAGCCAGCCCTCCACAGCCTTGGGAACAGAGTGAAGAGCTTGGACTGTGTCCTATGTCCTGGGGCCGGTGCCACTGCAGGCTTTGGAGCCAGGAGGGACTCAGTGGAGCTTGCTGTGTATGATTGTGAGTGTGGGGAATGGTTTGGGGTGGGAGGCAGGACAAGCAGCTGTGGACTCCTGTCTGCAGGTGAGTGCCAGGGCTCAGTGTGGGTTCTGATTGGGCTAAGTAGGTGCCCATCTGCCTGGAGTCCAGCTGTCCTTGTGTGGTCTGTAGACCTTGTTGTCAAGGTCTGGCAGCTCAACGCTGGTCTTTCTGAGATAATGAAAAGGGAAAACTTTAGAGGCAGGACGAAGACCTTGTAGTGACCAGTGACATCCCCACAGGGTCTAGGTGTGCGAGGTCTATTGGCGCCTGTGTGGGAAGGCGGGAAACCAGGGGCTTGGGGCCAGCTACAAATGCCACACTGGGCTCTGCCTTGGCTCTAGGTGCTTTGGTTGCTGGATTTGGTGGTGGCTCAGGGCAGTCACTTGTCATTCTCAGTATTTTATCCCCTGGGGCCTCCTCAGAGCCATAGGAGATGGTTCACCTCTGAAGGACTGCCCCATGCTGTGCTTGGTAAGCTCGGTCACCCAGGGCTGTCACAGAGATGGGCTATGGCCCACATGGGCTGAGCGGATTTCTGCCCTGCCACCTACACCTTGCTGTGATTACTTTGGCAGTGTTTCCCCGTCAGGAGAGCAGGTGGGAAGGGAGGCAGGTCCCTGAACTGGGATAGAGCCCGGAGACCTGGGTGTCCTCTGCTCTGTTGTACTGACACGCTGCGTGCTTATGAAATGAGGGCAGGGGTTCTCAGTGCTCCCATGGCATGGTGACTATAATCCATGAATGATGCCCACACAGTTCCTGGCATGCTCAGTGTAGCCTTGTTGTTGTAAGAGAAAAAAGCAGGGATTCTCCACTTCCCCACAGAGTGAACTGGAACGAGGAGAGACTGGTATTTCTCCAACACTAGGTTTCTTTGGATTTTTATGCTGGTTGATACTCCCTAAATCACAGGTCGCCTTAAAGAGAGCAAGAGCCCTGCACGGTGGCCCGGACCCTTGGGGCCCCTTCCATCCGATGCACCTCGTGGCCCAGTCTTTACCTGCTCACCATGCACAGCACTTCGCATGGGTTTGGAAACGTGTCATCTGCATGGCAAGGATGGGAATGGGGAGTGGGAACCTGCAGTTTAGGGTCCAGGCGGGTGGATTTTAATTTGCCCCTGGGGGATTCTAGGGCCAGCAGAGCTCACTGCCGCTGCTGTCTGGGCCTCCAGGCAGTGAGCTGCTGGGGGAGCCCCTCTGGAAATGGACAGTGGCTGTCAGGGCGTAGGACGCTAGGGGGCGAACAGAGGAAGTAGAGGTATCTGGGGCTGAAGTTCAAGGTTGCAGCATGAAGTTCAGGGTTGCAGCGCCCAGCCTAGCAGGGCAGGGTTCAATCTGCAGGACTGGCATGAGGAGGCAGAGGAGTCAGCCAAGCCCTCCCCTCAGCCTCTCTCCAGACACTACAGATCCAAGGCCAGGTCTGCATGAGGACAGCCACCTGGTCTCGGCTGAGGTTACAGGAAGGGAGTCGGGGCAAGGGCCAGTGAGTTTGTTCCTAATTTGGGTCCCCTAATTGTCCAAGAGAAGAAGAAAAGGCCTAATTTCTGTTTCGCTAAGTTTTAGACTACTTTAGTTCATGTTCTTTAACAATAGGTTATTCATGCAGAGCTCATCTCTATTAATCAAAATGTATGATTAGGCAGAAAGCCCTATTCCCACACCAGAGTGGTGAAATGCAGTGCATGTGTGTTCAGATCAATTTTTGAAGTCTTGATTTTGTTTTGTTACATGTTTATTTGATTGCTTGCAGAAGAATGAAGTTTTTTGGCCCTCTGGAAAATTTTTCTTTCTCCTGAGAGGTTTTCCAATCTAGTAGAAAATAGACGCAGAGTTTGGCTTGCACTGATTGCGGCATTAGAAGCGGCCCTGTACATTTTAATGTGGAAGACGTGATGGTTTTGCGTTTGCTCCTCCAGTTGTGCCCCATAGCTGTCTTTCTGCCAGCTCTCTTGCACATTTAGTTCTTGAGTGAGATGTTCTAAATAGAAGCCATGGTCCATTCAGTCCCCAGCCTGCTGTCCTTCTGTGACCCGCCAGCCAGCTTTGCTTAGGGAGCTATGAGCCCCTCCTACTAGGCTACAAAGTCATGGGCAGGAAAAGCATTTGTGCACAGCCAGGAGCAGAGCACCCAGGCCCAGGTCTGTCCCGGAGCCATGTGGACCTGGCGAATGGCTGTTCAGGTCAGAAGGGGGTTTGGATACACCGGTTCTGTGTTTCGGAGGCCAGCGTAGTCCCCAGTGTATTTCGCAGAAGTGATAGCAGCTTTATTCCCAAGGCACTAGTGCCTGCGCGTTAGGCACGTGCTGGGTGCCTGCTTGAGTGTCTCCTTTGTTCCTCTCTATCACTGGCTGTCCCCTGCAGAGGCAAGCGAGGCAGAGAGTTGGCTGGTAACAGCCAGTGTCCGCAGAGCCCCAGGGCTCCCTGACTGGGCTGTGCCACCTGGGGACAGGCAGATAGACCCCAAGTAAAGTTAAAGGGAAGCACAGTGGGGCCTGCACAGGATGTGAGTTGGAGGCTCTGGTGAAACTGAGACTTGGTGGGGGATGGGAGGCAGGGGCCCTGCTGGGACAGACAGGAGACCAGGGGCCAGTGGCAGAAATGGTCCTCGATCTACCCTCATGCAGATGGTGGCCTCTACCGGGAGCCCTGTGTGTCTCTGAGCCTTAGTCTCCCTCCCTCCAGTCTGCGAAATGGGCATAATAGAAATGATGCCTCTCACTAATAAATCTGTGCAGAAAGAGAAAGCAGTTTGCAACTGCAAAGCATTATTCAGGTCTTCCTGGCTCTACCTCCAGGATCGTATGCCTCCGCTCTCTCACGAGACACAGGCCTCCCATGTGCCCGGTGGTGGTCTCGAGGTCATCTGAGCCATCATCCACCCCTCTATACCGGGGACAGTGTGCTGCCAGGAGGGGCACCAGAAGAGGTGTCATACAGTGGCATGCTGAGCTAGGATTTGAGGCACTTCCTGCCTCTTCTAGTTCCTTGTGGGCCGGGGGTGCTTTGCTCAGATGGTGCTGGGGAGGAAGGGCAATATCTAAGGATGTATTGAGAGGGTCACATTCAGGTGTGCCATCTTCTGAGGGACAGAACCCTGTCACGACAGTTTTGCCGTGACTGAATTCCCACATTGCAGAGTGCGCTTGGGGTGTGGCTCTGAACATCGCTGGCAGGTCAGGTGGAGCCTCGCTGCTCTGGGGAGCTGTGCCCAGGTTCCCTCGGTTCCTGAAGCTCAGAGGTTGCAGGAGAAAGGGCCTCCTGGTGGCTGCTTACTCTGCCCCACTGTGAAGTGCCTGGTCACTAGAGTTAGGCCTCTCTCCCACTCCGGGCTTCAGGGATTCCACTGAGGATGGAGGGTGTTGGATTTAGTTTCTTTTTTTTTTCTTTTTTTTCTTTTGAGATGGAGTCTCACTCTGTCGCCCAGGCTGGAGTGCAGTGGCACCATCTCTGCTTACTGCAAGCTCCGCCTCCTGGGTTCACGCCATTCTCCTGCCTCAGCCTCCCGAGTAGCTGGGACTACAGGCGCCCGCCACCACGCCCGGCTAATTGTTTTGTATTTTTGGTAGAGACGGGGTTTGACCGTGTTAGCCAGGATGGTCTCGATCTCCTGACCTCGTGATCCGCCCACCTCGGCCTCCCAAAGTGCTGGGATTACAGGCATGAGCCACCGCGCCTGGCCCCCTTCTGGAGTATTTCGTTCATTAGAAGTAAGTCAGGGACTTAGTGTCTTTAGCTCCAGCCAGTCCTGTGGCCTCTCTGCCACTGTGTGAATGTCCCCAACCCCCCACCTGATAAGCAGGTGTCCTGAGGTCATCAGGGATTTGGACTTAGTTATTAAAAAGCAACCAGCACCCTTAGGAGCCTCCAGAGCAGAGATTGCCAAACTTTCTCAGACCACGGTGCCCTGGATCTCAGCAATTTCATGGTGTTTCTAGACCAAAACACATAGCTAACAACTCTACTCTTTAAGTAGCTAGGTCCAAACCACATGGTATTTATGTCCCAACAACTTGGAAGCCACATGAGAAATAATACTCATAAATTGAAACAAATGTATTTCATCCTAAACCACAATTACAAACGGAAGTGTGTCTGCTGAATGAGATTGGCACCATTCTCATTTCCTGTTTGATGCTGACTTTTGTGTGGGACTTGCTGTTTAAAAGTTTATTTTTATTTTTAATTTTTATACACATATCATAGTTATACATATTATGGGGGTACGTGTGATATTTTTTCTTGAGACAGCGTGACAGAGTTTTGCTCTGTAGCCCAGGCTGGAGTGCAGGGGTGCAATCTTGGCTCACTGCACCCTCCACCTCCCTGTTCAAGCGATTTTCATGTCTCTGCCTCTTAAGTAGCTGGGACTACAAGAGGTACGCCACCTCGCCTGGCTAATTTTTGTATTTTTAGTAGAGATGGGGTTTCACCACATTGTCCAGGCTGGTCTCAAACTCCTGGCCTCAAGTGATCTGCCTGCCTAGGCCTCCCAAAGTGCTGGAATCACAGGCATGAGCCACCGCACCTGGCCTACATGTGGTATTTTAATATAAGCATATACATTATTAATTGTGGCAAAGTACACATAACATAAAATACCATCTTAATCATTTTAAGTGTATAGTTCGGTGGAATTAAGTACATCAACATTGTTTTGCAGTCATCACCATCAGCTATCTCCAAAACGTTTTCATCTTCCCAAAACTTAAATTGTGCGCATGAAACAGTACCTCTCCTTTCCCCCTTCCTCCAGCCCCTCCCAGCCACCACTCTACTTTCCCTCTGTCTGAATTCACCTCTCTAGGTACCTCATGTAAGTGGAATCGTGCAGTATTTGTTCTTTTGTGACTGTCTTATTTCACTTCGCATGGTGTCCGTAGGGGTCCTGCACGTTGTGGCATGCGTCAGAATTGCTTCCTTTTTTAGTGCTGAATAACACTCCATTGCGGGAATATGCCACATTTTGTTGATCTGTTCTTCTGCTGCTGGACACGTGGGTTGGTTCCGCCATTTGGATTGTGGATAATGCTGCTGTGAACAGGGGTGTACAGATGTCTCCCTGAGTCCCTTCTTTCAGTTCTTTTGGGATATACCCAGAAGTGGAATTACTGGACCATATGGTAGCTCTTTTTAAAATTTTTTGAAGTGCCATACTATTTTCCACAGCAGCTGCACCCATTTACATTTCTATTATGCCAACAGTGTACAAGGGCTCCAATTTCTCCACATCCTCACCAGCACTTGTGTTTTCATTTTTTTTGTTTTTCTTTTCTTTCTTCTTCCTTTTTTAAATGGTACTATCCCAACAAGCGTGATAGCAGGAATTTGCTTTTAATTACAGCTACTTCTGGCCTCACGAGACGTCTTTCAGAGGAATGTAGTGTGATCTCACCTTGGAAACGAGAGCTGCCTCAAGGCAGTGGTGCATGCGGTGCTGACAGGTGCCAAGGGTCACTGCCTTCCCCATGGACATCTGGGCTGTGCTGCAGTGCCCCTGTGGGTGCAGCAGGGCCCCTAGGGTGCCTCCGTGCAGCTTGGGAGCCATGGAACTAGACAGTGTGCTTCAGACGAGTAGATAAGCACAGAAACAGAGCCGTAAGGACTGGGGGGAACGTCCAGTCCATAGTTCTGTGTGGAACCACGATCCACGGAGGCAGCTGAGGGGCAAGTGTAGTGTACGTGGCTGTGCGCTCCATCTCCGTGCTTACAGCCCTACAAAGTGGGAAGAGAATGGAAGAAACAGGAGAGAAAAAGTCCCGTGTGGTTTCCCGGAATCCTGTGGGTAGTGAGAGTCTCAGCATTGTTATTCCTAGCATGTTTTGTGTGTAACGTGAGATGAAGCAAATGATTACTGATGTGATCTTTTAACTCTGAGGACCTTGACCAGGATTTTCAGTGGCGAGGAGAAAGGAGATACGGAGGAAAGGTGCTGCGGGTTAAGAAAGCCTCGGGAGGCTGGGCGTGGTGGCTCACGCCTGTAATCCCAGCACTTTGGGAGGCCGAGGCAGGTGGATCATGAGGTCAGGAGATCGAGACCATCCTGGCTAACACAGTGAAACCCCGTCTCTACTAAAAATACAAAAAAAAAAAAAAAAAAAAAAAAAAAAAAATAGCGGGGCGTGGTGGCAGGCACCTGTAGTCCCAGCTACTCCGAAGGCTGAGACAGGAGAATGGAGAATGGCGTGAACCCGGGTGAACCCGGGAGGTGGAGCTTGCAGTGAGCCGAGATCACGCCACTGCACTCCAGCCTGGGTGACAGAGCGAGACTCTGTATCAAAAAAAAAGAAAAAAAAAAAAGAAAAGAAAAAGAAAAACAAAGCCTCTGGAATCCGGAACTACAAATCCATAAGTAGCCCTAGAGCGTTCCCTGGAGAGGCCTGGAATCAGTGGCCAAACCAATCACACGGAGCACCCCCAGTCCCGGGTCATGTCTTGAAATTCAGTTTTCTGCTGAAAGAAGCTGAGACTACTTGGACAAATGGTTGATACCGGGTTGGGGGCGGGAAATGTACAAGTTGAACCTAAATGCTTTGTCATAGCAGATAATAAAGGAGCCACCCTGGACTGTGAGGATGTGATTCTGCTGAGAGAGAGCATTAAAAGAGGAAAAAAACTATTAAAGTCAAAGTCCACGAGGATAGTGTTAAAAGGACTCGTGAGCTCACCTGATGAGGCCAGAGATGGACAATTTGAACATCAGTAAGAGTAAAAATCACAGTAGGTTGAAATGTATGCAGTATGTTTAAGTCCATGAGTTTTTTTAACAATACTCAGGAAATAAACCTAATCCGTCACCTTTGGAGAATGCTAGGGAACCAATTATATATTTTTGGTAAATAAGGGAAAGCTCTGAAATATATATCCTGCTTTTCTTATGCAGGCCGCACTACTGGGTGAGCAGGTGGCAGGTTGGGAGGTTCCATGTATAGAGGATGGAACCTCTGTGTCTGAAGCGTCTCAGCACATCTGAATTCACAAGCTGGGCGCTGGTGGCCCTGGGGCCTGCTGACATCTCAGGAAGGGAGGAAGAGCCACACTGCCCGGGAGCTGGTCTGCCCCTATTCTAACAGGGATCTCATTCGACTTCCAGATCCAACCACTGATTTGCAGGAACGGAAAGGACAGAGGACGATGTTTGGCTGTGCTTCAGGCACCTGGCCATCAAAAGCCAAACCATGGGAAATGCTGTGTGACCAACGACTCTTCAGTTAATAACTTGGGAGGCAAAAAAAAAAAAAAAAAAAAAAAGAGGTGGAAGCACAACCAACGGTTAAAGGGGACATAAAAGGCACACATAGTGTGTGTGTAGGGACATGTGCTACATGGAGCAGGGTGGGGCTATGATTACCCTACAACCAGGATGTGGTCAGGGGCACACAGGGAGGCTGGGTCCCGAGGGCTGGAGTGGCCGGTAGGGCCCCTCTTCTTCCCTGCCTGAGGATTGTAAAGGTTGTTTCATAGCCGTTTTGTTTGTTTATTTATTTATTTATTTATTTAGAGATGGAGTCTCGCTCTTTCGCCCAGGCTGGAGCGCAGTGGCGCGATCTCAGCTCACCGCAAGCTCCGCCTCCCGGGTTCACACCATTCTCCTGCCTCAGCCTCCCGAGTAGCTGGGACTACAGGTGCCCGCCACCACGCCTGGCTAATTTTGTTTTGTATTTTTAGTAGAGACACGGTTTGACCGTGTTAGCCAGGATGGTCTCGATCTCCTGATCTCGTGATCCGCCCGCCTCAGCCTCCTAAAGTGCTGGGATTACAGGCGTGAGCCACTGCGCCTGGCCTCATAGCCATTTATTAAGCTAAATATTTACACTATGTTTTCTAAAAAAGTAAAATTATTTTAACAACATAAAAGTCAAAGGAAGAAGTTCCTGGAAGTGGTCTTGAAGGTGCAAGTGGGCAATTGTGAACAGTCTGCTGGTGCAGGATGTGGCGCTTCGTCGTGGGAGTGCTGTCTCCCTCCACTGTGGGCCGCGCTCCTTCCTGCAGCACTCGCAGCTCACTGCTGCCATTTCCCGTGTAATCCTGTCTTCTGTCTTGACTCAGACCCACTCGTATCTTTGTTGTCTGGGGTCTGCGCTTTACTAGGGGACCTTGGAGTTCTGTTGTTGGCTGTGACTTCATTCCATGTTCTTTCCCATAAGGAACTGTGTTGGGAATAGTTTGATGATTCCATGGTCATGCCTTTTGGCCTTTTCTGTGAGGGGCGAATGGGGAGCACATGGAACTTATTGCTGCTGTCTTCAGTATTTCTTGGGGGAGGAACTCGGTGTGGTTTTTTCCAGCCTGAGCCCACCCTGAGGTCGGTTGTTGGACCCACCTGCCTGATGCAGACTGCCAGGGTCTTCCTGCCAGCGCGGGATCCCCCACTTTCCATTTCCTCTTGCAACCATCAGACCCAGGGACACATGTGTGGCTCCTTCTCCAGTAAGCGACCTGGGAGGTATCCTTACCCCAGGACCCGAGTGAGCGTCTGTTGGAGACTCCCAGGTGTGCAGGCCAGAAGGACATGCCCAGTTGTGTGGCTGCCTCTTCCCTGCAGGGAGAGAGAGAAGGCTGGCGTGGGGCTTCTCCCCGGGCTGGGCCTGCGTTGTCCCCGAGGCCCGTGGCCGCTGGAGCAGCCCCTGAGCGACTCTGCTCCTTCCTGGGCCTCGGTTTCCTCGTTCTCAGGGGGGGCTTCTGCCAGACTGTCTGGGAGATGTTTTCAGCCCTCTAATTTGTGCATGCTGTGACTCACCCAAAATTACAGAGCAAAGCTAATGGAATCAGGAATTTATAAATCCCCCTTCCTTCCTCACGCGGTTCCTTGAGTTTTTGAAAACTACCATTCAGAATGAGACAGTGGCCTTCTACCTGAGGCCACAGGGTTGTCTGTGGCCTAACTGATTTCTGGCCAGTCAGGCTGGGTGAGCCTCAACAGCGTGAACATACTAAAGGCTTCTTCCTTGCCCTGGGACACCGGTTCTGGCCAGGCTACAGGGCTCACAGCTCAGACCTGCCTCTGCCTGGGAGTGACACGGTCCCCTCTGCTCACGTGCCATGGATCAGAGCTGCCATGTGGCCCAGCTTAGGGAGACCAAGAAGCATGGGAGACTCCCCGGCTATTTGACGAGCAGGACCTGTCCATGCCATCTCCCATCTGTGCCCTGCATCTGCGACTTCCAAAGAGCATTGGCCTGCACTGTCCTATGAAATGCTACCACAAGCCCTTTCTGGCAAGTGCAGTTAATCCTGTTCGGTGGGTTAGGAAACCAAGGCTCTGAGGGAGGCTTTCAGTGCCACAGCTGGGAGGTGAGAGTTGTGAGTTGCAGATGTCTCAGCCATCCCGAGCGTGACCATTCTGAGTGGCGGGAAGCTTTTCACTCAGCACTGAGTACATGATGCCTACAGTGTTCTGGGCCTCCTCCATCAGGAATCATGGGCCCTTCTCCCCAGGACGCTCATCGATGGCCCCGGCTCCTCCAGCCCTGGCTCCTCCAGCCCTGGCTCCTCCAGCCCTGGCCCCTCCTTGGGCTGTGGCTGCACCCTGGGCTCCACCCATTCCAGACCCAAAGGCCCATGGGCCAACCAGACACCGCCCCTACATGGTGTGCCCACAGGCTCTTATGGATCCCAGAGGGCCCCCTTTGTCCTGCTTGGGGAGGCTGGGGTGGCCGCTACACAGTGCCCTGCCGTGGCCCCCATGCTCCCCAACTCCCTACTGTGTCTGCTGGACGTTTGAACAGCCTCCTGCCCTAAACCTTGCATCCTGCCACCTCTGGCCCACTCTCCACCCTGGCCTACTCTTCACCCTGGCCCACTCTCCACTCTGCAGCCAAGTGATCTTTTCCAGCAGCACATGTGACTGAGTATTGCTGATGGCTGCGACTGCTTTCAGGATCAAATTGTGTCTCTTCCGAAAGAGACATCAGATAAGAGACATTGGAAAAGAACATGAATTGCGGTCACCCAGAGCTCTTTCGCGGTTTGGGATTAAGCCATGCAGAAAGGTGTGCAGGAGCCTAGATCACCTGCCAACCTGCCTCTTGCCATCCTCTATTTTGTACGCTCAGTCACCCCAGAAAATTGCTCCGGCCCTTGGATTTACCTCCGTGTCACTGTCCATCCGGTACCCTCTGCCTGGGATGCCTCCTGGGTCTCCATCACCCGCCTCACTCGTTTTTCCTCTGCACATGGCATCTACTTCCGCCCTTCCGCAGGACACCTTCCCAGGCTGGGTCTGGACCACCCTGCGGACTCGCTCCTCGCAATACTGGCCACATGCCCTCAAGCCCATCTGTTTCTTAGAGTCGATGTCCCCTAAGGTGTGAGTTCCTGGTGAGCAGGAGAACCTGTGCCTTTTATAACCTGGTGTGCTGCTCGGCGTGCCGAAGGAACCAAGGCGATGTTGAGAAATGAATGGAACAGCTGTACTGTGCAGAGATACGTGCAGAGAGGGGCAGGAGGAAGCCTCCACTTCAGACTTCAGTGTGAAAAAGAGACACTGGAAAAGAACATGAAATGTGGTTGCCCGATGCTCCTTTGTGGTTTGGGATGAAGCCCTGCAGAAAGGTCCGGGCAGCACTGCAGCCCCGCCATGCTGCTTGCCCCACGTGGGTTCTGGAGTCTGGTGGCACCTGGAAGAGCAGGTGGAGTGGAAGCTGCTAGAAGGTGGGAACCTGAGGGTCCTGGGCTGGCAGAGGCCTTGCCCCCGCTTTGCCTAGGGAGGCAGTGAGCTTCCTCCTTCATTTGAACTTTGCCCTGAAGAGCTGGGCCTTCCTTGTTCATGGGGAGCCTGATGCTTCTTCCCAGCACACCACAGCCACACAGGAGGTGCAGCAGAGCATGCGGAGATCCACCTGGCAACTCACAGCCAGCCGCGGCGTCACTGTCAGGACTCTGTGAAAAACAAGGTTTCTGTTTGGCGCGGGGACGACCAGAGGGAAGGAGACTGGTAGAGCCTAAGTATTCAGCCGACCATTAAAAAGTGAAAGTCAGAAGCAATGTAAGTCAAAACTCAGGACATCTCAGGGTGACCTTGGCCACTCACAGTTGTTCGTGTTTGAAATCACATTGATTCTCGCAGCTGTCCAAGGCGCAGGAAATAACCACTCTGGGTGATGTCGTTGGGATGGTTTTGTCAGCACTCAGGATTTGGGGGTTTGTTATGAAAATTTCACGTTACAAAAAAGGGAGAAGTGCAGTTTTGTGTGTTTAGGGTTATTGGTGGCTAGACATCTGAAAATCAGGATCCCCGCTCATTGATTTTTTTTTTTTTTTTGAGATGGAGTCTTGCTCTGTTGCCCAGGCTAGAGTGCAGTGGCCAATCTTGGTTCACTGCAACCTCGGCCTCCCAAGTTCAAGCGATTCTCCTGCCTCAGCCTCCTGAGTAACTGGGATTACAGGCGCCTGCCCCCCGCCTGGCTAATTTTTGTATTTTTAGTAGAGACAGGGTTTTAACATGTTAGCCAGGCTGGTAACTCCTGACCTCAGGTGATCAGCCTACCTCGGCCTCCCAAAGTGCTGGGATTACAGGCGGTGCCGCTCCTTACATTTTGTTGCTGTTCCCAGGAAGATTGATGGAGGGAAAACACACTCTCCACAGAGGAGATCCTGTGTTTACAGCCGTCTTAGATAGAGTCGTGATGAGGAGGAGGACTCTGGGCCGACAGTGTATGAGGGTTCCGCCTCATAAGGCTGTTTGGTGTTTGTGCCCACACTGGGTGTGACGGGTTGAAGCAGTGGATAACAAGCCTATTACTGTTATGCAAATGTGGGCGGCCCAGTTGCATTCTTCATGCATGTGTCTCTCCCTAATGAGTTTCAAAATCTTAATTTAGATCTTGATTTTGTTGCAGATAGGATTCCAATTTAAAGAGCGTTTGTCATTCAGAGACTGTGGTAGACAGGAAAATGGTCTTCAGAGATATCCACACCCTAGCTGTGGCGCCTGTAAATCTGTTACTTTATGTGACAGAAAGGACTTTGCAGATCTGATTAAGTTATGGATCTTGAGATGGAGAGATTATTCTGGATTATTCAGGTGGGCCCTTATAATCATGGTGACCCTTATAAGAAGGAAGCTGGAGGAGTTAATTGTCAGAGGAGAAGGTGCTGTGACGATGGAAGTGGAGATTGAAGTGATGCACTTTGAAGATGGAGGAAGCGGCTGCAAGCCAAGGAATGCAGGTGGCTTCTAGAAGCCAGAAAAGGCAAGGAAACAGATTCTTGCCTAGAGCCTCCGTAAAGAACCAGGCCAGTCGACACCATGACCTTAGCCCAAGGAGACCTGCGTGGGATTCCTTTCTTTTTATTTTCTTTCTTTTCTTTTCTTTTTTTTGAGACAGGATCTTGCTCTGTCATCCAGGCTGGAGTGCAGTGGCGCCATCTCAGCTCACTGCAACCTCCACCTCTTAGGTTCAAGCCATTTTCGTGCCTCAACCACCCATGTAGCTGGGATACAGGCACATGCCACCATGTCTGGCTAATTTTTGCATTTTTTTGTAAAGATAAGGTCTTGCTATATTGCCTAGGCTGTTCTTGAACTCCTGGGCTCAAGGGATCCACCTGCCTCAGCCTCGCCAAGTGCTGGGATTATAGGCGTGAGCCACTGCACTCAGCCCTCTGTGGGATTTCTGAACTATAGAACTGTAAGAGAGCAAGTTGGTGTTGTCTGAAGTCACTAGATTTATGGTGACTTGTCACAGCAGCCATAGGAAGCTAACACAGAGACTCAGGGACCAAGCCTTTCCATTGCAGCAAGATTGATCAGTTGTTCTCTCCCATCACGGGGCTCTCATTTTGCTCAAGTCCTATGTCATCGTCCCTCTTTTCCTGGAGAGCAGGAGCTGACTTCAGACGCCAGATCTTCTTTTCCTGCCACAGCGCACTTGCAGCTCTTGGGAGGTGAAGGTTCTGCCTGCTGCTCTTCTGGAATGATAAACGCTGGGCCCTTAGTGGAAATGTCAGGTGAAATGGAAGGCAGCTCCTTGGGTGCAGTGACAGGACCTGC
The DNA here is from genome assembly GCF_000001405.40 of Homo sapiens. Lineage (NCBI taxonomy): Eukaryota > Metazoa > Chordata > Mammalia > Primates > Hominidae > Homo > Homo sapiens. The sequence continues at coordinate 28,947,269 of NC_000015.10, forward strand.
AGTGGGCCTGTTGGAGCTGGCACTGAGGGCTGCTCCCCATCCCTCTGTGGGTGTATTGGCTGCATGCTGACTGGCCGTCCTCGTGGGCGTGGCCTGGTGTGTGTGCAGGTGGACAGAGGCTGGAGTATCCTTGAGAGGCTGTGCGTTCTCTCGGCTTCTTTTGGAGCCAGAGCCATCAGGGAGCCATCACCTGTCCTGGCCTGACCTGTCCTGTCATGAGTGCTGTGTTCCTTGAGCTGCCTCTCAGGCTAGGGGATGAGGTGGCTGTGCTCAGGCCTGGCTTCTGCAGGCTTCTTCCTATCTTTGGAGCGGCTCCACCACTGGAATCTGTGACATGAGAGGCCCGTAGCCCAGGCCCATCATCTAGAATGGAGAGGCAGCCCCACAGCCTCCTGGGAACCAGAGCTCCTTGCCTGGGTCATCACAGAACTAAGCCTTAAAATCAGGAGGCCTCAGCAAAGCGCCTCTAGAGACTCAAACCACCTTGTAAATCTCACTGGGAGTGAACGATTGACTTTTTACTCAGTACCAGGACTACATACTACCTCATTTATGGGTTTTTCCTCTAAATTGCTAATGTTTGAAGTGGAAATTTTCAAAACTGACTAATGTCTCTGCTTCAAGATTTGCTGTCAGGCAACTTATTTATAAATAAAGCAGCTTTTCAAGGAGCACTAACAAACAATCCCTCGTGTTAGGAGACTCAGAGCCAAGTCGTGGCTCTAGGTTGGCCTTGCAGGGTGTTAGGGAGCCAGTTCTCCACCCCAGGGCCATGGACTTCTGGGTCCTTGCACCATCCAGAGAGGTGATGATGTGGTTATTCCCATGTATAGAGTCTACTGTTTTCAGGGGGCATTTGCATCTGTGGTTTCATTAGATGTTCAGAGCATCCCCACAGGGGTTAGTTCATGTAGAGAAGGAATCAGAGGCTCACAGAGGTTCAGGGTTTGCTGGGTCACCAGCTCCTAAGAGGGGCCCTTTGGGCTGAGGCCACGGCGCTTTCTTTCTTGCAAGACAGAAATTTTCCTTTTCCTTTCTTTGCCATAATGGCCACCTCCTTCCACCCCATATCCTTCTTCCCTTTGGCCACTGGTGAGTTCTGATTATTTTTGGAAAAAAAAAAAAATTAAAACTCTGGGAGCTTGAGACTGAGGTAAAGTCCCCTTTCGTAGAGATTTTTGGACTGACATGTTAGCTCTCTGCCCTGTGTAACTTCAGAGTTTGGTAGGTGATGGGGACACGCCTGTTGGAGAGTCCTGGTGTGTCCAGTTTTGTCCCCGCAGCTTCACTGGCTGTCAGAGCCACAGCCTTTGCTTACGGCTACGCCCTGGAATATTTAACAGCAATTTCTTTTCGCTTTCTTCTGTCGTGTTCTGTCTGTGTCAGTGTTTTGTGGTCTTACTGTACCTGTTGTTTTATTATAGGCAGATACTGTAAACGCTGATACAGTCTGTGCCCTGCGGTTGTGGTTTTTAGGGCCTTGCGGCGGCATCTTTGCTAGTGCTCACTGCAAATAGGGGCAGGAAGCAGTTGTTTGGGAATGAGCCACATGGTGGAATATCTTGAATGTCCCAGGCCAGGCACAGAGCAGCTGCTCAGTAAATGTTGCTGAGTGAGAGGCTGGGGGGTTGGTGAGGATAGGCAGGGGTGGGCGTCCAAGGCTGCAGAGTTGTAAAGCGGGGGGTGGGGCAGCCAGCAAGTCCAGCTCGAGGAAACACCACGGGGTTCAGGGGCTCTGTGTAAGAAATGGCAGAGGTTTGGCTTCGCTTTTAGTTGTTTTGTTTCTTGTTCAAGTGAGGAGAACACACCGAGAAGGGAGGAGAGCAAGGCTGGCTGAGCGTCATGGCAGGGTGGTAAAGGAATCAATCACCCGGACAGGTTGTCCGTTCATGTGCCGTTGTTTGCATTGCTGTGATACAGACTGCTGTGCCACTGAAACCTTCCGAAAAGCAAGCCACCCAGAGAGTGACTTGGGCAGGTGTGTATTCATGTGTGCATCAGGGAGAGGAATACTTGCAAGGAGCAGAGCTTCCAGAAGACCAAGATTCAGTGGAGGCAGCAAGTCAGGGCCGGGCAGAAGCCCCTGGGGTATCTGCGGAAGAGCACTTTCCAGGGTGCATGGATGGATGCGTTAACCAGCCAGTTCCTACGCATCACGGAGGAGAGGTGCCTGCCCTCCTGGGAGCCGTGCCTATTCCATTGCTTCTGTTGTTTTTTTGAGACAGGGTCTCACTCTGTCACCCAGGCTGGAGTGCAGTGGCACGATTTCAGCTCACTGCAGCCTCTGCCTCCCAGGCTCAAGCGATCCTCCCACCTCAGCCTCCCAATTAGATGGGACTTCAGGTGAGCACCACCATGCCTGGCTAATTTTTAAATGTTTTGTAGAAACGGGGTCTCACTGTATTGCCCAGACTGTTCTCGAACTCCTGGGCTCAAGTGATCCTCATGCCTCCACCTCCCAAAGTGCTGGGATTTCAGGCGTGAGTTACCACACCCGGCCTCTTGTTGTTGTTAGTAAACTTTTAATTCTAGAACAGCTTTAAAGTTATAAAAAAGTTGCAAAGACTGCAGAGAATTCCCATGCTTGCTTCCTCCAGTCTTCTCTCTCGTTAACATCTTACATCACACGGTGCATTTGGCATAACTGAGGAACCAACGTGGGTCCATTGCTATGAACTAAACTCTGCAGTTTATTCCAATTTCCTTAGTTTTTGCTTAATGTTTTTTTTCTGTCCCAGGAGCCTGTCCAGGCCACTACGTTACCTATAGTCCTTGCGTCTCCTTAGCCTCCTCTGGTCTGTGACAGTTTTTCAGCTTTCCTTGTTTTTAATGACCTTGATAGTTTTCAAGAGTACAGGTCTTTGTGAATATCCTTCGATTTGGGTTTATCTGCTGTTCTTCTCATGGTTAGACTGGAGTTATGGGTTTGGGGGAGGAAAACCACAGAAGCGAAGCACCATTTTCAACATACATCAATGTTGCATGATATCAATATGACTCATAACTATCGATGTTGACCCCGATCAGCTGGCTGAGGTAGCATGTGCCAGTTGCTCACTGTAAGATTACCCCACCTTCAGCGGGGTGCGGTGGCTCATGCCTGTAATCCCAGCACTTTGGGAGGCCGAGTGGGTGGATCATGAGGTCAGGAGATCGAGACCATCTTGGCTAACATGGTGAAACCCCGTCTCTATTAAAAATACAAAAAATTAGCCAGGCGTGGTGGTGGGCACCTGTAGTCCCAGCTACTTGGGAGACTGAGGCAGGAGAATGGCGTGAACCCAGGAGGCAGAGCTTGCAGTGAGCTGAGATCACGCCACTGCACTCCACCCTAGGCGACAGAGTGAGATTCTGTCTCAAAAAAAAAAAAAGAAAGCAAAAAAAGATTACCCCACCTTCTTTCCATAGTCCTCCCTGGAAGGAGGTCGATGTGCAGAGCCCATGCTTAAGGAATGTGGAGTTACACTCCACTCCTTCATGGGGGGTGGGGATATCTGTATAAATTATTTGGAATATTTCTGTATGGGGGACTTATCTATTCTCCCCCATTTATTTATTCAAACATTTACATCAATATGGATTTGTGGATATATAATTTATACCTTGCTTTATAATCCAGTGCTGTGTTATTTATTTTATTGCTCAAACTGTCCCAGCTTTGACTATATGAAGCTCTTTCAGGTGGCATCCCATGTCCCTTAGAGAGATCCCTACCTTTTTGTTTTTTTGAGTACAGTCAGTTGGCCATATCCGTGAGTTCTGCATCTGTGGATTCAACCAACCTTAGATGGGAAATATCTGGGAGAAAAATAGATGGTTGCATCTCTACTGAACAGACTTTTTGTCTTGTCATCATTCCTTAAACAATACAGTATAACAACGATTTATATAGCATTTACATTGTACTAGGTATTATAAATAATCTAGAAAGGATTTAAAATATATTGAAGAATGTGCATAGGTTATATGCAGATTCTACACCATTTTATAGAAGGGACTTGAGCATTGAGGATTATGGTATCTACAGGGGGGCCTAGATAACCAATCCCTTACAGATACCCAAAGAAAACTGTACCTCTTTCTGGCACAAGATACTCAGGCTCATCTTGAATTTTTCCTACCCAGTCCTGGACTCAGCTATTTCTGCAAGGATCCCTGCCTTATTTTATTGAAGAATGGTATCTAGAAACCAAGGTCTGGAGACAGGGTTCTTCTTGTCACCGAGGTACATTGCTTCCAGGCCCTCTCAGCAGACAGAGCTAGGAAATATGCATGTATGCTAATCTGTGTATACATATGTATCTCCCATAGTTTTTTTTTATTTTTTTATTTTTTGAGACAAAGCCTTGCTCTGTTGCCAGGCTGGAGTGCAGTGGCACGATCTCCACTCACTGCAACCTCCGCCTCCCAAATTCAAGCAACTTTCCCGCCTCAGCCTCCCTAGTAGCTGGGACTACAGGCGTGTGCCACCACACCCAGCTAATTTTTGTACTTTTAGTAGACAGAGTTTCACCATGTTGGCCAGGATGGTCTTGATCTCTTGACCTCATGATCCATCCGCCTTGGCCTCCCAAAGTGCTGGGATTACAGGCGTGAGCCCACTGCACTCAGCCTTTTTTTTTTTTTTTTTTTTTTTTTTAAGACAGAGTCTCCCTCTGTTGCTCAAGCTGGAGTGAATGGCACAATCTTGTCTCACTGTAATCTCCACCTCATGGGTTCAAGGGATTCTCTTGCCTCAGCCTCCTGAGTAGCTGGGATTATAGGCATGCACCACCACGCCTGGCTAATTTTTGTGTCCCATAGCTTTTTTTTGAATGCACGACCCCATCTGGCGGCGAAGCCCTGGACCTAGCCTTCTGATCACTCATGGGAACCATGACCACGTGTCACATAGTAGAAAGGAAAACTTGGACAACTTACTGTGTAGACAGGAGCAGCAACAACAAAAAAGACTTGGAAGGCTTAAAGAATATTTTCCAAGTATACACAAATACAGAGAATAATAAGAGGAATGACTTTGAGAGCCTGAGGCAGGAGGATTGCTTGAGCCCAGGAGTTCAAGAACAGTCTGGGTAGCATAGAGTGACCTTGTCTCTACAAAAAAATTAAAAAAAAAAGCCAGGTGTGGTGACGCGCACCAGTGGTCCCACCTCCGTGGGAGGCAGAGGCAAGAGGATCACTTGAGCCTGGGAAGTTGAGGCTGCAGTGAGCCATGATTATACCACTGCATTCCATCCTGGCTAACAGACCAAGACTCTGTTTAAGAAAAAAGGAGTATCTGGGGTACCTGCTATCCAGTTTAAGACATGTACAAATATGATTCAGCCTTCCATGAGCATGCCTCCCCAGCCACCCCTGTGAAACCCAGTAAATTGAATTTACTGTTTGTTTTTTGGAGGCATGTTTTATTTTTACACTGCATGTATGCCTAAATGATATATCCCATTGTTATGATATTTTCAAACTTTGTAGAAATGATACCTTACTGTGTTCCTACAACTTGAATTTTCATTAACTGAGACATTTTACATGTATTTATCTTCTTAGCAATCCTGAGAAAAGCAAGAGTCACTATCTCCATTGTATAGATAGAGAAACTGATAATGTAGAGCAATGATGTGATTTTTGCTAATTTCAAGCAGCTAATGGAGATCGACTCACATTTGTACCTTCAGAGCCCTAGTCCATGCTCTTTGTATGACATAAATGTCAAGATTCATCAGGAAAAGGAAGAACAGGCGGGTCTTGTTGGTTACTCTGTGACCCTGTTGCTTCCCTGGGACCTGGAAGTCCTGGTGTCTCCCTTAGCCTGGAATCCCAGTCTCCATCTGGGTTTTGCAGGCTCCAGGAGTTTTGATGAAATGAGGACCCATATGGCTGGTTGAGACTCCCACCCCCTCATCACTCCCTACCAGCGTTTGTGCAGAATCCTCCTCTCCTCCCGAGTTGGAAATAATGTATAGTTGGCTCAAAAGTCAGCCCCTCCTTATTTTAGCACCAGATGCTGCCTCTCAGCTTCACGCTGCCCTCCAGCAGCATTGCCTGTGGTCCATGGGATCTTGGCCTTCACACTCAGCATTGAAACAGCTGCCTTCCGCTCCCATCATAGGAAAGAGAACAGAAGTCTCTTGCTCCCACTCCCCCCGCCCCACCCCCTGCTGCTGGCCTATTTCTGTGCTTTGTTTTGCTGTAGAACTTCTGGAAAGAGTTGTCTGCAGTGGCTTTCTCCATTTCCTCCCTTCCCGTTCTCTCTTATACCCGCTCCAGTCGGACTTTTGCCCCTTCCACAGACACCTCTCCTGACACTTTTGACCCCATCACTTAGAGATCAAGATCTGTAAGACTCCAAGTCTCCAGATCCAGTGGTCAGCTCTCGGTCCCTTCCCATGTGACTGACCAGCAGTGTTTGCCACAGTCGTCCCCTCTAGGAAACACCTTCTTCCCTTGGCTTGTGGGGCACTCTGTGCTTGGGATTTTCTTCCTGCTTCACTGGACTTTGCTCAGTCCCCTTACTGACCCGTGAGTGTCAGAGTGTCCCTGCGGTCAGTCCATGCCCCTCTTCTCCGCTCGGTCCACACTCCCACCATGGTTGACCTCATTCCGACTTGTGGCACAAGGAGCTCACATTTATCTTTTAGCTCTGATTTCTCTTCTGACCTCCAGACTGTACACCCTGTTGCTCACCCAGCGCTTTCCCTTAGAGTTCTAATTGACGTCCCCACACAACAGGCACCAAGCTGTCCCTGGCCATCTCAACCCCAATCTCCACATCTCAGTAAATGGCAGCTCCATGCTTCCGGACACCTAGACCATAGACTTGGAGCCAACCTTGACTCCTGTCTCTCTTAAACCCCACATGGAATCTGTTCCGTAAGCTGCCCATGGTCACACCGGCACCGCTGCCGTGCGATGAGAGCCTGTCATCTCCTTGCTAGATTGCTGTGCCAGTTTCCTGATGGTTCCTGTTTCCACACTGACTGCATACCTTCCCACCCAAGTCTGTGTCTGCTCAGCAGCTGGTTTATTGCATACAAACTTAAATGAGAATGCTCCTCCGACCAGAGCTCTCCGTTCCCTGGCCATCCCATTAAGAGTAAATGCTGGAAGCCCCTCCTCAACTGACTTTATTTCTTAAAACTCTATCCTGCAAAATCCTGCCTGGCTAATAACTTTATCACCTTCTTCGTGTTGGTTCCAACGTTCCCTTCTGCAGGTGGCTTCTGCGGACTTTGGTACTGGCCCACATCCCTGAGCTGGTAACCCCCCACCATGCACAGGCACCCCCACATTAATTCTGTAGCTTATTTGTTTATTGTTGTCTGTGCCACTCCAGACAGGAAGCCTGTGGGGGTTGGGGGCTTGGTCTGCCTTCTTCAGCCCTGGGCTCACAGTCCTGACATCTTCTTGAAGACGGCGCTCACGGTCAGGCTGCAGCAAATTCACAGTTGACATCTAGGAGTGAGGGCCTCCTGCCATGCTGCACTCTGGCCTCTCACCTGCCTCCTGCTAGTCCTGGGCACACCTGGAGGACAATCAGGGAATTTCTTTCCCCATCTGCTTTGGCATCCTCCAAACCTGGGAACCTTTCTAACACCTGACTGCTTGGTGACCATGTGTGTGCTCTGTGGATTTCTGTCCAGGAGGGTCCCTCACTCTGGCCCTCAGGGCCATGTGCATGTGGACACCGACTGGTAGGGTTGGTTTCCTATGCAGAGAGCAGGGCCAGAGGCATAGCCGGCCCACCCCCAGCCCCATTGCTCACGGTTCACCCAGTCCCCTGGCCTTTCCGACGCTGTGCGCATCTGTATTTGTTGCAGTGAACAGAGCCTAGAATTATAGGACTTTGTCAGACAGTTTGATTTTCAACCCCGTAAAAAATACATTTTACTTAACCACCTAGGATACCTCTACATTATAGACCTCAAGCAGAAGTTTCAGGAGACAGTTTCTTACTCTCATTAGAGGTGATGCGTTTTGTGTGGTCTTCGGTTTCATTGCCCCATAAACTCACTTGGCGATCTGCCTGTGGGTCCCCAGCAGTCTGTAAGCCACAGCTTTCTCAACCGTACTTCCTGTTCTGGAGGAGAAACCTGAGCTGCAAAGAGCTAAGGGTCTTGCTAAGGTCATACCAGTGAATTCACCAAACAGCCAGTACTGGAACCCTGTCCTCTGATTCCCATCCTGTGGCTTTTTTAGGCTTGTGTAATCAATTTTAATGATTGTACCATTGTAGCTTATTTAAATTACCCCAGGAGGAACATCAGCTCTGTTCAAGAAATGTTATTGTAGTTGCTCACCTGCTTTGTTCAGGGAAATGCATCTTTTGTGGGATTTCTTCTGAGTAATTAAGAGGGTCTAAGAAGCCAGTTTTATAGTCATTTATTTAACTGTAGAGAACAATGAAGTTAAACACAAAAGCTGGTTCCATCTGCAGGAACATATGAGTGATTTGCATTAGAAAGGGTGTTCATCAAAGCTCCTCCCAGGTGCCTAGGGAGGCATGGGGGGCCTTGGTGGGTTCCCTGAGGGTCGGGCCAAGGCCTTGGGCCAGGGAGCACAGTTCCATTGCACTGGGTGTGTTGGGGCAGAACCTTGTGCTTGGAGGTAGGTGTTGCTTCTGGCCCTCGGTTGCTTGCTCCTGCAGGCAGGGCCGTGGACCCGTAGCTCAGCAACCATGGAGGAGCTGTGAGAAATGCACAGTCTCAGGCCCCACCCTGGCTCTGCTGACTTGGAACCTGCATGTTAACGAGACTGGGGGTTTGTATGCACATCACATCCGGTCCAGCTCTGGCCTGAGGACTCCGGTCTGTGGTTTCTAGTTTTTATCATCCAGCTGGTCATCCTCAGCAGTAGAGAATGTGGTTGGTTACCATGTGCAGGGCAGCCTGCTATGTGCTGTGGTAACAGAAGGGTGGGGCAGAGCCCTCCTAGCCCTCCCAGCCCTCTGGGGCTTGCTGTCTCTAGGGCAGGCAGGGGCTGGCATATGCAGTTGTACACCATGGTGTTTTACAAAGCACGAGTGCCATGGACCCCATGGGTGGGCTGGATTGAGATGCAAGGAGGGAAAACAGATGGGGTGGGGTCCCAAGCAGGAGGAACTGCATGAGGAAAGGCGTGGAGGCTGGACAGATGCAGAGGCAGTCAGGGAATAGCCAGTGTCAGAATGGAGCAGGCGACAGCCGGGTTTTGGAGGCTTTCAGTCCCACGTTTAGATATTTGGACTTTATCCAGTGGGTCATGGAAGCTACTATAAACTTTTTAAAATTAAATACTATTTTATTTAAAAAATTGTGTAAAATACACATAACATAGGATTCACCTTCTGGAACCATGTTTAAGTGTAGAGCTCAGTCGCATTAAGTACATTTACACGGTTGTGCAACCATCACCCCATCCACCTCCAGAGCTCTCCTCACCCTGCAAAACTGAAACTCTGTCCCCATTAAACACTTAACTCCCATTCCTCCTCCCCTCACCCCCTGGCACCCACCATTGTACTTTCTGTCTATGATTTTGACGACTTCAGGTGCCTCGTATGAGAGCAATTGTATAGGATTTATATTTTGTGACTGGCATATTTCACTCTCAACGTCCTCACGGTGCACACACGTCGTAGTGTAGCACGTGTCACAGTCTCCTTGTCTGTTAAGGTCGAGGAATACTTCCTTGTATGAATAGACCACATTTTGTTGATCGTTCATCTGGTGAAGGATGCTTGGGTTGCTTTTACCTCTTGGCTGTTGTGAATCATGCTGCTGTGAACATGGGGGTACAATCTCTTTGAGCTCTTGTTTTCTTTTTCTTTTTTTTTCTTTTTCTTTTGAGATGGAGTCTCGTTCTGTCACCCAGGCTGGAGTGCAGTGGTGCAATCTCAGCTCACTGCAAGCTCCGCCTCCCGGGTTCACGCCATTCTCCTGCCTCAGCCTCCCGAGTAGCTGGGACTACAGGCGCCCGCCACCGTGCCTGGCTAATTTTTTTAAGTATTTTTAGTAGAGACGGGGTTTCACTGTGTTAGCCACGATGGTCTCAATCTCCTGACCTCGTGATCCGCCCGCCTCGGCCTCCCAAAGTGCTGGGATTGATTACAGGCGTGAGCTACTGCGCCCGGCCTGAGCTCTTGTTTTCACTTCCTTCGGGCATACCCCCAGAAGTGGAGTCATTCCTAGATCATATGGTGATTCTATTTTTAATGTTTTAAGGATAGCATTTTCCAAAGGGGCTGCACACCATTTTACATTCCTACCCACCGTGTACAAGGGTTCCAGTTTTCTCCACATCCTCACCAACACTTGTTATTTTCTGGTTTTTCAATCGTGGCCACCCTGATGGGAGTGGGGTAGCAGCTCTCTGTGGTTTGGATGGCGTTTTCCTGATGCACGATGGTGTGGAGCACCTCTCCTGTGTGGGAGCACTGTGGCCTGGTGAGCAGGGGCTCTGTGGTGGGGAGGCGCGTGCCGAGGGCTGTAGGAGAGGGCGACGGGTGGTGCTGTGCATCAGGTTCGGGGTGATGGGAACGCTGTCTCTTGCACCTGCACATCAGGCCTCCCCCATGCTACTTTGGTGGCTTCTGTGGGAGCACAATATGTCCAGGGTGCCATCCCCAAGGCAGAAGGGAGCACCATCTGGTTTGATGTGTGGCCTGTACTTCACCAAGCCCACCACATTTGGCCTATGACTGTGTCCTGCTGCGACTGGGTTGAAGTCAGAGGAGCCGAGACAGGCGGGGGAGCATTTGGAGGACGTGTCCCTTGCTGTGGTGTCTTTGCAGAAGTGGCCAGCACTTGCACTGCCCAGTAGTATTTTCGATGCTCCTGGGAACATGAGAGGATTGCACTCTCTGCTTTCTCAAAGTTAGATAAGACCATGTGCCTTGCTTCAGCCAATGACATGTAAGCAGAAGTGACTTGTGGGTAGAAGCTGGAAGGGACTTTCTATGCTGTCCTTTCTCCAGTCACATCGGTCCTAGAAGCACATGCCTAGGAGGAGGGGCCATAATAGCAACGTGGCTGTTATTTGCTTTGGACTCACAGTGGACTTTGAGTGAGCAAGACAGAAACCATTACTGGGCCCAGGCCCTGTGGCGTGGGAGCTGTTTGTTGTCACAGCACAGCCTAGCCTGTCCTCACTGATCCAGGAGGAACCTGAAAAGTATTTTAAGTGCACAGATAGGTGAAGATGAAAGTGTAGCGTTTTGGGATAATTCTGCATGCTTCTTAGTATCTCCAGCAGTTTCGAGATTTGGCGAAGGGGCTGAACTTTTCTGTAGGTAAATCTCTTGCTGAAGAGTTCATTATCAGCTGGTAATGGCTTCATTTTGTCAGCGGCACAGAGCTCTGGCTTGTGCGTGTCTGAGGCCTGTCCCCACTGGGGCAGGGAGGTAATGAGAACTCATGAACCCTGCATCTCTGCCTGGCTTTAACAGCCTCTGTGTTTTCCAGTGCTTATCAAATCCAGAGCTGTTTACATTTCAGGAGACAACTTCAGACTCTGTGGACCTCATTATACTTCCAAAGCAGGAGGGTCGTTGTTTTTAAGCATTATTCCCAACTTTTTTTTTTTTGACTGCAGAAATGCCTTTTTAATATCAGAAAATTTCCAAGTTTTCCTTACTTGGCTATAGTCTTGTTTTTAGTACTGCTTTGGTGGTTCAGTAACTATTCATTAAACAAATCTCTTCATTTTAAGTTTATTTCTTCTATAGGGCTCTTCTCTTCTCTTCTGTTCTCTTCTCTTCTTTTTGATACAGAATCTCCCTCTGTCGCCAGGCTGGAGTGCAGTGGTGCGACCTTGGTTCACTGCAACCTCCACCTCCTGGGTTAAAGCTATTCTCCTGCCTCAGTCTCCCGAGTAGCTGGGACTGCAGGTGCATGCCGCCATGCCCAGCTAATTTTTGTATTTTTAGTGGAGACGGGGTTTCACCATGTTGGCCAGGACGGTCTTGATCTCTTGACCTCATGATCCACCTGCCTCGGCCTCCCAAAGTGCTGGGATTACAGGCATGAGCCTCCGCATTCAAATATATGTAAAAACGGAGAGAATTGTGATCCCTGAAAATTCATGTGTTGAAATCTTCACCCCCAGGACCTCAGAATGTGACTGTATTTGGAGAGAGGGTCTTTGAAGAGGTAACTGAGTTAAAATGATATCATCAAGGTAGCTTAATCCAATCTGACTGATGTTCTTGTAAGAAGAGATTCAGACACAGACAGGCACAGACGGATGGCCGTGTACATACATGGCGGAAGACAGCCGTATGTGAGCCAAGGAGCGAGGCCTCCTGAGAAACCAGCCCTGCTGACACCATAATCTCGACTTCCAGTCGCCAGAACTGGAAGAAAATACATTTCTGTTGGTTAAGTCCCCTAGCCTGTGGTACTTTGTGATAGCATTCCTAGAAAACTAATACAGTGCCTGTGTGCTATTGTTCAGTGTCAGCAGTTCCAGTTTTTAAGCAATCTTCATGGACTGCTCCCGAAGTTCAGGGAGCATGGGGCCTATAGCAGAGAACTAGGCAGCACCTGCCCTTGTGAAACTGACACTCTACGGAAACTGGAAAAATTCATGAGGACAAGCTTCAGTTAACAACACTTTGAGGCTGGGTGTGGGAGCTTGAGCCTGTAATCCCAGCACTTCGGGAGGCCGAGGCAGGTGGATCACTTGAACCCAGGAATTTGAGAGCAGCCTGGGCAACATGGTGAAACGCCATCTCTACTAAAAATACAAACAATTAGCTGGGCCTGGTGGCAGTTGCCTGTGGTCCCAGCTACTTGGGAGGCTGAGGTGGGAGGATTGCTTGAGCCCAGGAGGCGGAGGTTACAGTGAGCTGAGATTGCACCACTGCACTTCAGTCAGCCCAGGTGACAGAGTGAGACCTTGTTTCAAAAAAAAAAAAAAAAAAAAGACACTTTGAGACTGGGCGAAGTGGCTCGTGCCTGTAATCCCAGCAGTTCAGGAAGCAGAGGCAGGAGTACTGCTTGAGGCCAGGAGTTCAAAACCAGCCTGAGCAACACAGCAAGACCCCTGTCTCCACAAAAAATATATTAAAATTAGCTGGGTGTGGTGGTGGATGCCTGTAGTCCCAGCTACTTAGAGGCTGAGGCAGGAGGATTGCCTGAGCCTGAGAGGTTGAGGCTGCAGTAAGCTATGATCATGCCACTGTATTCCAGTCTGGGTGATAAAGCAAGACCTTGTCTCAAAAAAAAAAAAAAGAGCACTTTGAATTCTCATAATCATAATCATATGACATCTGTCTACCTTAGAAACCCTCGCTGGTGGGTGGTCACACATAATGCTGGTGGTCTGCGGGGGGCAGATGGACTCTCACACCCTCCTAGGTTCCCCTTTAGGAACTGAGGCTTCAGGTATGGGAAGGGTTTGTGGAATAAATGGATGAAAATGGAATGAGAAGCTTTGCCCACGTCAGAGCCAACCTATCATGTGGACCAGGATTCAGACCACCCCTGGGAGAGGAACCAGGATGCACCCATCATTCTTTTTTTTTTTTTTTTTGAGACGGAGTGTCACACTGTCACCCAGGCTGGAGTGCAGTGGTGTGATCTCGGCTCGCCGCAACCTCCGCCTCCCAGGTTCAAATGATTCTCCTGCCTCAGCCTCCCGAGTAGCTGGGATTACAGGCGTGCACCACCATGCCTGGCTAATTTTGTATTTTTAGTAGAGACAGGGTTTCTCCATGTTGGTCAGGCTGGTCTCGAACTCCCGACCTCAGGTGATTCACCTGCCTCAGCCTCCCAGAGTGCTGGGATTACAGGCGTGAGCCACCGCACCTAGCCGACACCCATCATTCTTACACAGTGAAGACCCAGGGAGATGATGAGTCACACCGGGAAGTGATTCATTTGCTTACTGTTAAGTTCATCCAGGATTCCTTTAAATACCAAATCCCCATATACGCTTAAAAATACCTAGTTCACTCAGAAACAGTGTGCTGACTGACGGAAGCCAGACATGAAAGACTATGTGGTGCAATTCCATGTATAGGACGTTTCTAGAAAGGGCCTAATGACAGAGATGGAAAGCAGATGAGGGCCTGCTTGGGTCTGGGGCGTCAGTGGGGATTGGCTGCAGGCAGCCATGAGGAGCCTTCAGGGTGATGAGGGTTCTAAAAGTGCGTCGTGTGCCTGAGCCACTGCGACATTCACTAGAAGTCCTCCGTGCTGACGGAGGGTGAACTGTGTGGGGCCCAAGTTCTATCTCAGGAAAGCCAGGGAAGCCACTCAGTTCAGCTTTGTGAAAATCAAGGGAGTCTTCTTGGAGGAAGTGGACTCTGAGCTGGATGTGAATGACGGAGTGTCTTTGGTAAGGAGAGACAGCTGCAGGGGACTCCTGGTGGAGGAACAGGATCCCGGGGGAGCGGCCGGGCGGGTGACTGAGGCGCCAATGGAAGGAGAAGCCTGTCACAGGTGAGGGCATTGAAGGGAACTGCAGGGACACCCAGCGCTTCTCAACTCTGACTGCAGATTTCCAGCTGCCATTTCTAAAGGACAGGTGCCTGGGCTCCACTCCTGGAGGTTTGGATTTAATCAGTCTCGGGTATAGATCCCGGACGTTAGTATTTTTAAGCATATTTTTAAATGAAGTGATACTCTAATTCTATCATTTTCTTTTTACTTCTCAGCTTGTTGCTTCTCTAAAGAGATACCTCCCTTTATCCATTTTGTGGTCACCCAGTGGGACAGTTGAGAGAGAAAAGGCCGGGTGGCATGTGATTCTTCTACTTCATTTACCAGTTTTGAAGATGATGAATTTGTTTCCCATGACCTTCCAAAGGTGGTTTTTTAAAATTTATTTTAATCTATCGTCGTGAACTCCTGGGGCGTGAACGTGTGTCATAGGTTTCAAACCACTGCAATCATTATCCTCATTGAGGTTCATTGTGGCTGGTGGTAGTGTCTTCATATTGGCCTCTGAGACCTTCTGACCTGATTCTAGTTATCTTTGATAATTTCCTTGTCTTTAAAAAATTATAATTGTATATATTTTTTAATAATAAAGATGGGTTTCGGCTGGGCGCGGTGGCTCACGCCTGTAATCCCAGCACTTTGGGATGCAGAGGTGGGCAGTTCACGAGGTCAGGAGATTGAGACCATCCTGGCCAACATGGTGAAACCCCATCTCTACTAAAAATACAAAATTAACTGGGCATGGTGGCGGGCGCCTGTAGTCCCAGCTACTCAGGAGGCTGAGGCAGGGGAATCGCTTGAACCCAGGAGGCGGAGGTTACAGTGAGCAGAGATCGCGCCACTGCACTCCAGCCTGGCGACAGTGAGACTCCGTCTCAAAAAATAATAATAATAGTAATAATAATAATAAAGACAGATTTTGCCATGTTGCCCAGGCTTGTCTCGAACTCCTGGGCTCAAGCCATCTGCCCACCTCTGCCTCCCAAAATGCTGGGATTACAGTGTGAGCCACCATGGCCCAGCCTAACTTCCTTGCCTTTTAAGAGTAAAGCAGTTTTATTTCCCATTGCTCTTCCACTAGCTTTAAGTATGTGTTAATTTATTATTTTAGGTTGTCCTAGAGGTTATGATCTGCAGACTCATTAGATGCTAGTGATGCTGGTCTTCTTTAAATTGGTACTTTAACCGCTTCCTGGACAAGGCAGGGACTTTGCATACAGATATATCAGTATGGTGTGGAAGACAGCTACACTCACCATTATACCACCTGCACAGATATCAGTATGTTTTGAAAGTTGCCTGGAGACCTTGGTGGCAATCCAGGGCTGAAAACTCTGGGTGGGGCACTAGGTGGGTGGCAGGTGCACTGGGGACTGAATGGGATGCTGTGGCAGAGAGGACCAGACCTAAAGCCTTTAGTGAAGAAGGCCTGGTGTGAATTTTTTAGCTGGTTATCAGGTTCATATTTTAAAGAATATTTTTCTAATTACGTTTGTTTGTTTGGTCTGGCCTGATGTGGGACGTGGTATTTTCAGTGTATAGGTCTTCCTAGAGTTGGGAAGGAGGGATGCCCTTCTGTTGGAGATGTTTCTGTTAACTCAGGTGCTTTAGGAATGGAAAGGAAAGTCATGCAGCTCAGGCCCGGCAGGGGCATTGTTGAAGATCCTCAGCCAGTGAGGCGCCTTCCCTGTGCCCAGCACATTGCTGAGGACCTTGCCTGAAAGATGTCCTTTCATCCTCCCCACCCACCTGAAAGATGAGAAGTGGAGGACTGATGAGAACCTTCCAGATGGGTTCTCCAAGCCACACAGCTAACAGGTGCCAGAGTCGGAATTTGAACTCAGCTGTGACTTACTTCTGTTACCAGCAGAAGTGGGTGAGAAAGCCGGCCACAGTCCACTAAACACGGGCTATGACCAAGGTCTCTTTGACAACATAATCCAACAAATAGGCTTGTTTTAGAATATAAATCTCAAGGAATTTGGGGGGAGTTGATATACTCTTGTTTTTTACTTTTTATTTTGAAATATTTTTAGATTCACAGGAGGTTGCAAAGAAATATTCAAGAAGATCCTGAACACTCTTCACTTAGCCCCGCTTCAATGTTAACATTATGCATAACGATAGTACAATAGTCAAACCAGGAAACTGACAGTGATGTAGTCAACAGAAACTAGTCAGACTCCAGTAGTTATAATGTATGTATGTGTGTGTGTATGTGTGTGATTCTGTCCAATTGCATGTGCAACTTCATGTAACCACCACCACAATCAAGATATTTAATTGTATCATCAGCAAAGGACTGCCTCATGCTACCCCATTGTAGCCACATGCACAGTCCCTCTTCCATCATTCCTAACCTATGGCAACCACTGGAGGACATTTGGAGTTTCCAGTTTGGGGCTGTTATGAACCCAGATCTGCTATATGAACATTCACTTACAAGTTTCTATGTGAAAACAAGTTTTTATTCCTCTATGATCAATTATCTACAATTGCTGGATTGCATGGTAAATTCATTTTTACTTTTAAAGGAGTTGCCAAACTATTTTCCAGAGTGGCTGTACCATTTTATATTCCCATTAGCAATGTATGGATGATTCAGTTTCTCCACATCCTTGCCAGCATTTGGTGTTATCACTGTTTTTTATTTTAGCTATTCTCATAGGTGTGTAGTGATATCTAGTTGTGGTTTAGATTGCATTTTTCTGATGCCTAATAATGTTGGGGATCTTTTCATATGATTATTTGCCATCTGTGTATCTTCACGGGTGAAATATCTGTTCATCACTTTTGCTCATTTTTTTTTTTTTTTTGAGACGAAGTCTTGCTCTTGTCTTCCAGGCTGTAGTGCAGTGGCACGAACTTGGCTCACTGCAACCTCCGCCTCCTAGATTCAAGTGATTCTCCTGCCTCAGCCTCCCGAGTAGCTGGGATTACAGGCGCCTGCCACCACGCCTGGCTAATTTTTGTATTTTTAGTAGAGATGGGGTTTCACCATGTTGGCCAGGCTGGTCTTGAACTCCTGACCTCAGGTGATCAGCCCACCTCGGCCTCCGAAAGTGCTGGGATTACAGGCATGAGCCACCGCACCTGGCCCACTTTTGCTCATTTTCTAATTAGATTTTTTTTTTAATTGTTGAGTTTTAAGGGCTGTTTATATATTCTAGATACAAGTCCTTTGTTAGGTACGTGATTTGCAAATAATTTCTCCCAGAGTATAATTTTTTTTTCTGTTATCTTAACTTGACCCTTGACAGAATGAAAGTTTTTAATTTTGAGGAGGTCAAAGTTTTATCAAATTTTTTCCTTTTATGGATATTGTGTTTGGTGTATGTCTAGGAACTCTTTGCCTAATCATTAAGGTCCCAAAGCTCTTTCCTTTGATTTTTTTTTTCTACATGTCTTATAGTTTTATATTTAAGTCCTTGATTCATTTTGCGTTAGTTTTTGTATAAGGTATGAAATTTATGTCAAATTTCTTTTTTCTTTTTTTGCCTATAGATGTGCAAATACTCCAGCGCCATTAATTGAAAAGGCTGTCCCTCCTTCATGGAATTACTTTTGCTCCTTGTGACAAATCAGTTGGGCATATTTGTAGGGATCATTTTTCCTGGGCTCTCTACTCCATTCCATTTGATCTCTGTGTCTCTCCCTTTGCCTATATCACACTGTCTTGATTACTATATCTCTGTAGGAAGCCTTAATATCAGGCAGGGTGATTTCCCCAATTTTATTCTCCTTTTTCAAAGTTATTTGGCTATTCTCAGGCTTTTCTCTTTCTAATAAATTTTAGAATAAGTTTGTTTGCATCTACAAAATACCTTACAAAGTTTGACAGGACTTTTGTTAAGCCTGTCAGTCAATTTAGGCAGAATCGACCTTTTAACTATGTTGAGCGTTCCAGTCCATGAGTATGTCTCTTCAGTATTTAGGTCTTTGATTTCCTTCCTTGTCATTTTGTAATTTTTATTTTATATAGATCCTGTACATATTTTGTTAGATATATTCATAAGTATCTTCTTGTTATCTTTAGAGCAACTTTAAATGGTGTTGCATTTAACAGTCTTGATTTCCACTTCTTTGTTATTAGTGTATAGACATGCAATCAGTTTTTGAATGTTGATCTTGTACCCTGAAACCTTACTGAACTATATGTTTTCCTCTCAGCACTGTCTGAGCTGCATCCTACCAACTTGGTATGTCGTGTTGTCATTTTAGTGCAGTTCTATATAGTTTAAAATTTCCCTTGAGATTTCCCCTTTGACCTATGGATTAGTTAGAAGTGTGTTGGTTAATTTCCAAGTATTTGGAGATTTTCCTGTAGTTTTTTTGTCATTGATTTCTAGTTGGAGTCCATTTTGGTCAACATATTCTGCATGATTTTAATTTTTTTGAATTTATTAAGGCTTTTTTTTGTGACCCAGGATATGGTCTATCTGAGTGTATGTTCCATGGACAATTGAAAAGAATGTGTATTCTGCAGTTTTTGGGTTGAATTTTCTATAAATGTCAATTTGATCTTTTTGTTGGATGGTGTTGCACACTTCTGTATCTTTGCTGATCTTCTGTCCAGTAGTTGTGTCAGTTGCTCAGAGTGGGTACTGACATCCCCAAATATTATTGTGAATTTGTCGATTTTTCTCTTGGCAAGATTTGTTTTTGCTGTATGTGTTTTGTGGTCTGGGGGGTACGCATTTAGAATTTCTGTATGTTCTTGGTAGGCTGGGCATTTTATTATTATGTAATATTATTCCTTGTCTTTATTTAGTTTCTTTACTCTGAAGTCTGCCTGGATATTAATATAGCCACTTTTGCTTTCTCATGATTAGTGTTGGCATGACATGTCTTTTCCCATCCTTTACTTTCAGTCTACCCATGTTGTTATGTTTGAAATGAGTTTCTTGTAGGTAGCTTGTAGGTTATTTTTTAAATCCATTCTGCCAATGTCTGTTATTTGATGTAGTTAGACCATTTATATTTAAAATGATTATTGACTTGCTAGGGTTTAAGTCTGCATTTTATGATTTTTTTCCTTCTCTTTCTCATTCCTCTGTTTCTTTTTCCTTGCCTTCCTATGGTGACAAACATTTTTTAGAGTCCCACATTTCCTTATTTATACTGTGTTTGAATGTACGGCTTTGGATAGTGTTCTTTATGATTGCTGTAAATATTATGTCAGCCTACTGGTGTCAGAGTTTTACCACTTTGGACCCTTTACCCTCACTACTTTTTAAATATAATTGTCTTAAGTATTTCCTCCGTATCCACTGAGTACCTTATCGTATGACATAATAACTTTTGCTTCAACTTAAAGTATGATTAAAGAACCTCATGAGGTGAAGGACAGTCTAGTCTTCTTCTGTTAGTCTCTTTTTCTGTTTGAAGACATTTCTTTAGCCCTTCTTTAAAGGTTGGTCTGCTAGTAATAAATTCTTTAGCTTCTCTTCTCCTGAGAATATCTTAATTTCTCCTTCATTTCTTTTTTTTGATAGCAAATTTATTGAGTCATAATTCACATACCATGTAACTCATACCTTTAAACTGTACAATTCAGTGGTTTTTAGTGTATTCACAGAGTTTTGAATCATAACCACAATCTAATGTAATAAAATTGTAAGTCTGGCTTTTTGCATGTGATAGAGGGGAGAAGGAAAAGCAGTCTATATCATCTTGCTCTGGAACTAGAAGTTGATAGTCTTTTCAAGTGTTTTATAAATTTCAGGTTCCTCTCTCCATCCCTTTATTTTTATTTATTTATTTATTTTGAGATGGAGTCTCGCTCTGTCACCTAGGCTGGAGTGCAGTGGCACGATCTTGGCCCACTGCAAGCTCCGCCTCCCGGGTTCACACCATTCTCCTGCCTCAGCCTCCCAAGTAGCTGGGACTACAGACACCTGCCACCACGCCCGGCTAATTTTTTGTATTTTTAGTAGAGATGGGGTTTCACCGTGTTAGCCAGGATGGTCTCGATCTCCTAACCTCATGATCCACCCGCCTCGGCCTCCCAAAGTGCTAGGATTATAGGTGTGAGCCTCCGCGCCCGGCCCCTTTCTTTATTTTTAAAATGTATTTTAATTTTTAGTTCTTAATTGTGGCAAGAGATACATACAAATGTATCATCTTAAGCATTGTTTAGGTGTACAGGTCAGTGACGTTAAGGACATTGACATTGTTGTCCAGCTATCACCACCACTCATCTCCAGAATGATTTCATCTTCCCAAAATTTAACCTCTGCACTCATTAAGCAGTAATTGTCCATTCCCCTCTTTTCACACCCCCTGGCAACCACCATTCTACTTTCTGGCTGTGAATTTGACTCTTCCAGGTACCTCACGTAAGTGGAATCCTACAATATTTTTGTGCGTGACTGACTTCTTTCCCTTAGCATAGTGTTCTCGCAACGTTGTAGTAAGTGTCAGAATTCCCTTGCCTGTGAAGGCTGAATAATACTCCACCGTATGTGTAGACCACATTTTGTTTATCCATTCATCCATGATGGACACTTGGGTTGTTTCCACGTTTTGGGGACTGTGAATAATGTTGCTATGAGCATGAGTGTGCAAATAATCTCTTGGAGATAGACCCTGCTTTTCATTCTTTTGGGTGTATACTCAGAAGTGGGATTGCTGAATGATGTGGTAATTTATGTTTTTAATTTTGGGGGGAACTGCTATACTATCTGTCCCTGTCTTTTCCTTACAAACACGTGTGGAAGACTTTGAGGCATTTGACCTGTGGAACATCTCCCTTCTTATTTTGGATGGGTGCACTCCTGGTGAAGTTCAGCGTGTCCCTTTGTCCTCTCTCTCCTGCACATTGGCAGCTGGATCCAGTACCTTTGCTGGACTTGGTTCCGTCTCTTTCGCAGGATTAGAGGAAGTGCTCTATGTCTGTTCACCCATCTTTTTGTGAGCAGGCAGCTGTTGATGCTCAATGCCCCTGTTTTGGGTAAAATTGTGTCTCCCCAAAATTCATTTGTTGAAGTCTTAAGCTCCAGCATCTCAGAACCTGCCCTTATTTGGAGAAATGGTCTTTACAGAGCTTATCAAAGCAAAATGAGGTCATTAGGGCAGGCCCTAATCCAGCATGCCCAGCGTACTTCCAAGAAGAGGAAATGCGGAAGCAGACACGTGCAGAGGGAGGATGGGAAGATGTGGTGACTCCATATAAACATAAACACGGCTGTCTCTTGCCCTTCATTCTTGAACGCTTTGCTGGACAGGAAATCCTTGAGTGTCTTAAATAGGCTACTCTTTTTTTTTCTGGAGGTAATCATGGTTGTCAAAAAGTCTTAAGGGTCAGCCACAGTGGCTCACCCCTGTAATGCCAGCACTCTCGGAAGTCAAGGCAGGAGGATCATCGGAGCTCAGGAGTTAGAGATCAGTCTGCGCAACATAGGGAGACCCTGTCTACAAAAACCTTACCTTTCATTTCTTTTTCTTTCTTTCTTTCTTTCTTTCTTTCTTTCTTTCTTTCTTTCTTTCTTTCTTTTTTTTATTTTTTATTTTTGAGACAGTCTCTCTCTGCCGGCCAGGCTGGATCCAGTGGCACAATCTCGGCTCACTGCAACCTCCGTCTCGCGGGCTCAAGCGATTCTCCTGCCTCAGCCTCACAAGTAGCTGGGATTACATGCATGCACCACCAAGCCTGGCTAATTTTTGTGTTTTTAGTAGAGATGGGGTTTCACCTATAGGCCAGGCTGGTCTCGAACTCCTGACCTCAGGTAATCTGCCCACCTTGGCCTCCCAAAGTGCTGGGATTACAGGTGTGAGCCACTGCACCGGGCCTTAACCTTTCATTTCAAATAAAAAGGAGATAACCTGGAATTCTGTGTGGGCTCTCAGTGTAAAGATAGAAGGACACACAGAGTGTTTTGAAACATGCCCCTCCCTGATCAGCAGGTGTCCTGCTGTGTCACATGTGACTGTCAGTTCCCGACCCCTCGGCCGAGCAGAAAGGGCTTTGGCAAGGTGTCCGGAGTTGGAGGTGGCCTCTGGGAGGTTTGCTGCCCGAGGGTCCTGTTGCCGCCAGGACTGGTGAGGAGACTGAGGATTGAAGGGGCCAAAAGCTGACAAAATTCTGTGCGGGGGCTGAGTGGCAGATTCGGGTCTGAATCATTTCCTGGTTCCTGGAATATTCCCACTTAGGTGCCGAAGCCAGAATTGGAGGGAGCGTGGCGCCTACTCATGGAGCCTGCCAAGGCACTGCCAGCTGCTCACAGGCCAGGCCGGGCGGGCAGAGCCTCCTCGCTGCCTGCTGGCTTTGAAATTCATGTTTGAGACACACATTCCAGCCTTCACTGCTTGTTCAAGGTGATACATGATTTTCAGACTGGACAGCTTGGCCTCTTGTCTGTTCTTGTGTTTTCCTTTATGTACCAGGATAATGTTAAACCCTTCCCATGATGCTGCAAAAACCAAATAGTGCAGCACACACCCCACAGCCCGAAACAACTGCAGGTGCGTGTGCCAGTGGTTCTGAAAGGAATACAGAGACGTGTGGTTTCCGAATCCGCTGATTGTTTTATTATATACTGTTACAGATCATGTTATTCTAAATTACAAAATAAAACTTATGTTAATATACATTTATACAACGTATATATTATACATTATATAGCATGTAGTGATGTATGATGTAATGTATGATATGTACTATATAATAATTTATAATATATTATAATTATTATAATAAAAATGACTGGCCAGGCACCGTGGTTCATGCTTGTCATCTCAGCCCTTTGGGAGGCCGAGGCAGGAGGGTTGCTTGAGGTCAGGAGTCTGAGACCAGCCTGGGGCCACATAGTGAGACCCTGTCTTTCTAAAAAAAAAAAAAAAAATAGTAATTTGTTATTATTCTTCCTATTACTATTTTTAAGGGACAATTTTGGAAACATACTTTACTTTTTCTAGTGTAGCAAAGAATTTACATTTTGTCACCTGAAAGCGTCCTGGAAAATCCATCCTAGTGTCTTGTAATTCTAACAGTCACCAGGAAGGCTACTTTGAGAAAATTTCATATGGTATGAGGGAAAACAAGAACATTCTCATTTTTTTTTGTCTTGCTGAATTAAAAAAAAAAAATAAAAGCAACAACAAGAAAAAACAAAGCCCAGGGCTGGGGTTAAGTAGGTGAAGGAGGAAAGGGAGTCCCCACCTGCCAGTCTCAGTGCCGCTCTTTGCCATGCACACACCCGTATGTGTGCCCATGTGTGTGCACACAGACACCACCGGGTCCCCTTGGAGTTACCAGGCAAATGCATGTCATCAGCTGTTGTGCCTTGATGTCTCCTAAGCTACATAGAATCCCCTCAGACCACGCCTGACACCCAGGACACCAGGGCAGTAATCCGCACGCCCATTTCACTCTCACCATGTAAATTGCGTTTTCTATTTTCATTTCATTTTATGTCACTTTTCTTCAACAAGTAATTATTCTAGGGCTTTATAAGAACGCTGTGCTTTCTTAGTCTATTTATAATGAGTAAGAAGTTGTTTTTATTCTATTTCTTTTCTGTCTGTGCTTGCCATTTTTTTTAATCACGATTGGATAAGGGGGGATCCCTGCAAGATAACAGCGCCCACCAAATTAGAATCTCCCTGAAAAACATACAGTTAATCAGGAGGAAAATATAGTTGCCCATAGTCCATGATTATAGCACAACTAGGGGACAATTAATGTAGCAAACCTCTGTTTCCACCCAAGACCAGGATACAGGGTTTCAGGGCCAGGCCAGAGCCCCGAGCCATCAGGACCGGGCACAGGAGAGTGCAGCAGCGGCCTGGTCCCACCCTCACTCGGGAGATAATAAGAGACATCTGAAATGTCACTCAGGAATAAAAGAGAGGGTCTTGGAAAGTGCATGGGATGGGAGAGTCTGCTCCTGGGAGATGTTTCCTGGAGGTTTGGTGTGAAAGGGAAGAGAAGAATTAGCTGAAAATAAGGAACTTAGTAAAACAACAAATCATCCACAAAGAAGAGCTCCTCTCAGGGGAGGAGGAGGTGGAAGAAGAGGAAAATCTCTCTCCTTAATTAAAAAAACTGTACTTTAGAGAAGTAAGAGAAGAGTGCATGGCTGAACCATGTTCCTGAGCAAGCCACACAGACCTCTCCCTCCCTACTGACTCTACTCATCAGCTTTTGGGGAGTCTAAGTAAATTAATATAAACCCAAGCACACCTAGCGTCCATACAATATTACTGTAAGAAAAAGAAATAGAAAATGTGTAGCAAAATGCTGGACATGAAAACAGCCAAGAAGCACAAATGAAATGTAAGTAATAGGCAATTGCAAATGTGAAAAAACACCATGAGCCAGCTCTTCATAAAATAAGACTGGAAATGGATAAACAACGGGAGATATGAAATGAGAGCTAATTAAGGAAAGCAAATGAAGAAAAGTCTAAGATAATCTCTGAAATTAATAGTAAATGATAAGGTTCCCCAAAGGGATAGTAGTTACAGCTGAAAGCACAGTAGGGATAGAAATGAAAGAAATAGAAAAGATCAAAACCAAAGTGTCTGTTGGAAAGACATCCAATTTACCTGTAATTGGTGACCCTGAAGAACTAAAACAAGGCAATGGAACAGAACTAAAAATTTAAAACTGCAAGTCAAGAAAACTTTCCTAAAATAAAATTAAGACCCAAATCTACATGGAAATATAGTCCACTGCCATTCCGGGAATGGTTGACTCAAGATTTATGCTCTAGGAAGACTAAATTCTAAAGATAAAGAGAATATCAGCAGGGCCTCCAGGCAAAAGGACCAAGTTATTTACAAAGGAAATTTACAGAGTTGTTTACAAAGTTACAAGTTATATGCAAAGTCTGGTGTCAGACTTATAACAACAACAAAGAAAGCAAGACAGCAATGCACAATACTTTTAAGAAACTCAAGGAAAGAAAACGTGAGTGAAGGATTTTATGCCCAGCCAATGGTTCTTTAAGTGATTCAGAAACAAAAATATTGTGCCCACCAGGCACACTTAAAGAATCAGCTGGCATTAGTGATATGTCAGAGGCTGGACGGCAGAAATGGTCTGCCCTGGTTGCAGGCAATGAGGAGTTTCATCATCTGTCGATAATTTAAAAACAATAATAAAACTGACTGAAAGTCCGTCTGCTTTTTATGTCACTGTGATCCAACACTTTTAAACAATGTCAGCCAAAAAATACTCCTCCTGAAAAAACCTATTGTTGGTCTAATTTCTAAGCAATTTTTCCTATTACAATTGCATTTTAATGCTATGTGTAAACCTCAAATTAGCATATTTGCATTACTTATGCTTTAATAAACATTATATTCTACATGGCATTTAATTTGGAGAACTCCCAAGTATACGATCAGCCCCTGACATCTGCAGACTGAGGCACATGTGTTTATTTTGAGAGGAAGTTTGTAGCAATCCAGAATCATGCAAACTCCATTGAGGTCCGGACTCCTGTGACCCTGTGTATTCCTCTGTTTGGATAGCAGATTAGGAATAACCAGTGATATCACAATAGGTAAAGACAAAGAAACAGAACTTGGATTTCTTCAATTCTGTCATTCTATGTGAACACTAGAGGTTTTTATTGGTGTGTAAAATTTGAAGAGTAAGAGCACAGATGATGAGATTGGATATTTTTGTTTGATTGGTGCAACTTGTAGTTGACACATGAAATATTTTACTGAATATGAGCTGTACCATTAGGACTGAAATTCATCTTTTAAAATTGTCCATGGTTTTTAAAATTACAGATCCAGTTAAGGAAATAGTGATTATTACTGGTTATTATGTGATAATTACTGAAAACACTGTTGTCACATAGAGGATGAAGGTGTTAAAAATTAGCCACATTATGTATGCCACATAGCAGGGGACAGGCTTCATCCAATGAAAAGATGATGTGGGAAACTTTGGCGAAGGCACTGATAGTATTTTTACACTTAAACAAGTATTTTAAAATGTTTAAAAAAAATTGTATATGTATGACCGAAAGAAAGGTAGGGATAAGTATGGAGGAATGGCTATAAATGTTATATATTCTGACAAAATAGAAATAATGAATAAAAATAATAGTTGGAGTAGGAAGAGCAAAAGAGGAACAGAGAATCAGCTCATTGATTGCCCTGCAGGTAGGAAAGTGGTAACATTGTTTGGTATACAAGAATGACCACTGAAACAAAAATATAGACCTTAAATACCCAAAGAAATGCAAAAACAAAACAAAACAACTTTTAAAGAAGCAAACAAACCATATAGTGAAATACACACGGTCAATATAACACTAAAGAATAGAACTGAGACCAAACCTAGCAGCCGCATCAGTAAATTAGAGTGGATTTAACCCATTTATTAAAAGGCAAGACTGATTTTCAGATTGGTTCACATAGTGGCACCCAACTCTATGCTGTATAAAGAAGTCATATCCAAAACACAGTGATCCAGGAAGGCTGAAAATGACAGGAGGGTGTATAGCAATGAAGAGAGAAAAAGAGCTTGGGAGTTTTAATCCTGACTGCAGCCAAGCTAGTATCAGGCCAAAAGCATTAATGGAAACAAAGAGGGCCGCTGTCAATGCTAAAGGCTGCAATTTGCAGAGAAGATACACTAGGTGTGGTTATGTCTGCTTCACATAACATCACCAGAACCTCTACGATGCGGAAACCACAGGGGCGGTGGGGAGACATGAGGGACACGCAGTTCCAGGACATTGTGACTGCCTTGCTCAGCCTGAGACATGTGAAGGGGACCAAAACATACGCCTCCAAATGTACCAGACTTTGTGCTGTGATAATAGGGAATACAACTTTGTTTCGAGACTACTTGGAACACTTAGGAAAGTTGACATATATTAGCTTACAAAGACAACCTCAATGAGTTCCGTAACAGAAATAATACAAACAACATTCTGTGCTCACAATGCAATAAAACTAAAAATTAATCATAAGATTAAAAACCAAAAAGGCCCTTCAATTTGAAGAGTTACAAGATTAAACTCTATTAAATAAGTTTTTAGGTGAAAGGAAATACACAAACCAAGTGCATAATTTTTGAATTTGACGATAATTAAAATATATCACTCTGTGGAATACACATAAAGCTGTGGTTATAACCTCAGAAATGAAACCAAACGAATTAATGGATTTATCATCTAACTAAAAATGATAGATAAAAATAGCCAAATAAACTTAGAGTAGAATGACAAAAAATAAGAGTAAGATTGGAAATTCATGAGTTTTAGGAATGAGAAAAAAATGAAACTGATAAATACACAAAATACTACATCCTAGAAAAAGAATCAAGTGGACAAACCTCTGTCTAAGCTAATCATGAAGGGGAGAGAGAGAGACCCCAAACAACACAGAATAAGAAATGACATTAACAGAACAGAGCATATTTAAAAAAATCATTAAAAGCTTACTTTGTATAGTGCTTTGCAAGTAAGTGTGAAGACCTGGATAGAAAGGGAACTTCTTTAGGAAAATATAATTTATTCAGATTGACCCCAGTAGACACAGAAAGTTTTAAAAAAAAATTCCTACTGGAAAAAAATTCAAATCTATATTTTCACAGGAGAATTCTATCAAATCTTCAAAGAACAGATATCTCAATGCTACTTAAATTATTCTAGAACATAGAAAAAGAAACCTTAAGATTATTCAATGAGAAAACCACACACCAATCTCACTTAGGAATATTGATGTAAAATGCCTAAGTAAAACAGTATTAGAGAGAACCCTTTAAAAATGGTTTTGAGACAACTGGATAGCCATTTGGAAAAAGATAAAATTTTGTCGATATCTTTCATCATCTACAAGCATACATTTCAAATGTCTCTAAATAGGTAGTTACCAGAAAAACTACCACAAGAAAACATGGGTAAATTTTAAAATAACCTGTGGGTAGGGAAAATTATGATTCAAAATCCAAAAGCAATGTAAAAAAGATTGAGAAATTTGGTTGCATTAGGAAAAAAACAAAACAAAACTGCTTTCGCATGATGGGGGAGGGACACCATAAGCAAAGTGAAAAAGCCAGGTAATAAACCAGTAGAAAATATTTGCATCTTATATCACAAAGCTAATTCCTTCAAAATATAGATTATAACAAGATACCATTTCTCATGGGCCATATTGGCAGAGAGGAAAAAACTCAAAACAAAACAATACAAGTTTGATGGCGCCCTCTATTGGCGAGGCTGTGGAGCAGCCATTCAGATTGCTCCACCCCTGGAGGAAACAGGATGCCTTGGGACTTGGTGCACCTGCATAGACCCTGACTCAGCCATGCCTCCTTCCTGAATTTACCTGGAAGACAATACTCCAAATCCAAACATGCTCATGGCATATGGAGATCTTAAATTAATAGGTCCTCTTTTATGTCTTTCAATAAAGTAACAGATATGTTTCTATAGAGGTCTTCCATTTTTACATTAAATTGATTCCCAGGTATGAAATTTTGGCTACTGTCCCAGTGGCAGCCCTCTGGAAATGACCTTTGTTGAGTTTGTGTTTTGACCTGGTATCCAGCAACCTTGCTTAACAGTCTGAAGAGCAGCTTGGGGCTTTTCTCTATGGACAGTATGTCTCCTGCATGTAATGACAGTTGGCTTTCATTCATCCATTGCAATCTTCATCCTTTAATTTCTTTTTGTTTTCTTACTTCTGTGGTTGGGAGTGACAGAACAGTGTTAAGCAGAAGCAGTTATACTGCAAATTCTTGTCTTATTCCTTCTTGTAGGGCCATCTCTAATGGTCCACCATGAGGTGTGGAGTTTGCTGTGGACTTGTGGTAGATCCTCACTTTGTTAAGGAAGTCTCCTTCTGGTCCTAATTTGCTAGGAGTTTTTTCTCCCTTTAATTGTGAATGCATGTTGAACTTTATGAAATGGTTTTTGGGCATCAATTGAGATGATCTGTTAATGTGATGAATTATGTGATTGCGACAATAGCTTTTCTAATATTACACCAAGTTGACATGCCTGGGATAAACCTGTATTTCATCATGATATGTCTCTTAAAAATTGCTGGGTTCACTTGGCTAATACTTTATTTAGGATGTTTTTTCACCTGTTTATAAATGAGTTTGGCCTATAATTTACCTTTCTTATTCTGCCTTTCATTGGTTTTAGTGTGGAGATTATATTAGACCCATAACATTCAGCATCTCATCCTTTTCTCTTTTGGAGAGCAATTAATATAAGACTGAGGTGATATGTTCCTCAATGGTATTGTTAAAACTTACCTGTGACACCTTCTGGTTCCAGTGCATTACTAGTGGCCAGATTTCAAGTGACTAATTAAATTTCCTTAACATTTAAAGTCTATTCACAATGAGGAAATAAACCTTACCTCATCAGTTGGCTTCCTTCAACACTACCATTTTTCTTCTTTCTTGTGAGTATGTGAGCCTTAGTTCAGGCTGCTATAACAAAAATATCATAGATTAGTTTAGAGAACACACATTCATTCCTCACAGTTCTGAAGGCTGGGAAGTCTAACGTCAAGGGGCTGGTGATTCCTGGTGAGGGCCCTCTGCTTGGTTTGCAGATGGCTGCCTTCTTCCTGTGCTCTCACATCGGGGAGAGAGAGAGCATCTCTCTCGTGACTTTTCTTCTCATTCCCATTCATGAGGGCCTAATTTCTTCCCAAAGGCCCCACATTATAATAGCATCACATTAAGGATTAGGCTTCAACCTCTGAATTTGGGAGGAGCACATTCAGCCCTTAGCAGAACCCCACCCCCAAGATTTTCCTAAGTGAATGAATAGTCATCCCCCAGCCTTGTTCCTGGCCTCTAACAGCATTTTAGAAGGAGGTTTCTCATGACTGGGGTTGGCTGAGATGGGAATTTCCTGATTCCATTGGCTGTGATTCAGCCCCATGCCATCCTGCCAGTAAGATGAACACATGAGTCATGCTCAGCTGCTAGGGTGCCTGGTGCTGCTTCCAGTTCCTCTGGGTGACCTCTGTCCAGCACATAAACCTCCTGAAGCATTCCGAATTTGCGGAAAGTGAGCCACCCTCCCAATGTGTACATGTCTGGGCCTACCTTCCTGCTCTCGTATGTGACAGGCACACAGCCTTTCCAGAAGGTACCTCATTGCCTAGTACAGAAATGCTGAGGTTCTCACAGGAGTGAGAACCCTACTGACTGGCTGTTGTGTCTCTCCCATACAGTCGGGTGTGGAGCAGTTGGACCCACATACCTATCTGCGCCCATCCTCAGTTGAAAGGTAGTGAACAGCTTGGGCTGTGGACTCAGGCAGGCCTCGGTTCAAATCCCAGCTCTGCCACTCAGGGGCTGTGTGTGCAGATAGGCTGCATCTATTGTCCAAAGCCAAACATGGGGAAAACCAAACAATCTCTCAAAGGGGTGTGGTGAGGGCTTAGGCAAAAGACTGGTGTACCGTGGCTCGGATGGATTAGTTTCCATTCTCCCTCTCTCTGTTTCCAGCTTTCCTCTCACTACAAGATGAGGGCCCTGTCCCTCTTGGGCGTTTGCCAAAGGAAGGTCTGGACACCCAGCAGCTCATTCATGTCGCTTCCCAGTTTGCTGTTACCATGTTGCAGTGCAGAAGCCATAAGCCGCATGATCCGTGAGCCTGGCCCTGCAACTTGGCTCCTCCACACAGCAGCGTTTGCCTTCATTGTCACAGATGACTATGAGAAGATGCCCTTGGTCATCTTTGGTCTGGGCTCTGGAGTTCTGTAGAGCTTTGAGCCGCCAGAGCTAAGGGGGTGAGGCTTGCCCCAGGCCGGTGGCACACCCAGGACTGGGCCTGGATGACTTTAATGGTAGGACAGAAGGAAGAGAAAGGAGCTCCCCAGAGTCCAGCTGCTGGGCTGTGCAGCCCATTTGCAGTGTACTTCCAGGAGCCTTGATGGTGAATGCTGTAAAAGGGGGAATCTTTCTTCCCCACCTTTCTTTAAATCATAGAGCTATTGTGATGGCTTCTGAGCTGCAATAGAATCACCCATGAGGATTTTTGTTTGTTGTCTTGGCATGAAGTTCCTGTCCCTTCACAGTAATCCGGCAGGTGCCTCCCAGGGCATGGAGTCATTGTGTCACATTCTTCTCCAGGACTGCAGGAGGGTGGGCACAGAGTTCCACAACTTGAAATGCAGCAGACAGTTGAAAGGATTCTGCTCACACCAGGAGTTGGATTGTATTTTTCCAAATGCATTAAGTATTTTAAGCAGCTTGAGCTGCTTAATGGGCCTGAAAGCATTTGATTAGTCCAAAGGGCTCTATGCCCGGCAGGTCAGGGGACAAGAAGTTCTTAAAATCCTATGGGTCTGACCCCTTCTGCTCTCTCTGGCTATCTGGCTACAACGGGTCCCCAGGGTTGCAGCAATAGCTGTGACCTGCTTATCTTCCCAGAAGTGCTGGAGGCAAGCTGATCCCTGAGCACTGTGCCTGGAGCACTGCAGGTGCCCTGCAGCCATCTCCATCCACACCCCCTGCCTGGCCTGCCCCGATTCCAGGCTGGGCCTCGGGCTCCCCTCCCTTCTTCGTCCCCCTCCTCATCTATCTGTGGCTCTTTCTCTCGGGCCCTACCACCAAGCCCTCTCCTTGCCATTCTCTTCTGTCCCTCAAGCCGTATTCCTCAGCATCACATGGTCCTCCCGGGTCCCGGTCCACTCCTGTCATGTGAGAACAAATGGTGTCTGCTGGAATTTGCTTCGGGCCTCTGTTGTGTTTTGAGCCAATGTGTGTGGTCCTCCTAACGTCATTTGATTCATCCGGCAAAAGGCTCTGCTGCCTGCCTGTCTGGGGCAGAGCTTCTAAGACCCTGTCAGTTTTGGACAATGAGGCTTCCCTGGGGGTGCAGAGTGGTGAAGCTGTTTGGAATCCTTCTCTTGAGGTGGAGTCCAGAGTTTCTTCCTGTCAGTTCCTCCCCATTTGTGTCAGCAGGGTGCTATGTCCAGCGCAGGTCCTCCCCTGGCCCCTTTCTGGCCTTGCAGAGTGCCCCCGGCCCCGTGTGAGCAGATGGCCTTCTGGGCGGAGCGTGCAGTCTCTTGGCAGGGCAGCCAAGTTGGGGGTGAGATGGACCTAGGGCTCTCTGACCCCGTAGGTTTGGCCTAGGCTGAGACTCTGAGCAGGTCACTTACCTCTGGGTCCTCATGCTCAGGTTCAAAATGAGACAGACAGTGGAGTTAAGAGATGATTTTTCTGATCCTTCTTTGGGTCTTTGCATCAGTTATTTTAAAAAAAGAGAAAAGCAAGCCAACACAACCATCCTCGGCTGATTGGTGGAGCAGGGCTTACTTATGTGGCTAGTTAAAAGAAAATTTATTTTTGAAAGCTGCATGGAGATTTTCCGTAAGCACAGTAATGTGAGCCGGGGTCAAAGCTGTCTTTCAGAGACAGGGAAGTGCAGAGATGTTCAATGTAAATTGTGCCTTTTAGCTAAACACTTGGTAGATTCAGCACTGGCCGTGTAGGTTTGTCCTGCTTGTTTTGGGGGAACCAGAAAAGATCTGATTGAATTTAATCTGATTTCTGCTAGAGTTTGGTCATGTAAGATTTGAAAAAGTGAACCTTCCTGAGCCAGAGCAATCAGGCAACAAAGAAATAAAAGGCATCCAAATAAGAAAAGAAGCCAAACTGTCTGTCTTCACTGATGTTATGATTCTATACATAGAAAACCCTAAAGACTTTGCCAAAAGGCTCCTGTAACTGATAAACAACTTCAATAAAGTTTCAAGATACAACATCAATGTAGAAAAGTCAGTAGCATTTCTCTACACCAATAATGTTCAAGCTGAGAGCCAAATCAGGAACACAATCCCATTTACAATCGCCACACACAAAAATACTTAGGACTACAGCGAACCAAGGAGGTGAAAGAAATCAGAGATGACACAAACAAATGGAAAAACATTCTATCCTCATGGATTGAAAGAATCAATATTGTTAAAATGACCATACTGCCCAAAGCAATTGACAGATTCAGTGCTCTTCCTATCAAACTGCCAAGGCCATTTTTCACAGAGCTAGAAAAAACTATTCCAAAATTAATATGGAACCAAAACAGAGCCAGATAGCCAAAGCAATCTGAGCAAAAAGAAAAGCCAGAGGCACCAATTACCAAACTTCAAACTATACTACGAGGCTGCAGTAACCAAAACAGCATGGGACTGATACAGAAGCAGACACACAGAGCAGTGGAACCGAGTAGAGAACCCAGAAATAAAGCCACACACCTACAACCATCTGCCCTTTGACAAAGCTGCCAAAAATAAGCCATGGGGAGAGGACTCCCTATTCAGTAAATGGTGCTGGGATAGCTGGCTAGCCTTATGCAGAAGAATGAAACTGGATCCCTACCTTTTACCATGTAAAAAATCAACTCAGTTGGATTAAAGATTCAACCTATGAGAATCCTAGAAGAAAACCTAGAGAAACATCATTCTGGATATTGGCCTTGGGAAAGAATTTATGACTAAGTCCTCAAAAGCAATTGCAACAAAAACAAAAATCAACAAGTGGAACCTAATTAACTAAAGAGCTTCTGCACAGCAAAAGAGTAAACAGACAACCTACAGAATGGGAGAAAATACAAACTATGCATCCAACAAAAGTCTAATATCACAACTCTACAAGGAGCTTAAACAATTGAACAAGCAAGAACCAAATAACCTCGTTAAAAATTGGGCAAAGGACATGAACAGACACTTCTCAAAAGAAAACAGGTAAGAAGCCAACAAGCATATGAAAAAATGCTCAACATCACTAATCATCAGAAGAATGCAAATCAGTACCACAGTGAGATACCATCTCACATCAGTCAGAATGGCTATTTTTCAAAAGCAAAAAAAATAACAGTTGCTGGCAAGGCTCTGAGGAAAAGGGAACTCTTACACACTATTGGTAGGAATGTAAATTATTCAGCCACCTTGGAAAGCAGTTTGGAGATTTCTCAAAGGACTTAAAACAGAACTACATTTGACCCAGCAATCCCATTCCTCAGTATATTTCCAAAAGAAAATAAATCACTCTACCAAAAAGACACATGCACTTGTATGTTCATCACTGTGGTATTCACAAGGGCAAAGACACATAATCAGTCTAGGTGCCCATCAGCAGTGGACTAGATAAAGAAATTATGGTACATATACACCATGGAATACTATGGAGCCATAAAAAAGAACAAAGTCATGTCCTTTACAGCAACATAGATGCAGCTGGAGGCCATTATCCTAAGCAAATTAACACAGAAACAGAAAACCGAATACCACATGTTCTCACTTATAAGTGGGAGTCAAACATTAGGTACTCATAAAGATGGCAACAGTAGACACCAAGGACTACTAGAGGGCAGAGGGTGACAGCGGGGCAAGGGTTGAAAACTAACTGTTGGGTACTGTGCTTGTTACCTGGATGACGGGATTAATCATACCCCAAAGCTTAGCATCACACAATATACCCAGGTAACAAACCTGCACGTGGACTCCCTGAATGTAAAATAAAGGTTGAAATTAGTCAAAAAATAAGGAAAAGTGGGCCTTCCCCGCCCCCCACACTTATAAAGAGTTAAGGATTTTGTGTTTATTTTAAGCCATGTTGAACTCAGCCCAACATATTGACACAAGGCAGGACTTAGTGCAGTGTCACTAGGCTTTAATTTTGTTGCCCTTTGGGCTAATAAAGTCAGGTTATCTCACTGGGCTGTTTCCTTATCCATTAAGACATTTGATGTAACTAAGTACCCATCCTATGGTGACATAAACTTTTTCTTATGTCATTGGAAAGTCCAGAATACCTGGTTGCAGGCAAGGTTTGATCTAGCAGCTTGACCTTGTTAGCACAGGTCCAGTTTCTTTCCCTCAGTCCTCCCTGGTATTTTATCAGCTTCATCCTAAGGCTGGTTCAGGGAAGATATTCTGATGATATATATTTCTGCTTTGGCAATGGAGGATTTATATTCGATTGTCAGAAGTCCTCATGTCCTATTTAAAGTCTAGTCATTGGAAAATAGGTTGATAAGGATGGACCTGAAGAAAATAAAGCAGCAATTTGTCATGACAAAGCAAGACTAGGAAGAGGCATTGGACCAGCATGACCAATTCAAGGACACGTTGATGATGTCTTCAGCGCAAGTGTTCTTCCCAAGCTTGGGGGACCTGGCAGGGCTGCCTACAGGGCTGGTGTCCAGCCTGCTCTATAGAAGGCGAATTAGAGATCGCAATAACGGGCCAGCTTCCATGATGACCCCAGGTTGTAGTGATGTCTATGTAGAAATGAAATAAATGCATAATTAAAACCAAAGGTAGGCTTGCATTTGGGTTGAGGTCCTGGCACCTACGGAGGCCACAAGTGTGTCAGGGTGGAAGGTAACTTGGTGAAATAGGAAGTCACTGCCTATTGCCCACTCATGTCCCCACTGATGGAGTTAGCTGGGGGATCCCCTGGTGCAGACCCTGGAGAGGCATCACTGTCTTCCTTGTTCAGTGGGCTTGGGTCACCTGCATGAATTCTGAGGTTGGGAAGGTGTAAACATTTCCCTCAACACCTGCAGCCCAGCCGCCGTCTCCCTGGGTGCTTCAGTCAGCCGTCACGTTGGGGAGGCGTCATGTAAGGTGGTCCTTGTCTGAGTAGAACCTGATTTTGAAAATGAAATTCATTTCCTTGCCTTCATTTTCCAGACGAAAAGATATGTATTTGTGGTGTGTGTGTGGCGGGAGAGTAATTGGCTTTGGTTTTGACAAGGAGGACACCAGAGTCCTGTTCTGATACTCAGTTTTGGGCCCATGCGTGACAATTCTGTGTTTCTTTTCAGCATTTGCCAATACATTATTTTCTAGAGTCTCTCCCAGCATACGGAAAAACCCCAAATTCAAATTTGACTTTTCTCTTCGAGGCTGGTTGTGGCATGCTGAAGCTCCCAAGGCATGTAATGTAGTGAACAAGGTGGCCTCCAGGAGCGCTGTCGGCTCATGGGCCCCACCCACCCACCTCGCGGTGTAGGAGGATCCACCAAGTCACTGTCAGAGTGGGTTGGAGAGACCTGGCCTGGGGTCAGCTCTGTGGGCAGATGGGCCCTTTCCCCCACTGGGTGGAGTACGCTCCTTAGTAGCCCAAGACAGAACATTGCCTTCTCCCGAGAAACCCACCTCTGGGGAAGGTTAGGCCATGGGATCTGCGGGAAGGGTTTTAGGAGTAGATTAATGGGATTTGTGATCCCAAGCACCCAGGCCACTCTGTGGTCCCCACCCCTGGGCTTGAGTCCTGCTGAGGTATAAGTGGTGCTAGAAGACCTCTGCCCTGCCCTGCCCTGCCCTGCCCCAGGAACCTGGCTTTCTCTGGGCTAATGAGTGTCCTCTCTGAAGGTATCCAGAGGCCGTGCAGACACTCACACTTTGGTGTGAGGCGTGCCCTCGGTTGATCAGTTACACTGCTGTGGGGTGCACAGGTGGCAAGGTGGGGGATTCTGGGATCGGGGAGGCTAGTCTGGGTGTAGGGTCCTGCCCTGGAGGGGCTCACAGTGGGGTTGAAAGCAAGCTCTCGAGGCGTTATTATTCGGGACTCTGAGTGCCGGGCCATGCTGGGGGAGTGAGGGCAGGGGGAGCTGCGGAGGCAGGGCTCTGAGGGCTTTAGAACAAGAGCCGGTGTGTGTTTCCCACTGAGTACCTGCCGGCACCTCATTTATGCCACGTAGCAACCCCATGACATAGGCTTATAGGGGACTATAATTATCCCCATTTCACAGCTGGGAGAACCTAGGCTTAGTGTCACAGAACCTAGGCTTAGCCACTGGGTGGCTGATACTGCCACCCAGTTCTGAGCCAGTATCAGCTTCCAGCCCCCTGACTCAGTCTCTCTGCTGTGGTTTCCTCTCAAGTGCCAGGATCCTTCCTGGTCCCGTTTCCAACTCAGACCAGTGGAGGGGCGCGCTGTGGTTACCACTCATTAGAAGAGAGGCAGGGTCTCTCTGTCTCTCTCTGGGTGTCCCCCACTGCCATCTCTGGGTGCTGGGGGAGCTGCTGTATATCTCTCTCTGTCTATCCCTATCTCTCCCTCCACTGCCATCTCTGGGGGTTGGGAGAGCTGCTCTGTCTCTCTATCTCTCTCCCCCCCCACCCCACTGCCATCTCTGGAGTTTGGGGGAGCTGCTCGCTCTCTCTCCCCCCTCCCACTGCCATCTCTGGAGGTTGGGGGAGCTGCTCTATCTCTCTCTCTCTCTCTCTCTCTCCCCCCACTGCCATCTCTGGGGGTTGGGGGGAGCTGCTCTCTCTCTCTCTCTCTCTCTCTCCCTCTCTCCCCCTCCGCCAACCACTGCCGTCTCTGGAGGTTGGGGGAGCTGCCTGGGATGCAGAGCGGCTTGGATTGGTGCTCCCTCTGCCTCAGTGGTTGAGCTGACCTCTGTCCAGTCTGTACACATTGGATCCTGAGGCTGAGCTTGGGTGGCTGTGGCAGGAAGGTTTGGTGACATCACACCCTTCAGGCTTGTGTCTGTCTGAGCCAGGCTCTGACTGGCTGGGAGAAGAGGAGGAGGTGGGGTTCTGGGAGGCCCTGAGGCTGAGCACGGCTGCTGTGCTCTGTGGCTGCACTGCAGGGGCACGGGCTCAGCATGTTCTGGGCCAGGGCACACAATGCTTTCAGATCAGGCTCCAGCACCCCACACGCCCCTTCATGCTTTGCACTTTTTGTCTACCAGCCAGAGGGCAGTGAATAATGAGAACAAACAACATCGGGTCCAGATTTTCGTGGTCATTTTCCTAACAAGCCGAGGTCAGAGAGCACTGAAAGGAGGCCTAAGTGCTTCTGCCACCTCAGCTGACTGTTTTTCAAAAAGGAAAGCATGCGTGGGATGTGTGTATTAGGTGTTACGGTGATGTCTGTTGTCAGATCATGGCCAGAAAAGGGGTTGTTTCAATTAAAATGGATTTTGGACTTCGTTTTTCTTGGAATGAGTAAATTGAGGGAAATAGCACATGTTGAGATTTTGGATTTCTGCTCTTAGAAAGGATTTAAAATAAGTGGTCTTCAGTAGTTCCACAGCGGATCTTCGAGACTGGTACAGATGGGGTCTCCTGGATGTAACGAGTTCTTGCTGCTTTAACTGGATCCGGTTGACTCTGTCTGACCAGCTCAGCTGGTTCGTTCTATGAAACGCACTTCTGCTTTCTGGAATCTGAAGGAAGGAGAGAGATAGAAGACAAAGAAGGACAGATGTGTTGGTGGCCAGACCCTGGCTTCTGAACAGTCCTTCCTGATGGCTTCAGGACCTGGGAGGAGCGGCGGAGCAGGTGGCTGCCCTGGGCTTGCCAGACACCTCCATTCCAGCAAGATCCTCCTGGGGGATGTGGTGCCCTCCCTGCCTCTCAGGCACAAGCATATGCTTGTTTGGCCTAAAAAAGTCTCCTTAATTAAAATTAATATCGTAATGCAGTAAATCCTTCTGCCTCCTCTTCCCCTGCCCAGTTACAATTCCCGGCGGCTCTCCAGCCCATAGAGGAGGCTTCTCAAAGTTTCCTGCCTCCTGGAGGAGAGAAGCCATTCCCCGATCACCCAAAAGGACAAAGTATGTGCCCACTCTGCGTCCTTGCTTGTCACTGCCCAACATCTGCAAACATTAACTAAAGTGCTGAGCCCATTCAGGTGTAGGACTCACTAGTTGGTTAATGTGACAGACAGCGTTTCCTGTGCCAGCGCTGGCTGGTCACTTCCTGTCATCCAGCACTCTTGAGTGTTGCAGTGGATGCCTGTTTCGTAGGAACACTCAGCCTGTTCCGTAAGAAGGAGCGCCACTTCTCAGCCTGTACTTAGCAGGTCACTACTGTTGGCCACTCTGCTTTTCTTTTTAAAATTTTAATTATTAAAAAAATTTTTTTTGAGAGTTTCCCTCTGTTGTCCAAGCTGAAGTGCAGTGGTATGATCTTGGCTCACTGTCACCTCTGCCTCCCTAGTAGCTGGGATTACAGGTGTGTGCCACCACGCCTGGCTAATTTTTGTATTTTTAGTAGAGACGGGGTTTCACCATGTTGGCCAGGCTGGTCTTGAACTCCTGACCTCAGGTGATCTGCCTGCCTTGGCCTCCCAGAGTGTTCGGATTACAGGCATGAGCTACTGCTCCTGGTCCCCTTCTTATTTTTATGTTAGTCTTTGGAAACAATTGGCATATATTTTAGTCTGTTTAGGTTACTGTAACAAAATACCATAAACTAGGTGGTTTACAAACAACAGACATTTATTTCTCACAGTTCTGGATGTGGGAAGTCTAAGATCAAGGCGCCAACAGATTTGCTGTCTGGTGAGGGCTTCCTGGTTCATAGAAGGCCATCTTCTCACTACATCCTCACTTGGTGGAAGGCTCAGGAGAGTTCTCTGGAGTCTCTTTTACAAAGGCACAAATCCCATTAATCACCTCCCAAAGGCCCACTGTCTAATAGCATCACTTTGGGCATTAGGTTTTAACATGTGAATTTGGAGAAGGGCAGGCACAAACATTCAGTCTGTAGCAGCATACAAAAATGTAACAAGAATAATGTGATGAACAGCTAGGTATCCACAAGCTGCTAAAGGTAGAGAATACTACCATATTGGTTACCTATTTCTGTGTAACATATTATGCCAACACTTAGTGGTATAAAACAGTAAACATTTATTATCTCACACATAGTCTGTGGGCCAGGAATATGGAAGCAGCTGAGCTGGGTGGTTCTAGTGGAGGGGAAAGATGTGAGCTGGGGCACCTGAAGGCTTGACTGGGGCAGGAGGATCCACGTCCAAGATCGACTTCACCTGGCTGTTGGCTGGCAAGAGGGCTCAGTTCTTTGCCATATAGACCTTTCCACAGAGCTGCTTGAGTGTCCTCACAACATGGCAGGCGGATTCCCCCAGCCTCAGTGATTCAAGAGAGAGTATAGAGAGAGTAGAGAGGAAGCCGCTGTGCCTTTTATGACCTGGTCTCATTAGTCATACACTGTCATTTCTGCTTATGTCTGTTCACTAGAAGCAAGTCACTAAATTCAGGCCACACTCAAAGAGAAAGGAATTAGGTTCCACTCTTTGAAGGGAGTGTCAAAGAATATGTGGAGAGAGATATATATATATATATATATATATTCTTTTTTTTTTTTTTTTGAGATGGAGTCTCACCACTCTGTCACCCAGGCTGGAGTGCAGTGATGTGATCTCAGCTCACCGCAACCTCCGCCTGCCAGGTTCAAGTGATTCTTCTGCCTCAGCCTCCCAAGTAGCTGGAATTTACAGGCACACACCACCACACCTGGCTAATTTGGGTATTTTTAATAAGGCAGGGTTTCACTATGTTGGCCAGGCTGGTCTCGAATTCCTGACCTCAAGTGGTCTGCCCGCCTCAGCCTCCCAAAGTGCTGGGATTACAGGCATGAGCCACCATGCCCAGCCTGTGGATGTATTTTAAAGCATC
Source organism: Homo sapiens (assembly GCF_000001405.40). Taxonomy (NCBI): domain Eukaryota; kingdom Metazoa; phylum Chordata; class Mammalia; order Primates; family Hominidae; genus Homo; species Homo sapiens. The sequence continues at coordinate 28,988,079 of NC_000015.10, forward strand.
ATAACACCATTGCAGCTAGAGCCCCTCCCCAGTTGCATCTTGTCTTTCACACAGAGGTAACTACTGTTGAAGTTTGATCCTTGTTTATGGCCTAGTACATGTATAAGTATTTCTATCCCTGTTAGTTCTGCATTTTGTCTGTAAGCGTTATGTAAATGATATCACCTTGTATTTTTTTCTGTAGTGTGCCTTTTTTTTTTTTTGAGATGGAGTCTTGCTCTGTTGCCCAGGCTGGAGTGCAGTGGCGTGATCTCGGCTCACGGCAAGCTCCACCTCCTGGGTTCAAGCGATTCTCCTACCTCAGCTTCCCGAGTAGCTGGGATTACAGGCGCCCGCCACTGCACACAGCTAATTTTTGTATTTTTGGTAGAGACGAGGTTTCGCCATGTTGGCCAGGCTGGTCTCGAACTCCTGGCCTCAAGTGATCCGCCTACCTTGGCCTCCCAAAATGCTAGGATTGCAGGCCTGAGCCACCGCGCCCATCCAGTGTGCCTTTTTTGCTTAACATTATGTTTGTGAGATTCATCCATGTGAAAACAGGTGGCTGTATTTCATGCATTTTCACTGCTGTGTGGTATTGCATTGTACAAACATAAGACTATTTGTCGTTCTCCATTGATGGATGCTTAGTTGGGTTCCTGTGACTTGCTGCTACAAACAAGGTTGTCTTGAGTACTCAGGTATGTGTCTCTCTGTGAACGTGAGCTGGATTTGTCAGTATATTTAGCAAGGATTGGAATTGCTATGGGAGAGAGTACAGTAATCTTCAAACGTACTAGAAACAGCTAAATTTTATTCCAAAGTGTGTGGGTGTCCTCATGAGTGGTCCCACTGACAGCGTATGAGTTTCCTCTTCTCCTTTTTCTTGACAGCACTTGGTGTTGTCAGACATTTTACATTTTTGTCTAATGCGTGAAAGTGCTGTCTACATGAGGTATTAATTTGCATTTCCCTGCGTGCCAGTGAGGCTAACATCTTTCCATGTATCTATTTTCACATATATATTTTTTCATATATTTGGTATTCTGTGAATGACTGGCCATATCTTTTGCACCTTTTTTTCTGTTTTCTTATTGATCAATCTGATCCGTTGTTGAGTTTATGTACCATAAATATCTTTTTTCTTTTCTTCCTTCTAACATAATGTAGAAGCTAAGAGTGTGGATTCTGGGGCCACATTGCCAGGGTTAAATCCCAGCTTCAACACTTCCTGTGTGGCCTTAGGCTTAGTCTGTGTATGCCTCAGTGTCCTCATCTGCAAAATGGGATGATGGCTCCCCACGGTGGGCCTGGGAGGATGCGCAGGTTCGTATCTGTGAATCAGTTAGTGCCTGTCATAGTAAGCACAAGATAGACTAATGCAACCTAGTGTGCTGGGCCCTGTGTGGCCACACGGGGCTGTATGCACAGGCGTCACCATGGCCAGAGCTGGAGCTCAGATGTGTCTGAGAAGATTGGCAGATGCTGCTTCACTCTGGCTCCCGGTCTCCTGGGTGGCCCTGCTTCCATCCCTGAGCTGCCTGAACGGAAAACGAAATCCCATCCCCGCTCCAGGGGGTGCCTGGGAATTGGAAGGCATCAGGCTCCTCACAGCAAAAATAGAAGCCTCATTTGCTTAGGAGAGAACAATGACGAGGAGGCAAGCCAGCAGAGGCGGCCTTGGCGGGCTGTGTACACCCTCTGCTTGTCTCCGCACTCCCTGGGGTCAGACGTAGACGTGGCTAAGCTGCCTGCAGACCTTCTCTTCCCCTTCATCCTGGCCTGCAGTGGGCATCAGGGTCCATCCTGGGACGTGGGCTGTCTTGGCACCAAGTTCCAGTTCTTAATACCTCAGTGTCACACTGTTCCCTGATTTCTCAAAGCCAGGAAGGAATTGCAGAAAACAAGGTCAGTTTAGTATCGAGAATCACTGGAGAGCCGTGTCAGAGCCCTGCTGAGAAGGGCGCGGGGAACTGTGTTCCTGTCTACCTGATGCTGTGGGCTGCACAAGGACGGACTTACTGAAGATTACAGGCCAGGGGGAAGAGGGCACGTTTAGTGTCAACCCTACACAGAAGAAGTTAGCTCCGCTGGGCGCGGTGGGCACTTTGGGAGGCTGAGGCGGGTGGATCACCTGAGGTCAGGAGTTCAAGACCAGCCTGGCCAACGTGGCGAAACTGCGTCTTTACTAAAAATACAAAAATTAACCTGTTGTGGTGGCATATGCCTGTAATCCCAGCTACTCGGGAGGCTGAGGCGGGAGAATTGCTTGAACCCGGGGTGGGAGAGGTTGCAGTGAGCTGCACTCCAGCCTGGGCAACGGAAACTCCGTCTTAAAAAAAAAAAAAAAAAAGAACAAGTCAGCTCAGCCCCACTGCAAGGAGCTCCTGGGTTTATTTAAGTGAGCCTCAGATAACTTTACATAAAAGCAAATGTGTAAAAAGCGATAAAGTCAGATATATTGAACATTTGTCCTGAGGGCAAATTTCTGAGCTCTAAAAGCCAGTTTGGTTTTAGATAACATCTGTGAGTCTGGAAACAGGCTGAGATACTCTATATCTGCACTCCCAACTCTGCCTTTGGCTTTGTGAGCCCTGTGGTCTCCTTGAAAGAATTGGTCCCCAGTGGGTGAACTAATCACCCATGAAGAGTCTCCCAATTCAAATCTGGAATAAAAAGTGAGGACATGGGGGCAGAATGTTACTCATCACATGTGGCCCGTCAGTACTAGACTTCAAGGTAAGTTTCCAAGAACAGAGCTCTGTGACCATTTTCATGATAGCAATTTGTACATTATTACTAAGTAATTTTAATGCCGTGTTTACAGGCCACCTTCCCAAACAAAACAATTGTTTCTGGAAGTTAGACTCTTGAAGACTTAACTTTTAATCCAGTTTGTTCTCAAAACATTTGCACAAATGAGAGTCTTGAGGTTTGAGCTTTCTATTCTAAAGGCTCAGCTTCTTGCCCAGGAGAAAAATAATACATGCTCGTGTTTATAAATAAGAGTTATGGCATTGGAGTCCTTTACATTGCAGCCAGCCTAGGGACTCAGTTATTCAGAATTTAAACATTTTACTTGTAAAGAGCACTTTGGTATCCACCCCAAGGGCCCTCCTCTGCCTGTCTCAGCACCATCTCTGTGTGTCCCATCAGGAAGCAACAGACAACTCCCTAAGCCCCACAGTAAAAACGTCTCTCCTGGTCTGGGGGCGCATCCATCCCCCATGTCCCCAGTCCCATCCTGGGTGTTCTGGGATTCCAGCCACAGCTGTGGGGACACCGCCATCTCACTGCATCCCTCTTGCTCTTGCGGCAGCTTGGCTGAGCTACAGGGCCGGGCCGCAGGAGGCGTCCTTGTGCCGGAGCTCACCTTGTGCCGGAGCTCACCTTGTGCCAGGTGTTGAGCTCTGCCAGCTGCCCGGCCCCACTGTGAGGCCGCCCCTTGCAGGTGAGTTCACTGGCAGCCCAGCCAGCCCACGAAGGCCATGTGAGTGTGAACCCCCATTACAAGCTTTCCCTCATGAGATGGCGCTGATCAGTCTGGGGGATACCTGCCTTTCAGTATGGGCTGCAGCCATTAGGCTGGTACCAGGAGGAGCCAGGTCGAGCTGGCACTGGGGCGACGCTCTGTCTTTGATGCACCCTGATGCCTCCCCCATCCTGCTGACCATGGTGCTCAGCACAGACCCCTTCCAACCCATCCCAGGGCCTCTGCTCAGTGTGGCCAGAGCCTCCTGTCAACAAGTATGTCACTGCCTTCGGGTTATTATTGTTCACCAGATTCCACTTGCTCTACAACCCAGGCACAGTGCACCAGAGTTTCCCAAACCTGTGTGCCGAGTGCCAGCCCCTTAGCAAGTGCAGCGTTGCCCATTTCACTCTGGGAAATGCAGCCATAGCTCTGGGGCCAGCTAGAGGAAGGAGTGTGATTGTGCCTTCCCGGGACAGCTTCCAGGTCTGGGAGTCTGTGATGTTGTGAGTGTTGCCTTAGCTTTGCTAAGAAAATGCTTAGGGAGATGGGTTCCTTCACCCATTCTTCCACTCATGTGCCTTTCTGGCTCCAGGGCTGGTGTCCCCTGCTTTGGAGGGGACGCTCACATGAGCTGCCCTATTGGGGTTCCGTCAAGTTTCTCTTAGCCTAAGCGGCTTCCTGTCTCGGGCTCCCTCCCCAGCCATTTGGGTCACCTTGGGTCCCTGAGGATCGCTTCTGGATCTTGGACCCCCTCACCAACTCCTGTGACATAATAATCAAAGGTAATCAGGAAATGTATGAATCGTCTTCTTTAAGGAATATTTAGCATTTCTGCTCATTCCAGAGTCCCTGGAAGCATGGCATTTCAAAGGCTTGGTTAGATCACAAGTCCAATTTACTGCCAGAAATTTGCACGTAGAATAATACAGAGCCTATGATGGCAGTTGAAGTGGTATCCTGTGAGAAAATTAATTAGTCCTGAAACTAAATGCCGACAGCCTCAGCAAAATATTCATGAGAGAAGCAAACCTCGTGCGTGGTGTTTGAAGTCAGGCAGCTGAGGCTGTGTACTGGACGTGTTCTCTGTGGCTGAGTTCTGCTGTGGATTCTGGGCTAGTCTAGGCAAGGCCTGCCTCTCCTTCTGGACTGGCTCCCAGGGCTGGGGGCTCAGGAAGGCCCTGCACCCTGGAGAAGAAGGGAGCCCCTGAGACTCTTTGGCCTTGTATTTGTGTGTCCCTCTGGGCTGCAGGGCTGCAGAATAAACCAGCTCCCAATCCTCCAAACAAAAATAAAGACCTGTGAATGGCTACACTTGGAGAGCAGAGTGTTTTGATATCATGGGGAGACCTGTGTACTTAATTTACGGCCTGAAGATTGAGAAGGATTTAATTGTTCCAAAAATGGTGAGAAAAGAGCAGGTCCCAGCCTTTCTGTCTGATCACAAACAGCCGAGGGGGACTGGGGAAGTGGCCTGGTCCTCACTGCCCCTGGAGGGGCAGGAAGAGGATGGAGTGATGTGCTTGGCAGATGCAGGAATGGCCAGGCAGTGGGAAAAGCCTAGGGTTTCCAAGCCATGTCTGATCCTCTGTGTTCCTTCTGCCTGCTGGGATGGAGCCCGCCCCCCAAATATGCCTGGCTCACTTACGACTCAGAGTCAGCTGCCCCCAGGGACTTCCCGGCTCTCGTGACCTTGCTGGGCATGACTTTCAGGGGAGCCCTCTGTCCAGGAGACATAGGTCACTCGAATCACACAGCCGTGCTTTAGTGAATGCTAGCCAGGGGCCCTGGAGAGGGCAAGGACAGGACACTCCTGCATGGAAACGAAAATGAATATTTTTCTCTGCAGAAAATGAAAAGTGGTGCTGGGTCCAAGTGGTAGGTGACCTGGCTTTTGAGCGAAAATGCTGCTGGGAAATGAGAGAAAAGAAACATGAAAAGAATGCAAATGAGGGTGGTGGACAGGGGCCCAGAGGCCTGATTCCTCCACCCTCCGCAAAGGCTGGGTGTGTGATGCCTATAAATAGACACTCAAAACCCGTTCTAAATGGAGTGAAGACATGGGCCTGCTTCCTCTTATGGAAAGGCCTTACATAAGGTGCAGTGCTGCTATTGCTCCTGGGCGGTGTGATGATTCTGTGCCTTTGTCGGAAGTCAGTGTGAAGCCTGTGGGGCTTCTGGGGGATGCACATGGATGAGCTCTGGGCTTTCTGGAGACTCGCAGACTCTGGGAAGGAGGCGGTGGGCGATGGGCAGGTCTCCTAGGGCTGGGAAACAGTCCTGAGACAGGCTCCGGGTTTCCTGAGGCGCTTCTGGGCCAGGAGCAAGTGGGAAAAGCTGGACTGCAGGGCTTGGTCAAGTGACAGCTGCCCAGAGCCGGAGTTTAGGGTGCCTGGAGAGGACAGGGGCTGGCAGGCCTGACTTTCTCACTGATCCACTTGGGGTCACAGAGCCAACCTGTAACAGAGTGAGGAACTGAGGCCGCATTGCTGGACTCCCAGTGGAGGATTCTTGCTGCTGGACTAACCTTTAGTTCATGAACTCACCCAGAAATTACTTATTTTTGGAGGACCGCAGATGGCGAGCTTAGGAGTGAAGAAGGGAATACTATTTGATGCTAATGTGATTCCAGGCAACATTCTAGAGGTTCCCTTGCAATTCACCTTCCCAGCCACCTTTGAAGTAGTTATTGGCCAGTTTTATACACGATGAAACTGACAGAGATGGTGTGAAGGGATTTTCTGACGTTCACACAGGAAGCAAGCAGCCCATGCTGACTCCACTGCGGAAAGCGTGTGTGTGATTGACATGCTTTTTGTGTGGTGCTCACTTTGGGTGTGATAAAGAGGCCTCCTTGCAAAGGGCCAGGATCTGTGAAGCACCATGTTGCTTCACAGAACAGGCCGTGAAAAGCCACAGAAGCACCATAGCCTGGGAAAGAAATGGAACAACGGTGCAAACAGCCAGTTTCCCCTGAGCAGAGGCAAGCAGGTTACGGCTCTGCAGCTCCCTTAACGGGTAGCTTGTTCAACATGGAAACATCTTTAGCCTCCTCAGAGACGTTGGGTCATCTCCTTTACATGGGGACCAGAAGTATCTTCCCTGGGCCATTTTGGGTGGAGGAAATTTCGTAATTATAACCCTCTGCTAGGGGTGTCTACCTAGGAAGTGAGAGCAACTGGCCGCTTTCTTAGAGAAGTGAAGACGCTGAGTAGACTAAACCTTTGTGATGAAGTCGAAGCCACTGTGTTGCCTGTGTCCTGTTTCCTTCCCCAGTGAATGGGGCTCTTCCCTACGACTGCAGACCCCAGGACCAGATTGCAGGTGCCCTGTCCAGCAGCGCAGCCATTCGTGAAGGGCTCGCAGCCTGGCCCGGCTCAACAGCTGATGCCCCCGGGAGGAGGCTGTATTACTATCCTTTTTGAAAGGAACACAGAAAGCCCTTTGTAACTTTGTCTGTAGCCAACATGGAGGGAGAGGCAGAATTCAGATGTGATGTTGCAGACAATTGAACACCCCTCCTCCTGTTCCACCCCAGCTTCCTGCCCGTAGCCTTCTAATGCCCTTGCCCTGAATTCCTGATCCAACCCAAGGGCCTGGCCTTGAAACCCCCGAGCCTGCTGGCAGTAGCTTCCTCTTCAGCCTTCCTGTGCAGAGCTTCCTCTATTCAGGGAAGTCTGAGACCTGGTGGCCTCTTTCTCATTCTTTTCATGAAACCATCTTGCCCAGGAGAAGGTGGGCTGAGACCCTGGGCATTGGAAAGGAGAGGTGGTCCTCCTTCCTCTCTTCACTTTCATCGCAGTCCTCTCCCCGCCCACCCCCATATGCACACCCTCCGCAGTCTGAAAGTGTCGTGAAGCACCAGCTCTGCAAACCCGTGGGGTCAAGCTTTGTTGTGGGAAAATACATATTCATGAGGGCTTTGAGGAGCCTCATTAAAATGCAGAGAGTCTCTCCTTTCAGAATGGTACATAAGCCATCTCTTTATTTGCCCAACACATTGTTCTTAAGGCAATAATTATGCGATGAATGGCTAAAGAAACATTTTAATTATTTGTTTAGGGTAATTTCTGATTATCTCATTAGAATTATAATCTGTCCACTTTTACAGGTGATTCAAAGCCTCATATTTACATTTTTATACTTGAAGGAGCTCTATGTGCGCACCTGTATCATTGCTGAAGTGAAAGTAATTTTCTCTGTTTTCTTCTGCTTTATTCCAGAAAGATTTGATCACCAGGAGATTTTTCGGGACATTACCAAACCACTCATTTTAGGTAAGAAATACAAGGCAGCGTTGCATGGAATGAGGTTTTGCTTTTGCCATGTGGGGAGCGGACCGTTTCACTGGAGGGAAAATGCTACATTGCAGGCAGAGCTGGCAACTGCCGTGGCTCTTTGTTTTCTGGGATCCTGTGTGTGTGAGCTTGGGGAGTTTGAAGCTGGGGTTTGAGTCACAGCCAAGGAGTGGATGGACACTGGGGACGCTTCTGGCACTTACCTTGCCCGGAACCGACCTGCCCACCACCCAATGACAACACAGCAAGACACGCACTCCCCATCTGTCCTCTCCTCATTATACTGGTGTTTCTGTAAACCATGGTCCTCACCAGACTCAGTCATTGATTTGTGTAACCCCTACCTAGGTTCCTAGTTACAGCGAAAGTAGACACATGTATATCGGCAATAATAGGTAGCACTCGAACCTTTCACTCTCCAGTGTGGGCAGTGGCTGGTCTACTTTGAGAAGGGACCAGCCATTGTGAGATACCAGGAAGCTGAGCAGAAGAAATCTAACTTTGATAAAAAGAGGCCTCCTCATCTTGCCAGGGATGGAGCGTGGTCCATCCTCCCTCCCTGTGCATGGAGCAGTATTGCAGCCCTGAAGACACTGCCCCATGGTCAGCATCTGGCTTGCCCTTGCCCTGTAGGACTGGTAGGAACAGAGCCCTGGTGCCAGCCGAGTGTTCCACACAGGGGAGACTTGCAAGGGACAGGTTCTGCACTGCAGATGAATTGGCTGTCTTCTTCTGTGGCTGGAGACACACAAGGCAGCGGCTTTGTAGGGAAACTGGTGTACAGGGTGGGGCGTGTTTGGAGAACGAGGAGCAGAGGGCATTGTTGCTGGAGTTAAAGAAGCAGAGCCAGGGATGGTCTTCATGTCCTGATGCCCAGAGCAGGCCTGAGCTTCTGATGGATTCTGGGGGTTCTTATGTATTCTTGGGAAGGAGCATGTGGTAAGCTTGGACAGGGAGGCAGTTCAGAGTGTTACATGCAAGGCAGCGGTGGCCTTGGGAACACCCCCCCTGCCTGACCAAGGCAAGGAACACTTTGTGTGTCCCAGTGTGGAATCTCTGTGCCAGTTGTGAGGGGACGGATGAAGACCAGCAGGGGTGAGGACGGGATTCTGGAGTGTCAAGACTCAGGTTCAGAATCACAGTTTTTCTTCCAGGGCAGCACAAGGCCACAAGTGTGGCTATTTGAAGCCACCCAAAAAGCCATTATTTGTAAAGCAAGGCAGCTTTATTGATTTCACTTTCTGCCCTGCATCTTTCCCACATTGTGGTAACCACTCACCATCCCTGTTCTGCTGATGAGGCAGGAATTCCCTTGCATCCAGTTGGGGAGCATTCTTGTCACAAATGTCCTGGATGAATTACACGGTGGCTCTCCGTGGAGGGAGCACATTCACAAGGCATTTAAGAGATGCAGGACAATCAGCCCTCGTCCATGAAACAGGGTGAAACGTAGAAGAGCTGCGTGATTATTAATGGGTTTGGACATAAGCTGGAGTGTTTACTGAAATTTTTCTCAGTTGTCAGTTTTCAAAGTTTGTGAATGTACTTTTGTGCTCTCAACAGGCCTTTTCTGCTCTATTTAACTTTCTACTTAGGGTTGTAAACATACTTCAGCCGTAATGACATTAGATACATCATCCACTCTCAGCTCTGAAAATGCTGGAGATTTTGATTATCACCAGCAGTAAGGACAGCTTATGAAGGGAGATGTTACTTATGGAGACACAGCTCATGATTCCATAAAATTCCAGTCTTCTGGGAGCCCAGGGTTAAGCAGCTGCCTCAGCCCATCCACCCTCTAGGGACTGTCCACGGTGAAATTGGCTTCTTGACGTTTTCCTTATGGAACCTGGGGTGTCATTACATTCTGTTAGAGTCATAGGGTGGTTCTATTTATGCCTGTAAGGTATAAGGTATTTTTTTCTTCTGAGTCTAGAAAAGACCTACTGGAATTTTTATGTATCCTGAAATACTATTAGACGATCAAAATCAATTGCAATAGAGAAGGTGCTGGGCTCTCTTCCCAATTGCTCTCACCCATCTGCAGTGTAATAGGCCTATCATGTAAGTGAATATACTCATCACAATTCTCTGCAGCTTCCCAGCAGAAAAGCATATTCCTTCTCAGAGAGAAAGGCGGCAAGGAGATGGATATTTTTAAATGCCAATTATGCCAGAATGAGTCTCTGTGAGGAGATCTGTAAAGAGAAGAAAGGGCCGGGGTTTATTTATTTTTCTGCTGCGAATGGAATCATTCTGTAGCTTCAGAATACTAATCCCTGTGATGTGCCTGATGTCTTTTCATAGGATAATTTGTGAATGTGCTTCCACTTACAGGAAAAGTTTGAGGCTCTTTTCTTATTCTTCTTTTTCTTTTTTTTTTTTTTTTGAGAATTAAATTCTAGGCCTCACTATATCCTATGATAACCGTCCTATAGGCCCTCGATCTATAAAATGTGTGCATAATGAAATATATAAAATCAGCGATTATCCTGAAGGAACACAGAAAAGATTAATAAGCTGTATTTAAATCACGGCAAGTCTCAGAACATATATTAAGTTAGAAGACATCACGTCCTGAAAATGACGGGCTGATGTGATACTAGCATGTACCCCCGTATGGATGCATATAAATGCTGTGTAAAACCTAGCCCAAAGTGTTCTTTAAAACCTAAGATCCAAAGAAAGGCATGGAAATTCCAAGCTATGAGACATGAAGAGAAAACACAAAGCCAGAGCACTAAGGGAGGAGGCCATGAGACCCCCAAGCAGTGAGGTTCCTGATGGAGAGCCAGGATGATGAAGACTGTGTGACATTTGTGCAGGGAGAGACACGGCAATGGCTGGGACAGGGTAGCAAGGCTAGGAGCAAGTGCTCATATGTATAGGAAGCCAGGAGGTGGCAGACGTGTGTTATGGACCAGGTGGGATGTGATGCAGGACAGCTGGTTGGCCACATAGGAAAAGAGAAAAGATAAAGTGAGATCCCTACCTCACAGCACATGTACCAGTAAACGGCCATAGAATTAAAGGCCTATGCCGGGCACGGTGGTTCACACCTGTAATCCCAGCATTTTGGGAGGCCGAGGTGGGCAGATCACCTGAGGTCGGGAGTTCGAGACGAGCCTGGCCAACATGGCAAAACCCCATCTCTACTAAAAATATAAAAAATTAGCTGGGTGTGGTGGCGGACATCTATAATCCCAGCTACTCGGGAGGCTGAGGCAGGAGAATTGCTTGAACCTGGGGGGCGGAGGTTGCAGTGAGCGAGATCATGCCACTGCACTCCAGCCTGGGTGACAGAATGAGACTCCATCTCAAAAAAAAAGAAAAAAAAAAAGGCCAAAATGTAAAGACAAAAATGTTAAAATACATAGAAGATTTTTTCTATCTGCTCTTGAGGTGGGAAACATACACACATCATAAAAGAAAAGATGGATTAATCAAACATCAGTATTAGCAACTTCTTTAAGAGAACTACAGGCTGGAATAAATATTCATGATGAATTTACTGTGAGAGATTTGTATTCTGTTTGTATCAAGAACTCTTTCAAATTAATTTTAAAAAGACAATAGAATTGAAAAATGAGCAAATACTATGAAGAAGAAAAAATGAAAATGTCAAATAGACAAATGAACTCTGCCTTGCTCCTAATCTGGGAACTGCCTGGGAGACCATGAGATGTTGGCAAATTAGAAAGTCTGATAATCGAAGGGTTGCCCAGAGTGTGAAGCAAGGGGGCCTTCATGTCCTGTTTATCAAGGGCAAGTTAGTAAACCCCTTTAGAGAACAATTAGGTGTTATCTAGTAAGGTTGAAATGTGGATCCCCCATGACCCAGCAATTCTGCTCATGAAAGGGATTCAGTGTTGTATTAGTCAGTTCTCTCAAAAACAGAACCAATAGGATCAGTTTATCTTAGAGTTTATGTATCGATCAATCGATTGATTGGTCAATTGATATAAGGTATTGGCTTGCATGATATGGCATCTGGGAAGTCTCACAATCTGCCATCTGCAAGCTGGAGACCCAGGGAAGCCAGTATTGTAGTGCAAAGGCCTGGAAAGCAGAGAACTGGTGCAGATTCCAGTCCAGGCCGAAAGGCCTGAGAACCAGCAGCATGGAGGGCAGAGAAGACCAATGTCCCAGTCAAGCAGTCAGGCAGAGAGTGAATTCAACCCTCCTCTGCTGTTTTGTTCTATGCAGGTCCTCACTGGAGTGGACGATGCCCACCTACACTGAGGAGGGCCGTCTGCTTTACTCAGTCTGCCAATTCCAATGGTAACCGCTTCCAGAAACACCTCACAGACTATCCAGAAACAGTGTTTAACCAGACGCATGGGCACCTTGTGGCCCAGTCAGGTTGATACATAAAATTAACCATCACAAGTGGGTCACAACCAGCGTTTTCTAAAAATATGAACCAGATTAGAACAGAAGATATCAGAGTTTGTTCTGCATAGTGAATGATAGTGATCCTGAGAAGGGGGACTTTGAGGGGATGGGACTGACAGCGATGGTTAAGCCTGAATGGAGGTTTGCTACATTGTTTTCTATACTTCTATGTATTTGCAAAGTTGAGGAGAAAAGAAGTTGTGGTAAACCCCTGGATGTAGGCACACGGACCCCAGTGTTCTGTGCTGTGGGTCCCTCTGATGCAGCCGTCTTGCTCCCGTCTTGCTGGTTCATCCTCCACCTTGGCTGACTACCTGGCCTCACCCTTGTACAGGTGCTTCTGTTTGTCTCTTCATTGAAATGGGTGGGATTTATTGATTTATTTAGAGACAGGGTCTTGCTCTATTGCCCAGGCTGGAGTGCAGTGGTCTGATCATGGCGCACTGCAACCCTGACCTCCAGGGCTCAATCAACCCTCCCTCCTTGGCCTCCTGAGTAGCAGGGACTACAGGCATGTGCCACCACACCCAGCTTATTTTTATGTATTGTTTTTATAGAGGTGGGATTTTGCCATGTTGACCAGGCTGGTCTTGAACTCCTTGGCCCCTAGAATGCTAGGATTACAAGTGTAAGCCATCATTCCCTGTGTGAAATGAGTAGGATTTCTGAATGAGCCAGGCTTTGCACATTGACCTGGCTCTGCCTCTTGAACTGCTGCCTTCACATGGGAGGCTCCTTCTGGCCCTGCCTGTGTGGCTGATTCCTCTCTCAGGTGCTTCTCTTTATCTTCACAGACGAGGCTCATGGGCTTCACTTTTTGGGACCTTAGGTGGACATCTGAGTCCACAGCCCTCCTGCCTGGCTTCTGTCTCTGTGGATTTGCAGGCCTGCTTGTCCCATATCCTCCAGTGCCCAGCCCAGTGCCTCATGTACAGTGGATGCTCAAGAAGTGTGTAGTCATCACATAGCTCTAGTTTCTTATTTTTATTTTTATTTATTTATTTTTTTTGAGACAGGGTCTCACTCTGTCACCCAGGCTGGAGTGCAGTGGCATGATCATAACTCACTGCAGCCTTGAACTGGGCTCAAGCAATCTTCCCACCTCAGCCCCCTGAGTAGCTAGGACTACAGGTGAGTGCCACCATGCCCAGCTAATTTTAAAATCTTTTGTAGAGAGGGCATTTCACCATATTGTTCAGACTGGTCTCGAACTCCTGGCCTCAAGTGGTCCTCCCACGTGGGCCTCCCGCAGTGCTGGGATTACAGGCATGAGCCACTGCCTCTAGACTTTAGAAATGTTCAGAAGCTCACCTTCCCATCTGCAAAGTGGAGACTCATGAGTTGGGGGCGGGTAGATTGTGAGAATGAACCACATAATGAAGAGGGGATGTGTAGCACATGTGAGTTTTCCCATCTTGCTGGTTTCCTTCCCTGGAAGAGGCAAAGAGAGGACAAGGAGCTGGCTGTTACTATTTGCTTGCAGACTTGGTGTGTGCTTTCAAATTGGAAGCTCCTGCTCTGACACCCAGTTCTTTTTTGTTTTAAGTTGTACTTTAGAAGAGAAAAAAATTCATCAACACCCTTTTTTTTAAAAGATGGAAAATGGGTTAAGAAAGTAGCACGAGGAACTGTGAGCCCAACATAATTAGTGTGATGAAAGAGAAGTTAGCCATTTCTGTATGTAACTTTTGATTAATGATATTCAGCTCTAATTAATTATGTCCAATTCTAATTAATGACATTAGTGTGCAAGCTGGCATTCTCAAACTATATTCTGAGGATTCCCAGCGGATGTTCTTGAATATAATAGTCCCCGGTCACATTAGGTTGGGAAGTGCTGTGTGTACTGCCCGTCTTGGACACTCCCAAAGCACCATATAAAAGGCCTTCAGAAGTCCTGCAAGAAAAGGAACAATTTAAATTTCTTTTAACCTGTCATTTCCCAGACTTACTTTTACCATGTGTGCTGCTAGGCACATACGGACATGCTAATTTAACTCTCATACCACAAGGTGTGCTTGGATGAATTGATGAGCAATGTACATGTCATGGAGACGTTTTCTAAGTCTTCCAGAGTCATAGCAGGGGTCTCCTGTATCGCAGCAGAGCATACTGCAAAGAATTGCATTTCCATACAGTCTAGGGCTGCTGTGAACTAATCTCCTTTCTTGGGCAAATCGCTTAATCTCCTTCAATCAGTTCATACATCTGCAGAGGAAAGGGTGATGGCATGCCACCCTGGATGGTGGGAGGACTCCTAGCAGTGGTGGCTGTTACCATCTCATAAGAAACCCTCATTACAAGAAAGTCCACGTCATTTGCCATGTGCTGGTCTCGGGGGGTCAGCGAGTGGGGGGCTGCAGGGAGAGACCACCAGTTACCTCCTGAGCCTCACGTGTGGGGTACACTGTGTTTTGTCCGTTGTTGGATTTGTATTCATTGTTCATCTAAAAGTGATTATGTTGAAAAACAGAATGGTGGCAGACAGGCATGTTTGGCATGGGTTAATGCGAGGCTGGAAAGAGAGCCCCTGACCTTCAGTTCGAGAATCAGCCACTGCAGGAAAGGGTGGCGTCTTGGTGGCCGCATACTGTGAATGTCAAGGGAGACGAAGAGTGCACCCTGGGGAGGGCGGACTCATCAGTCCAGTGGGTTGTCCAGGAGGGAGTGAGGGTTGATCTTTCATCTCGAAGGATGAATATACATTTCTGCGAGAGAGGGGGAAGACGGGCGTTCCAGGCAAACAAGCGTGTATATATAACTGAAGCGTGGACAGAGGAAGCAGCGTGGCTGGTCTGGGAATGGAATTGTTTGATCTGGCTTGATGGAGGAGCTAGGGGGTGAGGTAGAAGAGGTGGCAGAGGCCAGCTTGACCTGTGTAGATGGCTTGGGAGAAGCCCTGGCAGGTCTTTGTTGGAGGGCTGACAGGAAGGGATATGTGCTTTCCATAGTTGACCTTGGAGGGTGCGGCATGGGGTGGAGGCCCGTGCACCAGAGGCTCCTCATAGAGTCTCTACAGAGAGATGACCAGGCTAGCGTTTTCATGGCATGAAGGTTGTCTTCAGAAACTCGCTTCACAATCTACTTAAGATGAGTCAAATCTACCCTCCAAAGAACATCTGCTGCTACTGGAGATAGCGCTTCAAAAGCTAATGCAGGTGCTGAATGTTTTTCCACCATGAGGGTTCCTTCTGTGCATCAATTAGTCTAGACTCTTGCTGTTTGAGGAAAGAGGCTCAGAGTAGTTAAGCCACTAGCTCCAGGTCTCATAGCTGGCTGATAGGACATCAACCTGCGGAGTCTCTATGGAGGTGGAATAGTTTCAGTGGTGCACTGAAACAGTAGGGGATGGATAGGAGAAAGGCTTGGTCTATTAGTCAGGTTGAGCCAGAGAAGCAGTAAGGGATGGATATGAGGAGATACATTGTGAGGAATCTGCACACGTGGTTTTGGGACCTGGCCAGGCAAGCCTGAAGCCCGCAGGGCAGGCCATGGGGAAGGGCAGGCTGGAACTCCCAGGCATGGCTGCAGCTGCAGTCCACAGGCAGAATTTCTTCTTCCTGAAGGAAGCCTTGGCTCTACTTTTAAGGTCTCCTGACAAATTGATCCAGACCCAGACAGATTGTCTGGGATGATCTCCTTTCTAAAAGTCAACTCATTATGGACTTTAATGACATGGACAGAAGACTTTCACAGCAACGTCTGGAAGAGTGGCTGATTGCCTAGCCAAGTCAGTACCTCAAAAAGACCACACTCTTGATAACACGTGGGGGCTCCAGGACCAAAAGCTGGTGCTGCAGATGTGTGGGGTGGCAGCATTGTCACTTCCTGTCTCCCACTAACCTCAGGGTCACAGTGGGCTGGTGGCTGTAGCATGCTCCACACCTGCTCTCAGGGATGCTGGAGGGAGACTGAGGCCCAGGCTTTTGTCTTAGAGACTTGGGATATGTCTAGGATCCCTTCTAAAAGCCAAGTTCTAGATAGAATCTGGCCTTTCAGGGTTGGAGAGACCCCATGTGGCTTCTGAGCAGACTTCCTTCCTGATCTCAGTCTTGGAAGTGAAGGTCTTACCCCTGGTTGCCCCCTTCCTGTGACAGAGGGCTCTTTGCCTCTTTGCACTCCATGCCCCAGAGACAATCAGTGCTGGGGACAATTTTGTCAGAAATCTATTCCCAGCCCTAGCTTAGCCTAGTGGCACTCTCAGTCCTGAAAGCTAGAGGCCATTTCCACATTGGTGTAGCACCGTGGTTCTCAGACTGTGTTTGCTATCAGGATCACCTGGGGAACTTGGTAAAAATACAAATGCAGGTCATATTCTGCTTCCTCCATCCTGGGCCTCTGTGTTCTTTATTAGCCTTCTTGGTGGTTCTGACCTACATCAAAGTTGAGGACCACTGGCATAACGCACGGCTGCTCGAACTCCAGTGTGCGCCGGAATCTCCTGGGGATCTCATTTATTTTATTTTTATTTTTTGAGACGGAGAATCACTCTTGTTGCCCAGGCTGGAGTGCAGTGGCACGATCTCTGCTCACCGTACCCTCCGCCTCCTGGGTTCAAGCAATTCTCCTGCCTCAGCCTCCCGAGTAGCTGGGATTATAGGCACATGCCACCACGCCTGACTAATTTTTGTATTTTTAGTAGAGATGGCGTTTCTCCATGTTGGCCAGGCTGGTCTCAAACTCCTGATCTCAGGTGATCCACCCGCCTTGGGCTCTCAAAGTGCTGGGGTTACAGGCGTGAGCCATCACGCCCGGCCAGGGACCTTGTTTAAATGCAGATTCTGATTCCATGGTTTTTGGTGGATCCTGCGATTTTGTGTTTCTAACAACCCCCCAGGTGGTGCAGTTGCTTCTGGTCCTCAGGCCACATCTTAAATAGCAAAGGCGTAGATAGGGGCCGAAATTAAGCACTTAAGAATTACCCAGACTTGCATCGGAATTCTGCCTCTACCACTTAACTGTCTCTGTGTTACCCTGAGCAGACTGCTTGATCTCTCTAAGCCTTGATTTCCTTATCTGGACAATGGGAATAATGTGCCTTTTTTTTTGTTTTTTTGAGGTAGCACCTCTGTCTGTTGCCTAGCGTGGAGTGCAGTGCTGCAATCTCAGCTCACTGCAGCCTCAACCTCCTGGGCTCAAGCGGTCCTCCCACCTTGGTCTCCCGAGTAGCTGGGACCTCAGGCACACACCACCACACCCAGCTAATTTTTAAATTTTTAATTAGAGACAGGGTCTCATTGTGTTGCCCAGACTGGTCTTAAACTCCTGAGCTCGGGCAGTCCTCCCTCCTTGGCCTCCGAAAGTGCTGGGATTACAGGCGTGAGTCACTGCTCTTGCTGCTTTTTAAATAAAAACTGCTGGCCGGGTGCAGTGGCTCACGCCAGCAAATTCCAGTGCTTTGGGAGGCCAAGGCAGGTGGATCACTTGAGGTCAGGAGTTCAAGACCATCCTGGCCAACATGGTGCAACCCCATCTCTACTAAAAATACAAAAATTGCCTGTCGTGGTGGCAGACCCCTGTAATCCCAGCTACTCAGGAGGCTGAGGCAGGAGAATCACTTAAACCCAGGAGGCAGAGGTTGCAGTGAGCCGAGATCATGCCACTGCACTCCAACCTGGGCAACAGAGCGAGACTCTGTCTCAAAATAAATAAATAAATAAATAAATAAATATTGCTTTGACAGTTAGAAAAGAAAGAGTTTAATACCGCAACATAATAAAGACCATACAGGCAAAGCCACCAGCCAACAGCATACCCAGTGGTGAAAAATTGCAAAGGCTTTTCCTCTTAAGATCAGAAACAAGACAAGGATGCCCCCTTTCACCACTTCTATTTAACATAGTACTAGAAATTCTAGCCAGAACAATTTGGCAAGAAAAAGAAATCAGAGGCATCCAAATTGGAAAGGAAGAGGTGAAATTTTCTCTCTTTTCACATGTCATGGTCTTATGCAATATGTAGAAGGCCTTAAAGACTTCACACGAAACACACAAAGCTGTTATAACTAATACATGAATTCAGTAAAGTTGCAGGATCCAAAATCAACACACAAATATCAGTTGCATTTCTATACACTAACAGTGAGCAATCTGGAAGGGGAGTTAAGAAAAAAATTCCATTAACCAAGGAAGCAAAAAAATTGTACACAGAAAACTACCGAACATTGCTGAGAGAAATTAAAGAAGACACCAGTAAATGGAAAGACATGGAATGTTTTTAGATTAGAAGACAATATTGTTAAGATGTCAATACTACCTATATTAGTCCATTCTCATGCTGCTAATACAGACATACTCGAGACTGGGTAATTTACAAAGGAAAGAGGTTTAATGGACTCACAGTTCCACATGGCTGGGGAGGCCTGACAATCATGGTTGAAGATGAAGGAAGAGCAAAGTCATGTTTTACATGGCAGCAGGCAAGAGAGCTTGTGCAGGGGAACTCTCATTTATAAAACCATCAGATCTCATGAGATTTATTCACTACCACAAGAACAGTGTGGGGGAACCACCCCCATGATACAGTTATCGCTACCTGGCCCCACCCTTGACGTGAGGATTATTGCAGTTGAGGGCAAGATTTGGCGTGGGACATAGCCAAACTATGTCATATCCAAAGCAATCTACAGATTCATTGCAATCCCTATCAAAATCCCAATGATGCTTTTTGTAGAAATAGGAAAATTCGTCCTAAAATTCTTGTGCAATCTCAAGGGACCCTGAATAGTAATAGCAATCTTAAAAAGAAGGACAAAGTTGGCGATCTCACACTTCCTAATTTCAAAACTAGCTACAAAGCTGTAGTCATCAAAACAATGTAGTAGTTGCATAAAGACAGACATACAGACGAAAGGAATTGAGTAGACAGCCCCCAAGTAAACCCTGACATATATGGGCAAATGATTTTTTGACAAGGATTTCAAGGTCATTCAGTGGGGAAAGGATAGTTTCTTCAAATGGTGTTGGAAAAACTGAAAACAATATAAAAACAACACAAGAGAATACAAAAATCAACTCAAAATAGATCAAAGACCTGAACATAAGAGCTGAGACCATAAAACTCAGAAGAAAACAGGTGCACAACTTCATGACATTGGATTTGGTAGTGACTTCTTGGATGTGACACCAAAGGCACAGGCAGCAACAGGAAAAGATAGGTAAGTTGGACTTCATCTAATATAAAAACTTCCTCAAAGGACACAGTCAGCAGTGAAAAGGCAACCCAAGGAATGGACGGAAATCTTTGTAATTCATACATCTGATAAAGGGTTAATAGCCAGAATGTGTGAAGAATTCTTAGAATTTAACATAAAAAGAAGCCACCTGATTAACAAACGAACAAAGGGCTTGAATAAACATTTCTCCACAGAAGATAGACACATGGCCAGTAAACACAGAAAAACATGCTCAGCATCACAAATCGTTAGAGAATTGCAAGTCGAAATCACAAGATACCACCTCATATCTATTAGGCCGGCTATTACAAAACAAAACAAAACAGAAAATAAGTGTCTGTGAGGATGTGGCAGAATTGGAACCCTTGTGCACTTTAGGTGGGAATGTAAATGGTGCAGCCCGTCGGAAAACAGTATGACAGTTCCTCAAAAAATTGAAAATAGAATTGCCGTGGAATCTAGGCGTGGTTTCACTTCTGGGCATATGCCCAAGGGAAGTAAAAGCAGGGGCTCAAGGAAATATCTGTACATTCATGTTCATGCAGCATGATTCACAATAGTCAAGGGGTGGAAGCAACCCAGGAGTCCATTGGCAGATGAATGGATCAACAAAATGTGGTGTATACATAGAATGGAATATTATTTTGCCTTGAAAAGGAAGGAAATTCTGACACATGCTATAACATGGATGAACCTTGAACCTTGAGGTCATTATGCTAAATGAAGGAAGCCAGATAGAATAGCACAGATCCTGTGTGGTTCCACTGACATGAGGTACTCAGAATAGTCAAATTCATGGAGACAGAAAGTAGAATGGTGGTTGCCAGGGGCTAGAAGGAGAGGGAAGGGGGTTAGTGTTTAATTAGGACAGAGGTTCAGTTTTACAAAGTGAAAAGAGTTCTGGAGATGGATGGTCATGATGGTAGCACAGCAGTGTGAATGTACTTAGTGTCACTAAGCTGTATTCTTAAAAAGGCTTCCAATGGTAAATTTATGTTACGTGTATTTTACCACAATTTTTTTTTCTTACAACGGAAAGGACTCAACACCATATCTAGTAAAACACACACTGAATGTTGTTATTGAAAGCATAGATGGCAGGATCACTTGAGTCCAGGAGTTCGAGACCAGCCTGGGCAACACTGGGAGACTCCCATCTCTACATAGAATTAAAATAACAGATTAGCTAGGTGTCCTAGCTACTCAGGAGGCTGAAGTGGGAGGGTCCTTTGAGCCTGGAAGTTCGAGGCTGCAGTGAGCTGTGATCATATCACTGCATTCCAGCCTAGGTAACAGAGCGAGATCCCATCTCAGAACAACAACAAAAAACAAATAAAAAAATAAAAGCACAGAGCCAGTCACAGGGACACTCCATACATATGAATTCTACCCACAGTCATTCGTGCCCCTGAGTGTCTGCCTTCCCACCATTCTCTGGGAGTTGGTTTCCATTCCCTCACCTCTCCTGTTCTCTCTGACAAAGGTAATTGAAACTATGTTTCTGTTCTTTCAGTATGGCCAGGTGGGAAGCTGTTCTCTAGTGTGAGTTAACCAGGACAGAGGGTGTGTATGTGCAGGGGAGAGAAGCCGGCAGGCTCTTCCTCCCAGATGCTGGACTATGGAATGTGATACTAACATGGGGATCCTCCCCAAGAGCCTTGGATCCCCTAGTGCACCAAAGTATCCTACTGAGAAGGCATCAGAAAATCTGACTCACAGAAGTTAGGGCAGTGTTTACAGTACCATGACAGCAGGCAGAGCTTGGGGTTCAAAGCAGAATCTGAGGAAAGACTCTAAAAAGACGAGCCCCTGCCCAAGATATGGTGCCTTTTCTAGTCTCATAGCACATTGCACCCCCTCCCCTCACTGTAACAATCCACACCCTCAGAACGCGCACCTGGAGTTGTTCATGGAGACTAAAGTGGGAGGAAGCTTTGGACAGTCACCTTTTTGAAGTCTGTTTTGAATTGAACAGTGTGCAAATGATAAGCCACTTATTTTAAAATAAGCTTCTTAATTCAAGTGTAATATAAACAGAAAAGTACAAAAATCCTAAGTGTTTATTACCATGAATATTTTCAAAGTGAACACATCCATGAAACTACCATCCAGACTAGGAAACAAAACATCACCACAACCCAAGAATCTCCCCTAGGGTCCTCTCCCAGCCATAACCCACCCCCGACCACTACCACCACCACCTAAAGGTAATCAGAATCCTAGCACCAAATGTTATTTTTGCAAATGTTTGAATTTTTTTTTAAATAAATGAATTTCTACAATATATACTGTTTTATGTCAGCTTATTTTATGCAACATTATGTTTGTGAGAGTCACTCACAGGTGGTGTGACAGTAGTTCATTGACTCACTGTTACAGAGCATTGTAAAAATACAAATAATTCATCCATTCTATGTTTGATGGACATTTGCATCTTTTCTAGTTTTGGGTCATGATTGCTGCTGGGAACACTGTTACACATTTGTTGTACACATGATTGCATTTCTATTGAGGGTACATCCAGGATTGGAATGGGTAGGTCACAGGGTCTGGGTATGTTTCTATTTTAGTGAACACTGCCAGTCCTTTTTCTGACGTGATTGTACCCAATTACACTCCCACCTGCAAATAGGAGTTTCATTTGCTCCACATCCTTGCTCATAACTGGTGGTGTTAGTCATTTTAATTTGATTTTTAGTGGATGCATGGTGGGATCCTCTGGTATGATTTTCAGTTCACTGAAGACTGTTGAATATCTCTTTCGAATACTTGTCTTGTGCTTTTCGAAACCTTCTCTTGAAGTTTTTGTGCAAGTTTTTGCTCATTTTTCTGTTGCATTTTCTTTCTTAGTGCTTTGTAGGAGTTCTTTTTTTGTTTTATGAGATGGAGTCTCGCTCTGTCGCCCAGGCTTGAGTGCAGTGGTGCGATCTCAGCTCACTGTAAGCTTCGCCTCGTGGGTTCACGCCCTTCTCCTGCCTCAGCCTCCCAAGTAGGTAGGACTACAGGCGCCCGCCACCAGCCCGGCTAATTTTTTGTATTTTTTAGTAGAGACGGGGTTTCACCGTGTTAGCCAGGATAGTCTCGATCTCCTGACCTCGTGATCCGCCCAACTCGGCCTCCCAAAGTGCTGGGATTACAGGTGCGAGCCACCACACCCGGCCGGGAGTTCTTTATATAGTTAGTACCTGAGACCTTTGCTAGATGTACATATTACAAATATTTTCTCACACTTTCTCACGTTCAGTGGTATCTTTTGATGAGAAGGCCCAGATTATCAATCTTTTCCTTTAAGGTTAATGCTTTTTGTGCCCTGTTTAGGAAATCTATGCATACCTAAGAACATGAAAACAACAGCATATTTATTTTTTCCAGCCATTCTTGTTTTCTAATATATGATTTTAGGGTTATAAATAGCCTATTAAGCCTGCTTTAGCTGTAATCCACTATTTTTAAAAATTGTAGTAAAAAAACACAGCATAAAATTTACCATCTTAACCATTTTTAAGTGTACAGTTCGGTAGTGTTAAGTAAATTCATAATGTTGTGAAGCAGATCTCTAGAACTTTTTCATCTTGCGAATCTGAACATCTATACCCATTAAACAGCAACTTCTCATTCTCCTTGCCCCAGCCTCTGGGAGCCACCATTCTACTTTCCGACTACTCTAGGTACCTCAAGTGGAATCCTACAGTTTCTGTCTTTTTGTGACTGGCTTATTTTGCTTAGTACAGTGTCCTCAAGGTTCATCTGTGCTGGGTTGTGTGATAAGATTTTCTCCCTTTTTAAGGCTGAATAATATTATGTGGTATGAATAGACCACATTTTGTTTATCCATCATCCATCGATAGACATTGGGTTGCTTTTATTCCTTGGCCATGATGAATAGTGCTGCTGTGAACATGGCTGGCTGTCCAGCACCATTTTTGGATACGTTGTATTTTTATTATTAATTAGTTCAAAATCTGTTCACTTTTTAAAATTTCTCCTTTGAAATGTGGGTTATTTTAAAGTAGTTGATTTCCAAATGCCTCCATATTTTCTGGTTATATTTTTGTTATTTATTTCTAGCTTGCTTACCCCGTAGTCAGGAACAGATTATTTACAATGTTAACATTTTGAAATTTGTTTACACTGGCTTTAGACTTGTCCACCATATGATTAATTTTGACAGACTATCCCATGTGCCCTTGTGTGTAGTTCCTCAGTTCAGTACTTTCGATATATTCATGAGGAAAAATGGGTAATTGTGGTGTTCAAATCTTATATTTCCATTCTTATTTTTACTTCTTTGTTATATCATTTACTGAAAGAAGTGTGTTAAATTATCCAGCTGCTCATAATGTCTGTGTCTAATAGACATAAATTTCATAATGTCTAATACTTTAGATTTGTCTTATTATAGTCCTGTCAATTCTCCCTTTATAAATTTTGAGTGCATTTAACTAGATACATATAAATTTAGAATTTATTCCTAGTAGGTTGCCCTTTTTAATTATGAATTCTTTCTTTTCCATAAGAATGCTGCTTTTCGTAAAATCTAGTTTGTCTAATTACCAATATAGGTATATAAACTTTCTTTTTTAACTTACTGCTTTAGAATAGTTTTAGATTCACAGAGATGTTGCGAAGATAGTAGAGAGTTCCCATACATCCTGTACCTACTTTTCCCTGTTGTTAACATCTCACATTAGTATGGTACATTTGTTACAATTAATGAACCAGTGCCAATGCATTATTATTAACTGAAGTCCATACTTCATTCACATTTTCTTAGTTTTTATCAAATGTCCTTTTGCTGTTCCAGGATTCTATTAGGAGACTGCTTTGAGTTCAGTTATTATGTCGCTTTAGGTTCTTTTAGACTGTGACAGTTCCTCTGACTTTCCTTGTTTCTGATGACCTTGACAATTTTGAAGAGTAGTGGTCAGGTATTCTATAGAATATCTTTAAATTTGAGTGTGCTTGGCATTTTTCTCATGGTTCAATAGGGGCTATGGGCTTTGGGGCAGAAGATCCCATCTGAAAAAGTGCCATTCTTATCCTATCAAATCAGGGCTACATAATTTATCACTGCTGATGTTACCCTCAATCGTCTGAGTGTTATGCACCATCTCCATGAGGGAACAGTATCTACACAAATTATTTGCAATTCTGCACAGGGAGATTGGTCTGTTCTCACTCATTTATTTTCTCATTCATTTATTTATATTTGTATGGACTCATGGATATTCATTGTATACTTTGGGCTATAAACCAGTATTGCATTATTAATTTTGTTGTTCAGATAGTTCCAGCTTTTGCCCTTTCCTAAGATAGTGGACTCACCCCTCTGTGTTTCAACTCTACCAATTTGGACCCTCAAGTTCTTGTTGCCTTATTAGCCATAAATTGCAATTTCTTATTTCCCCAGTCCTCTGAGACTACTGAAAGTTCTGCTTAGGCCTATTGCCTCTTAACCACTACTTTCTTCCTGTGTGTGTTTTTAACCTTTTGGCTTCCATCACTCACAAATCCCCAAATGCCTTGACGAGAAAAGCAGCACAGAATGCTGAGCTTATTTCTGGGTAATTATCTACTTGTCATGATCTCAGCCCCTCAAGTCCTAGCTGCCTTGGACTCTCTGATGCTTCCACAGAGATCATTTAAAAAAATTTCGTCAAGAGTTTCTAGTTGTTCTTGGTGAGAGGATTAGTCTGACACAAGCTAGTGCATCATAGCAGGCGGTGGAATTCTTCAGACATAATATTTTTTTTTACTTCTTCTACTATGTCATAGTTGATGGTGCCTCATGGTATTTTAATATCTGATGCTTTGCACCCATACAGCAACTATCCTGAGTAACGAAGATGTTATGTCATATAGGAAAATGAGTCATTCTTTTTTTTTTTTTTTTTTTTTTTTGAGACAGAGTCTTGCTCTTTCGCCCAGGCCGGACTGCAGTGGCATGATCTCGGCTTGCTGCGAGCTCCGCCTCACGGGTTCACGCCATTCTCCTGCCTCAGCCTCCCAAGTAGCTGGGACTACAGGCGCCCGCCACCGCGCCTGGCCAATTTTTTGTATTTTTTAAGTAGAGACGGGGTTTCACCGTGTTAGCCAAGATGGTCTTGATGTCCTGACCTCGTGATCCACCCACCTCGGCCTCCCAAAGTGCTGGGATTACAGGCGTGAGCCACCGCCCCCGGCCGAAAATGAGTCATTCTTTGCATTTCATTCATTTATGCCCTTAGTCACAAGGGCTTTAGCAAAGAATTGGCTTCCACCCTCTCTTTAAGGTAAGGAAATAAATAATGACCTTGGAAGACAGTATTCATCATAAAAGCGCTTGATGAAAGGAGCAATTGGAGTGAACTATGTAAAACAGGCTTTTCAGTCTAATGGGACAGTGTAATTACTGGTGCAGATTTCTAGTTAGGCCTTAAAGAAATTAAGCCTCCCTATATGGTTAATAATGGACTTGTGTAAGAAGATTGCTTCAGAGATGAAGTTTGTGATTCACATTAGCATATTTGGCAGTGAAAGCGTTACCTTTCTCAATCAAGCAGGATATGTAAGATCTTTGTGTATGCTTTTGCTAAACTTTACTGCTGCCATCCCTGAACTTGACTTGATATTTTTACATCCCCTTCAAGTCTGCATCCCAGTTTTGTGTCATCTACAGTTCTGAAGAGCTGCCTTGTGCTTTATCATCATCCAGGGTTGAAAAGAGCCAGATCATTGGAGAATCCCCACAGACTGACAGTTTTCCCTGAATCGATGCCTGCTTATTGTGCTCATGCAGGTAGCTCCTATTCCATCTCACTTCGCTGCATGCAGCTCACATATTTCAGATGATCCACAAGAACATTGGGAAGGACCTGCCAAAATCCTGCCTTGCTAAAGTCCAGGTATACTCTCTTCCAGATCTCCCTTAACTGCCTTTGCAGATTCTATATCGGAGAAAGAAGTGAGGCTAATTTCACAAACTTATTCTTACCGAATTCATTTATAGCTCTAATAATTACCACTTTTCTTAGATGTGATCCCAAAACAATCCTTTAATAAATGCATTTTAGAACTGCACTGTCCATAGTGGCAGCTACTTGCCATTTAAATTTAATTTAAATGAATTAAAATGAAGCAGACAAAAAATGCAGTTTCTCTATTGGACTAACCATGTTTCAAGTGTTCAATACCTGCCATATTGGGCAGTGCAGATAGAACACTTCTATCATTGCAGAAATTTCTGTTGAACAGAGCTGTTCTAAAACCTTGTTTTAGAATCAGATCTGAGCTCACCCGTCTGCAGATTACTCAGTCATCATTTGACTGTTTTTTTTTTTTTTTTTTTAAAGAGACAGGGTCTCACTTTGTTATCCAGGCTGGAGTGCAGTGGTGCCATCATAGCTCACTGCAGCCTTGGACTCCTGAGCTCAAGTGATCCTCCTGCCTGTCTCCTGAGTAGCTGGGCCTACAGGTACATGGCACCAGGCCTGGACATTATTTAAGTCTTTAAGAAACATCTACATGTGTTTTTTCCTGTCACCTCTCTTTTTCTCCATTTCCTTCAAAATCACCTTGAAGGCGACTCCATTTCTGTATTGCCCAAATCAGTCTACAGTGTAGGTGTTGGATGTGGACTTTTTTTTTGGTTTCTAATGAGGTTGTGTTGCAGATGAGCTGAAGCCACCTTTGATATTCTAGGATTTGTGCCTGAAGAATAGCGCTTTCTGTCTTGCTGATGTTTATATGACTGCTATGATTGTCAAGGGAAATAAGGAGAAATGAATGGGATCCACGTTGCTTGGCCCAGCATACCTGTTTCTGAGTGCTGTTGGAGCTGAGAGGCATGCTCTTGGAGAATCAGCCATCAAGCTGTCTTTTCCAGAGTGGATGTTGTCCAGGGCAGTTGCAGAGTGAGCACACTGTCAATGAGTGCCTGGGGTCCTTCATTTATTTCTTTACAGCATCTGTAGTAGAATAAAATTCCAGTGTTAAGAGACAAAAAAAATGTGCCCAGCTCTCCTGGGGTTGACAGTCTCAGTTGGTAAATCCCATCCCAAGGGGGCAGCTCCTCTCCTGTCTGTGGTTTGCCTGCTGTCCCCCAGGAGCCACACTCACCAGTTTGGTCAGCTGGCAGATGATAAGAGGGAGAGAATCTTTTAGAAAACAGATCCTGGAGATCATTGTTAGTGGAGAACTTATTATCAAGTCAGGAAGAAGAAAAATCATTGTTAGTTGAGTGAATACATTTTAAAAAATGATAAAGTGTTCGTCAGGCACTTGGGATTTCTTGCTCATATGCTAATAGGATTTTTGAAAATCCACTCACTGTTTGGAAACTTGCTTGCTCAGTGACAACTGCATCCAAATAGCAGATCATGAGCCAGGTTTGTGGGGGGACAAGAGTGAAGGGAGTTCGGAGGAAGTCGCTCTGGGCCAGGAGGCAGGGACCCTGGCCACCAGCCATGTGACCCGGGGCAGATCCTTGCAGTGCTGGGCCTTGGTTTTGGCCACTGCCCCCTGGCCCCCCACTTCCCAGAATTATTGTGAGGAACTGTGCGTGTATGTGCAGGAACTGGGTTAACATATCTACTTATGGTTGGCCGGGCGCGGTGGCTCACGCTTGTAATCCCAGCACTTTGGGAGGCCAAGGCGGGCGGATCACAAGGTCAAGAGATCGAGACCATCCTGGCCAACATGGTGAAACCCTGTCTCTACTACAAACACAAAAATTAGCTGGGCATTGTGGCGCATGCCTGTGATCCCAGCTACTTGGGAGGCTGAGACAGGAGAATCACATGAACCAGGGAGTCGAAGGTTGCAGTGAGCTGATATGGCGCCACTGCACTCCAGCCTGGAGACAGAGTGAGACTCAGTCTCAAAAAACAAACAAACAAGCAGACAAACAAACATATCTACCTCTGGTCAACACAGAAACAAGGTAAGCTTTTGTTATCCCCTTTGATAGACAAAGCAACAGAGCTTAATGAGCATGCATGTCACAAGGAAGCACAAATTCACGCTTATTATTTTTATGGGAAGACCCCTCACTTCCTGGTCCTGATGTTCTCTGTGGGACCTTTGGTGAGTCAGGGAAGGCCTCACAGTATGGAGACAACAGTCCCAGCCTCTGACTTGCAGGAGTGTGGGGACTAAGTGACACTGGAAGTGTGCTGCACACGTGCAGGCCTGGATTATTAGGAGGGAAGGTTAGAAATCAAGAGCCAGGGGAAAACTGGGAATAGCTGGCTGGCTTTTCAGAAGGGAGTCATTATTTTGTGCACCTTGCAACTCAGGCAGTGAGCCTGGCGGGGAAAGAGAAATGGCTGCTCTTTTTTTCTGTCCATGTGTCACCCCCTGTCAGTGTGTTACTGGGTGCAGGTGTCTCCTCTGATGGTGTCTGGGCTTTTCTTTCCCCTCCCTTCCTTCTTTGCCTGCTTCTCCTTTGCTCCTCTGTCTCCGTTTCTCTCTCCCTGCATTTTGTCTCTTTCTATTCCTTCTTTCTTCCTTTTTTATCTTCAGATTTTAACCTGTTCCTTTCATCAAATGATGCTTATTAAATACATTTGGTGATTTATATTTTTGTTTCTAAGAAAGCTGATCAAAATAACTGTGTAAGTTCAGTCCGTGAAAAGACAATAATGATGACAGGCAGGCAGCGCTTTGGAGGAAGGAGGGTTGGGTCCCGGGTACCCCTGATTCGGTGGGTGTTTGTGCATAGAGTGGTACCTGCCTGCTTGAGGATAGGAGGCTTTGCAGCTTGAGGTCCTTGCTCCCTGGTGTGGGGCATCTGAAGGGCTGTGGTGGGAAGAGGGTCAGAACCAAGGCCAGATGCACCCGGAGCTTGCTGCACGCACTTCTGGGAGGTTTCCTCTTATTTTCTCTATTTTAATTTCTCCATTTTCTCTTTTCTCTCTTTCCTCTCTTTCTGGAATTCCCATCTATCTGATTTTTGACCTATTCATTCTATCTTTGAAGTCTCTCTTTTCTTTCATATTTTTCCATCTTCTTTTCTTTCTTTCTTTTTTTTTTTTTTTTTTTTTGAGATGGAATCTCTCTCTGTTGCCCACTGCAACCTCCACCTCCTAGGTTCAAGCAATTCTCCTGCCTCAGCGTCCAGAGTAGCTGGGATTACAGGAGCCCGCCACTGCGCCCGGCTAATTTTTGTGTTTTTAGTAGAGACAGCAATTTCACCATGTTGGCCAGGCTGGTCTTGAACTCCTGACCTCAAGTGATCCGTCCACCCTGGCCTCCCAAAGTGCTGGGATTACAGGCATGCGCCAATGTGCCCGGCACCATCTTCTTTTCTTTCCGTTCTGTTTTCTGGGATAGTTCAACGACTTTAAATACCCATATTGAAATGTTTATGCTTGCTCTTACTTTGGCTCTCTGAGGGCTCTTTCTATTCTTTCGTCATTTCTTATTTTGTAGCACTGTATCTTTGTGTTTCTGCGGCAATATCTTCTTCTATTTATTTAAAGGTATTAATTTGTTATTTTGTTTCTTTTTTGACAATTACTTCTGTTTCCTTCACTATCTTTTTTCCTTTGCTGTCCTTGTACTTGCTTGCCTGGATTTTCTTCTTCCTGTTTGAGACCTTCCTCCCAGATCTGTGAGCCGTGGTTGTTAATTCGCATTGAGAAGTGAAGCACTGAAAATTGACTGGAGTGTCTGCAACGTGGCTGCACATTAGCATCACCTGGAAGCATTAAAAACTACCTCTCCCGGGGGACAGTCTCAGGGCCATTGGATGAAGATCTGTTAGATTGGGGTCTGCATATTGATAGGTTGATAAATAAAGATATTGATAGAGATCGGTAGGTAGAAATACAGATTTTCCCTCCTCAGCAATTCTAATGTGCAAGCAGGGCTGAGCGTTGTATAGTCTTGGGTGACAGTGCCGGGCCTCTGGAGAGTTGGTATAATTACCGTGCAGCGAAACCACTCTGCGTTTTACTGTGCCGGGTGCCTGGAAGACTTTGATTGCATCCATATGATTCTTTTTCTGTACCTCTGGCAAATTGCAGATTGGGAGGAATTATATATCCCTACAGAGACTTCAGTGAATGAAGTTTCAGGGACCTATGAGCAAGAAGGATGAACTGGCTTCCCGGGGAGGGGCCAGCAGTCCTTCTGCCAGACAAGTCATCAGGGCTGGGACAGGAAGCATGGGAAGGGCAGCTGTGCAGAGCAGGATCCAGGAGGGGCCACCTGGTGGCAGGTGTGGCCACTGAGCAGCCCCTGGCTAGGGATGGAGCTGGAGCTGCCAGGGAAGCTTTGAGGCCAGGTAACTTGGCTCTTGGGCTCTCATGAAGCCAACTGTTCCTCTCCCAAGCTCTGAGAAAACAGTGGAGTCCTGGAGTGACAGGATATGGTAGCTCCATAAGGAGGAGGAACCTGTAGTTGGAGGGGCAACACCAGGAGGCCAGTGAGCGATACTCTGTACCTGAGAGAGGTGGCCGGAACCTGGGCCCCCACTTGCTGCCAGTGACCTTGCACCTGCCACACCTTCTCTTGGAGTTTTGGCTTCTTTAACTGGGACATGAGGATCCTGACCATCTCTGCCAAGCAGGAGAGGAAATGGGCTGATGTGTGTTGTGAGGCAGTAGAGACTGGGGCATAGGAAGCAAATTGACTCTCAGAGTTTATGGTATAACCTTCTCCCACGCTGTAGGGATCAGGTTTGCCCCTAAACCTGCAGACTGGCTAAGGCCAGGGCTGGAAAGGGAAAAAAGTAAGCAGAGGACAGGTCATGCTGCAGGCCGGCCCCTCACCCCTGGTGACTTGTGCTCTTGGAGTGAGGGCCCAGGAGGGGGTTGCCTGCCTATGCGTGTCTCTCCCTTTCCCCCTCCTGTTCTGTGGGGCTGGGCCTCACACGGCCATTCTTCGAAGGAGGAAGGTGGCCTTTTGCATTCCCTGTTGGTGTGTTACTTATTGTCACTTATTTTTGATTAAGGATATTATATTTAGGGAGAAATTATTTGCATTTTCTTTGTAAATCATCTGAAGAATTGTGCAACACAGGAGTGCATTCGGGAAGAAAATTCAGACATCAGAGATAAAGCAGAGTTCTCCCTTGGCTGCATCTACAACCTTCCTCTCCCTAGAGAACCACTCTGTGGTTAGTGTGTTTTCCTTCATTATCTTATATAAGCATTTATGCATGTGTAGATGTAGATGGCTGTGTTTTGTTTTTATGCACATAGAAGGTATCTGTGCATTGTTCTGCTGCCGGAGTTGTTCAGAACATGGTATTGTGGAGAACCACATGACTGTACACACAGGTCTATCTTAGAGACCTGCCTCATTTGCTTTAACTGCTGCAGAGGCTTCCAGGGACCGTGTGTACAGTACTAGATACTGTTTAATGAACACTTTCCTACTGATGAACATTTAGGTTGTTTCCTAATGTTTGCTGTCACAAACAGTGATGCTGGTGGGTTAATGCTTCTCTAGGGGAGAGAGCAAGAAGCAGAAGTGCTGGCTGTCATCTGCATTCTGCAGTTTACCAGATACTGTCAGGTTCCCTTCCCAAATGGCTACAGAGTGGTTTGGTCCCTGCAGTGTCATCAGTTCCCGACATTATAACTTTGCAGATGTGATAGGGAGAAAATCTCCATTTTATTTTTTCATTTCCTGGATTATTTGTGAAGTCAAGTATATTTGCCTGTGTTTACTGGCACATGTATTTTCTCTTTGGTCAATTTCCCTTTTGTAATTTTTGCTCAGTTTCCCATGGGGTTATTCGTCTTTTTCTTATTGATATCTAGGAAGGTCACACGTTCATGTGAGTGTTTGGGTGTGTGGGTATACAAGCAAAAAAAGGTTTAATACATCCTGGATGCTCATTCTTTGATACATTTACTTCGACTATTTTCTTCCAGTCTGTTGTCTTCTGTTTTAGGTGTTTTTTTTTTTTCTCATCCAGGTTTAAACATTGTTTATTGTTGTAGCTAAATAATTCACTTTATTTAGGGATTATAAGAAAATGTAGAAAGTAAATTTGCATTCTTTTCCTTTTTCTTAGTATTATGAAACTTATTTCTTTTTTAAAAAACCAGTCTGTTGAGGTAAGATTGCCATATAAAAGCTGTACACATTTTTTTTTTCCAGTGACTTTTTTAAAAAATATATTTAAAAACAAAACCGGCCGGGTGCTGTGGCTCACGCCCGTAATCCCAGCACTTTGAGAGGCCGAGAGGGGTGGATCACCTGAGGTCAGGAGTTTGAGACCAGCCTGACCAACATGGTGAAACCCGGTCTCTACTAAAAATACAAAAAAAAATTAGCTGGGTGTGGTGGCATGTACCTGTAATCCCAGCTACTCGGGAGGCTGGGGCAGGAGAATTGCTTGAACCCGGGAGGCAGAGGTTGCAATGAGCTGAGATCATGCCATTGCACTCCAGCCTGGGCAACAAGAGTGAGACTCCATCTCAAAAAACAAAAGACAAAACGACCTCCTCCCAAATAACCCCCAAACAAACAAAAAACCAGATTAAATAAAATTTACAGTGAATATACCCAGCAAACATTTGTATGTGCAATTCAATACTGTGTCTGTTACTGCGGCACGAACCTCAGACAATATATAAGCGTTCTGGGGGGTCGGGAGAGTCCCAAGTTTTAACTCTGTGGGGTCTAGGAAGACAAGATGGGGAAGTGAGAGAATGGGGAAATCCGTTTTGTTTATCTTAATTCTTTCCATATAAATATATTCATAAAGACCAAAAAGGAAAGGAAGCTTGGGATGTTAAGGTAATAGGAGAATAGGAGAGTGTGGGACTTTCCCAATTCTGACTGACCAAAAAATATGAAAGGAATTAATTTTATGGTGGGAGAAGAGATTTAAAAAATAAAAAAAAGAGGATGGGGGCCAGGCACAGTGGCTCATGCCTGTAATCCCAGCACTTTGGGAAGCCAAGGCGGGCGGATCACCTGAGGTCAGGAGTTGAGACCAGCCTGGCCAACATGGTGAAACCCCGTCTCTACTAAAAATACAAAAATTAGCTGGGCATGGTGGCGCGCGCCTGTAGTGCCAGCTACTCGGGAGGCTGAGGCAGGAGAATCACTTGAACCCAGGAGCCACAGGTTGCAGTGAGCCAAGATCATGCCACTGCACTCCAAAAAGCTGTACATATTTAATGTACAACTTTGTGAGTTTAGAGCGAAGCCAACCCCCATGAAACCATTGCCACAGCGTGTGCCGTAAACAGATCCATCACCTGCTCACGTTTCCTCCTGCCTACTTTATTACGATGATGATGATTTGTGATGAGAAACTCAACAGAAGATCCACCTTCTCAGCAGATTTTTAACTGTACAATACAGTGTTGTTAGCTGTAGGCACTGTGCTTTATAGTAAATCTCCAGAACTTACTCAGCTCGGACAGCTGATACCGTGTACCCTCGGCCCAGCATCTTTCCACTTCCCCTACCCCCAGCTCCTGGAAACCCCCATTCTACTCTCTGCTTCTATGAGTTGACTTTTTAAGATTCTGAATATAAGTGAGATCATGCGGTATTTATCTTTCTGTGCCTGGCCTATTTCACTTAATGTCCTCCAGTTTCATCCGTGTGGCTGTACATGGCAGGATTTCCTTCTTTTTAAAAGCCGAATAACACTCCATTGTAAGTGTATACCATGTTTTCTTTATCTGTTCATCCCTCAAAGGACATTTAGATTATTCACATATCTTGGGTATTGTGAATAATGCCGCAGTGAGCGTGGGAGTGCAGACTTCTCTCTGAAATACCGATTTCAGTTCCTTTGGATGTATGCCCAGCAGTAGGATTGCTGGATCATTCGGAAGTTCTATTTTTAATTTTTTGAGGAACCTCCATACTATTTTCCATAATAGTGATACCAATTTGTATTCCTATCAACAGTGCACAAGGATTTTCTTTTCTGCACATTCTCACCAACGCTTCTTATCTTTCATCCTTTTGATACTAGCCATTCTTACAGGTAATAGTGTGTTTTGCATTTCCCCGATTGGTCTTTTCCTTGATGATTTTTTATTGTCTTATTTAAGAAGGGCTTCCTTATACTGAGTATCTAACATTTTAGAGTCACCTATTTTACAATAAGTCTTTAGTCCCCTTGAAATTTATTTTTGTGAATAGCGTAACTCAGGGATATATATATAGCTTTTAAAAAATGAGTTGCAAAGTTTATAACCCATTCCCCCCACCAGCTGATTTGACATGTTACCTTTATCATATGGTAAATCATTATAGATGATGAGTTGTTCTGGACTGTCTTCTGCTGGTCTATTTGTATACTCTCGTGGAATAAAAAATTCTATGGTTTTATATCCTTCATTGTTCTTCTAGAGTGTTTCTGCAATTGTTTCCTCTGCCATCTGAATTTTATTATTCTCATTGGAGGTTCTTTTGGAATTGCACTGACTTTCTAAGTTGATTTGGACCAAATTAAAATACTTAAAATTGAAATATTTACTATATTAAAATGCAGTATTATTTGTTTTTATCTGGGAATGTAGTGTATTTTTTTCTTGAAAGTTTTGTACACTTTTGTTATGTTCTTTCCCTATATGCTTTATAGTTTTGTTGCTATTGTGTATGAAATATTTTTTATTATTACATTTTCTATTTGGTTGTTGCTGGTGCTTAGGAGAGCCATTGATTTATGTGTTAAACTCATACCTGGCCACCTTGCTAAACCTTTTTCTTAGTCCTAATAATTCGTCCGTTGATTCTCTTGGTTTTCTATAAAGACAGGAATATTGTCTGAAAAAAATGCCTCCTTCTTCCCCTCTTCCTTCTCAAACTGTACACCTCTTGAGATGTCTCTTTGTGTTTGTACTTCTAGGTAGGGTAACCAGCCCCAGACTGAAAGGTGACAGTGATAGCAGCCTTCCTAATCTTGTCCCTAAATTTACAGGGGATACTTTTATGGCGTCACTATAAAATGAGATGTTTTGCTGCACTTGGCTGATAAATATCCTTTATCAAGTTAAGGGAGTTTGCTTCTTGGTCTACCTTTTAAGGTTTATTTTAAATCAGGAATGGGTTGTCGAATTTGATGGCCATTATACCTTTTTCCTTTTTTTTTTTTTTTTTTTTTTTTTTTTTTTTGAGACAGAGTCTTGCTCTGTTGCCTAGGCTGGAGTGTAGTGGCGCGATCTTGGCTCACTGCAACCTCTGTCTCCGAGGTTCAAGCGATTCTCCTGCCTCAGCCTCCCGAGTAACTGTGAATACAGGCGTCCGCCCCCATGCTTGACTAATTTTTGTATTTTTAGTAGAGATGGAGTTTTGCCATGTTGGCCAGGCTGGTCTTGAACTCCTGACCTCAAGTGATCCACCTGCCTCAGCCTCCCAAAGTGCTGGGATTATAGGCATGAGCCACCACACTTGGCCCCATTTTATACCTTTTTCATGGAAGTAAACATTTTCTAATTCACAATAAAAGAGAAAAAAGTATAATAAACACAACATATCCATTGCCATATTTGCTTAGATTTGTTGTTAGCATTTTATTATATTTGCTACTTCTTTCCTTTTTGTCGATTTTTTTTTTTTTTTTGAGATACAGTCTCGCTCTGTTGCCCAGGCTGGAGTACAGTGGCATGATCTCGGCTCACTGCAACCTCCACCTCCCAAGTTCAAGCGATTCTTCTGCCTCAGCCTCCTGAGTAGCTGGGATTACAGGTGCATGCCACCATGCCTGGCTAATTTTTGTATTTTTAGTAGAGACGGGGTTTCACCATGTTAGCCAGGCTGGTCTCGAACTGCTGACCTCAAGTGACCCACCCACCTCAGCCTCCCAAAGTGCTAGAATTATAGGCACAAGCCACTGTGCCCGGCCTTTTTTGCTGAAGTTTTAAAAGTTGTAGCCATCATTATTTGGCCATATAAGTTCAGCGTGCACTTTAAAAATAAGCACATCTTCCTACATTTCCACGAGACCATTATCATAGTAACAGCATTCACAGTAATTCATTGATAACATTTAATACCCAGTCTATGGTAAACACTCTCCAGTTGTTACCAGAATGTCCTCTACAGCTGGTTTCTTTACCAGGGCCTGGTCACTGCGGAGACAGCACTGTGGGCCCTGATGTCTCCACTCCTTCTCTAACTGGAATGCACCCTCTTCCTTTTTGTTCCATTACACCTCTCTATTGCAGAGACTCACGTGGACCAGCTGTCCTGCATCAAATCCCATCTTCAGCGTTCGTCTGATTGCTTTCTGGGCTAGCATTTAACTTTTCTCTCTAGCTCTTGCGCTTCTTGTAAATGGGAATTTCAGTCCAAAGGCTTGTGTGTTTTTGCTGTGAAACAACAGCAGAATCTCATAGGACGAGAATTTTTCTTCCTGTTTGTAGGCAGGGTCAGCAAAAGGGCAGGTTTGTTCAGGTTGCAGGTCTGCTGGGGTAGCTCTGCCTGACATGTTTATTCTGAGACCCAAACTAGAGGGTAGGGGCTGCATGGGGCTCGTGTTGCCCATGGTGAGTCAGAGGAACACAGGAGGAGCGGATGGAAGCAGGAGATGGCCTGAGGTATAGCCTTGGGGCTTGCAGGTGGACGGTTCCCATTCCACTGTCGAGTATCAATGGAGTGGGCAGTGTGCTTGTCCCATGGAGGAGGAAGGGGTATTTGCTGAATGATTAAATCCAACCCACCAAAGCATGTTTAGATTCAGACTAAAAGTTCTTGGCAAGAATACTTCATAAGCGGTGGTGTATGCATTCTATTGCAGCATGTCACAATTCACATGTAATACGTGGTTGTCTCATTAGCAACTGATCTGACTAGTTACCATTTATTAATAAGATGCTGTGCTGAACTTCTGTTAACCTCAAAAGGGGAAAGCACCAGGTTCAAGGCTGAAGAAGAGACCCAGAGCCAGGAAACAAGAATTGGGATTTTTTTTTTTTTTTTTTTTGAGATGGAATCTTGTTCTGTCGCCCAGGCTGGCATGCAGTGGCGCCATCTTAGCTCACTGCAGTCTCCGCCACCTGGGTTCAAGCAATTTTCCTGTCTCAGCCTCCTGAGCAGCTGGGACTACAGGCACGTGCCACCCTGCCCAGCTAATTTTTTTGTAATTTTTAGTAGAGACAGGTTTTCACCGTGTTAGCCAGGATGGTCTCGATTCGATCTCTTGACCTTGTGATCCGCCTGCCTCGGCCTCCCAGAGTGCTGGGATTACAGGCGTGAGGCACTGCGCCTGGCCAAGACTTGGGATTTTATTAGGGGCCTGCATACAGGGGAGACGGATGGTGGTGGATTGGACCAGAGAACCGCCTTATGTACAGAGATGGTCCAGTGATGGGCTGGGCGTGGTGGCTCACGCCTATAATCCCAGCAATTTGCGAGGCCGAGGCGGGCAGATCACCTGAGGTCAGGAGTTCGAGGCCAGGCTGGCCACCGTGGTGAAACCCCATCTCTGCAAAAATACAAAAATTAGCCAGGCGTGGTGGTGGGTGCCTGTAATCCCAGCTACTCGGGAGGCTGAGGCAGGAGAATTGCTTGAACCCGGGAGGCAGAGGTTGCAGTGAGCCAAGATCGTGCCACTGCACTCCAGCCTGGGCGACAGAGCAAGACTCCGACTCAAAAAAAAAAAAAAAGAAAAGAAATGGCCCAGAGATGGCGGGCTGGATAACATATCGGCCTTCCTGCAGTCTTGTGGCAGTGGGCTGGGCAGGAAAGCTGCAACTTCTTGCCAACTTTATGCAGTTTATTTAGCATTTCTACTTAACACCCTCCTCTTAATGACCCCTACCCAGCAACCTTCATTTACCCCAAAACTCAGGGCCTCAATGCCCTGTATGGCCCGTGTTCCATAGGATGTTCCAGGGGCTCAAATGTTCCTCATAGACAAGGAACGAATCTCTGGGTTGGCCACACCTGATTCCCCAGCTCAGAGCACACACTCAGGTGCATCTGCCATACAGGGTCCTTCTGAGGGTAGGTTCAAGTTATCGCTGTCAGGTGCATTTACCCTACAGCTGGTGACAGCTTGAGTCTTCTTTTATAAAGTTTCTTATGCTTGAGACTGACAAGAAATCTGTGGCTAGTTCTTTGGCACCATGTATATGAACGGCCAGTTAACCCTCTGTTATCCATTGGTGATCCTGGCCTGAATCAGTTAATTCATTAGTTGTTGCAAATTGGTGGTTTCACAATTCTCTCATACTGTTTTCATTTATTAGCTGTTATTCTTCTGTAAAGAAGAGATTTTCCTTATCACCTGGAGCTGTTAGACCACCCTGAAATACAGTATCGTTAGAACAGGCCGGGCATGGTGGCTCACGCCTGTAATCCCAGCACTTTGGGAGGCTGAGGTGAGCGGATCACGAGGTCAGGAGATCAAGACCATCCTATCTAACAAGGTGAAACCCCGTCTCTACTGAAAATACAGAAAAAAAAAAAATTAGCTGGGCATGGTGTTGGGCGCCCATACTCCCAGCTACTCATGAGGCTGAGGCAGGAGAATGGTGTGAAGCCAGGAGGCGGAGCTTGCAGTGAGCCGAGATCCTGCCACTGCACTCCAGCCTGGGCGACAGAGCAAGACTCTGTCTCAAAAAAACAAGAACAAAAAAAACCAAATCCTTATTTCTCTTCAATTGTTAATTTTCAGAATAAGAAGTTGGCAATAGCCAATTTTAATGGTATGATACATTCTCAGGGTGTGCCATCTTCCCCTTTATGATATAAACCATTTTTGGTCATGACGTGTTAGTTTTTAATGCTAATAGTGAACCTATTTGTTAAAGTTTGAGGTAAGATCTTTGCCTCTCTCATGTTGGAGACTAGTTTGTGCTTATCCTTTCATAAAATAAATTGCTTCAGCTTTCCATCTCTTTTTTGAGATGTGACATCATGGTAATCTATTCCTTGAAAATGTAATAAAACGTGTTTGTCAATTCATCTCGGTCTGGCCTTTATTAGGTTACCTTGTTATTTTAAAATATCTTCTATAGCTATTCAGTTTTTCTACTTATTGAGCCAATTGTGGTAATTTATATTTTCTTAGAAAATCTTACATTTCATTCAGTTAGATTTGCAAATTCATTGGCATAAAGTTCTGAAAAGTATTCTCATAATTTTATAAATTTTTCTGCATCTGTAATTATGGGCTTTTCAGTTCTAATGTTTGTGTTTTCTTTCTTTTTCTTGATTTGTCTTATGATATGTATTCTTTTTATACTGGGCCAACTTTCAATTAATTACTGTCTTAATTTTTTTTAGTCTTTTATCTTTTTTTTCTTTTTTTTTCTTTTTGAGGCAGTCTTGCTCTGTTGCCCAGGCTGGAGTGCAGTGGTGTGATCTCAGCTCACTGCAGCCTCCGCCTCCCGGGTTCCCGCATTCTCCTGCCTCAGCCCACCGAGTAGCTGGGACTACAGGCGCCTGCCACCACGCCTGGCTAATTTTTTGTATTTTTCGTAGAGATGGGGTTTCACCGTGTTAGCCAGGATGGTCTCGATCTCCTGACCTCATGATCCGCCCACCTTGAAGCCTCCCAAAGTGCTGGGATTACAGGCGTGAGCCACCGTGCCCGGCCTAGTCTTATATTTTTCTAATTCCTTCATTTTGATTTTCACTTTTATTTCTTAGACTTATTTTATACATTAACACTCTTTTCGTTTTTTTTTTTAATTTAATTTTTAAGTTTTGGGGTACATGTGCAGGATGTGCAGCAGGTTTGTTAGGCCGGTAAACGTGTGCCATGGTGGTTTGCTGCACCTATCAACCCATCACCGAGGTATTAAGCCCCACATGCATAAGCTGTTTTTCCTAATGTTCTCCCTCCCCCGATCCCACCCCTGACAGGCCCCAGTGTTTGTTGTTCCCCTCCCTGTGTCCATGTTTTCTCAGTGTTCAGCTCCCACTTATAAGTGAGAACATGTGATGTTTGGTTTTCTGTTCCTTTGTCAGTTTGCTGAGGATAATGGCTTCCAGTTCCATCCATGTTTCTGCAAAGGATATGATGTCATTCCTTTGTATGGCTGCATAGTATTCCATGGTATGTATATATGTACCACAGTTTCTTTATCCAGTCTTTCATTGATGGGCATTTGGGTTGATTCCATGTCTTTGCTATTGTGAATAGTGCTGCAGTGAACATAGGGGTGCATGTATCTTTGTAACAGAATGATTTATTTTCCTTTGAGCCTATAAACCAGTAATGGGATCACTGGGTCAAATGGTATTTCTGGTTATAGATCTTTGAGGAGTCACCACACTGTCTTCCACAGTGGTTGAACTAACTTGCATTCCCACCAACAGTATACAAGCATTCCTATTTCCCCGAAACCTCGCCAGCATTTGTTGTTTCTTGACTTTTTAATAATCACCATCCTGACTGGCATGAGGTGGTATCTCATTGTGGTTTTGATTTGCATTTCTCTAATGATCAGTGATGTTGAGCTTTTTTTCATATGTTTGATGGCCACATAAATCTCTTCTTTTGAGAAGTGTCTGTTCATGTTCTTTGCCTGCTTTTTAATGGGGTTGTTTGGGTTTTTTTTCTTGTAAATTTAAGTTCCTTGTAGATTCTTGATACTAGACCTTTGCCAGGTGGCTAGATTGCAAAAATTTTCTCCCACTCTGTGGGTTGCCTGTTTGCTGTGATGATAGTTTCTTTTGCTGTGCAGAAGCTCTTTAGTTTAATTAGTTCCCATTTGTCAATTTTTGCTTTTGATGCAGTTGCTTTTGGCGATTTCATAATGAAATCTTTGCTGGTGCCTATGTCCTGAATGGTATTGTCTAGATTTTCTTCTAGGGTTTTTATAGTTTTGGGTTTTACATTTAAGTCTTTAATCCATCTTGAGTTAATTTTTGTATGAGGTGTAAGGAAGGGGTCCAGTTTCAATTTTTTGCATATAGCTAGCCACTTCTTCCAGCACCACTTACAAACAGGGAATCCTTTCCCCATTGCTTGTTTTTGTCAGGTCTGTTGAAGATCAGATGACATTAACCCACTTTTCTACCAAAAAAAAAAAACCCCTCTGTAGTAAATGTGTATATTTCCTAATGAGTACTAATTTGGCCATATCCCCTAGTTGTGATATCTAATTTTTTGTTCATGTCTAAAAATACATCATTTACATTTTGAATGCTTTCTAAGCCTCAGTTATTTAATGTTTAAGAATTTCCCAGGCATGTCATATTTTGTTTTGTTTTTGTTCTTTAACTATCTTTGTAGCAGTCTGGGTCCACTCAGGAGATGGGAACCCCAGGGGGAGCATCATATTTAATAGAATTATTAGGTATGATGAGAGAGTAGCTGTTAAGAGGTGGAAGTTCTGTGTGGTATCGTGGGGGTGGAGGGAGGGGGACCTAAGCAGGGGCAGACCTGGGAAAGCCCCAGGGAAGGACCAGCTTGTTAGGGAAGGTGTGGTTCAGCAGTGGAGAGCAGGGACAGCCGCTGGTTCAGGCAGTCCAGCACTGGTCTAGAGATGCTGTTGGTCACAATAGGCCACCCTCTGGAGTACAGGCTGGGGAGCAGTGGCTTGAGGCTGGGCCTGCGGTGTGAGTTCGGGCACCAGCACGTCCAGAGGTGCCGGACATGCAGAAGGAACGATTGCTCAACGCAGGACTCTCCAGACCACGCGGGCTACATGGGGTTTGTCGAGGGAGTCCAGAGGTGGCTGGCCATGTGGAGCTCTGGGTTCGAGGCCCAACAGGTGTGGCCCCAACAAGGCTGCAGGGTTGCAGAAGAACTAGGTGCCTCTGTGGCCTGAGCCGGGAACTGCGGGAACCGTTTTCCTCCAGCAATGTTGCTCCATCACCCTCTGCCCAGAAAGCTTAATGTGCTCACTCTAAAGGAGAAACATGACCGGGCCCGGTGGCTCACGCCTGTAATCCCAGCACTTTGGAAGGCAGAGGCAGGCGGATCACGAAATCGGGGGATAGAGATCATCCTGGCTAACATGGTGAAACCCCGTCTCTACTAAAAATACTTAAAAAAATTAGCCGGGCGTGATGGCGGGTGCCTATAGTCCCAGCTACTCGGGAGGCTGAGGCAGGAGAATGGCGTGAACCCGGGAGGCGGAGCTTGCAGTGAGCCGAGATGGCCCCACTGCACTCTAGCCTGGGCCACAGAGCCAGACTCCGTCTCAAAAAAATAAAAATAAATAAATAATAATAATAATAATAAAATAAAGGAGAAACGCTTAAGGGAATTCTGTTTATTCAGAGAACATATTGAGGGGTACATTCAGAATTGGGAGGCAATGAATTGATAACTGACACAACCTTTTTGTCATTCCTTTCTAATTGTCCCATTGTAGTCAGTGGGTGTAGCCAGTACAGATTCTTTGTAGAATGTCACATTTCTTTTGTGGCCTAATGCTACATAGGCAGTTTTGGTTAAACCCATGTGAGTATGTGTGTGTGTGTGTGTGTGTGTGTGTGTGTGTGTAAAACCTCCGCCTTCTCTATTTGTTAGGTACGGGGTTCTAAATAAATCTTATTGTTATTTAAATTTTTATATCCCATCTCATTTTTGTCTGGTTAATTTGATTTTAATCTCTCAATATGAATGTGGCTATTAATTTCACCTTTTATCATTATTTGCTTGGTTTATATTTTGAAGCTATGTTGTGAAGTTTATAAAGGTACATGATGCTCTTGGTGGATTATTTTTGTTATTAATGGGAATTTTTCCTTTTATGCCTTTGCATACTTTGTTGTTTACATTCATTTTGTCTGATTAATATTGCCATATGAGCCTTCTTTTTATTAGCACTTGTCTGGTGTATCTTTTCCTATACTTTTATTTTTAGCAGTCTTCGTGCCATTTTTTTCAGGTGTCATCAGAAGAGACTAAGCAACTCATGGCTTAATTTTCTAAAATAATCTGAAAATCTATGTTTTTCAACAGATGGACTAAAAGAGAGTATAAAGAGCACTGCATTCATTTGCTCAGGCTGCGGTAACAAAACACAGACTTGGTGTCGGAATCCATAGAAATGTATTGCCTCACAGTTCTGGAGGCTGGGAGTCCAAGATCAAGGTGTCAGCAGGGCTGGCCTCCTCGGGCCGTCTCTCCTTGGCCTTGATGCCCCTGCATGTGTTCTTCCTTCTGTGCCTGTTGTGTGCCCCTGGGGTCTCTCTGTGTACCCCAATTTATCTTTTTTTTTTGAGATGGAGTTTTGCTCTTGTTGCCCAGGCTGGAGTGCAGTGGCGCAATCTTGGCCCACTGCAACCTCTGCCTCCCCGGTTCAAGTGATTCTCTGCCTTAGCCTCTGGCAAAATGCCCTTTTCAATCCTCCCTGCCATTGGCTACTTTTAGGATCCTGCTGATTGGTGCATGTTACAGATTGCTGATTGGTGTGTTTTACAGAGTGCTGATTGGTGCATTTTACAATCCTCTTGCTAGCTACAGAGTGCTGATTGGTGCTTTTTTACAGAGTGCTAATTGGTGCATTTTACAATCCACTTGCTAGCTACAGAGCGCTGATGCATTTTACAATCCTCTTGTAAGACAGAAAAGTTCTCCAAGTCCCCACTCAACCCAGGAAGTTCAGCTGGCTTCACCTCTCACAACCACCCCAAGAAAGTTGAGGGTGAAGTGCAGGCCATGCACAGGATGCTGTCTTGATACTGAGAAAAGGAAGGTGGTGTTAACCACAGAATTTCATGGCCAGGGGTGAGAGTTAATGTAGCAGAGGGGCTCTCCTTGGAAGGGCTGTCTAGAAGAAGAGTGTGTAACTCTGGGCAGGATAGGAAGAGGTGACACCTCCATGAGAAAAGGGACTTTGTCTTTTTTGCCCCTGTCTCCCCAGCCTGTGGCTGGTGTGTGTCAAAGAGGCAGAGTCATTCCTGTGTAGTCATGATGGTTAGTTTTGTGTGTTAACTTTGCCCAGCTCTGGTGCCCAGTTGATTTGCTCAAACACCAGTCTGGATGTTGCTGGGAAGGTAATTTTTGGGTAAGATGAACATAGTAGACCTTGAGTAAAGCAGACTGTCCTTCATATTTGGATGGGCCTAATTCGATCAGTTGAAGGCCTTAAGACCAAAGGCTGAGGTTCCCCGAAGGGGAAGGTCGGCCCCCAGACCCCCTTGTGACTCAAGACTGGAATGTCAA
This sequence comes from Homo sapiens, assembly GCF_000001405.40. Lineage (NCBI taxonomy): Eukaryota > Metazoa > Chordata > Mammalia > Primates > Hominidae > Homo > Homo sapiens. Next base: position 29,032,433 of record NC_000015.10, read on the forward strand.
CTCCTCCTGGAGTTCCCAGCCTGCCGGCCTGCCCTGCAGATTTCAGATTTGCCAGCCTCTGCAGTCATGTGAGCCAATTCCTTGAAATAAATCTCTTTTTATATATCCTGTTGGTTCTCTTTCTCTGAAAATTCCTAATACTGTAGTTTTTTCATCTGGTGATCTATTTGGCTATCTCACTAACTTCTGAGTTGGGACAGCCTCAGAGTCAGAAGTCATGTGTCTCCTGGACCCTCCATCCCCAAAGCACAGCCCCATGCCAAAATATGCCTTTATGTTAGTAGCACTGCCCAGCCCTGTTCAGTTTTCTGAGATCCAGTTCCTACAAGACTGTGGCACTCAGTACTTTTCATCTCATTGGGTTCTGTGCCTCTGGGGCTGTTGCCTCTGAGACCAGATCCCGGATCCTTTCTTTGTGGGCTGCTCCACCCCTGCTGTGGAAATCACACAGAAGGCGGACAGTACATGTGGACAGGTCAGACAGACACACTGATTGGCCAGCTGCAGCATGGGGAGCATGGACTCTGCCCACAGCTGTGGCGAGATGGCTCTGTGGTGAGATCTGGGCTTTCTTGTGTGCTGAGGAATGGGAGCGTTTGCCATCCTTATCCAAGCTGCATCACTCAGGGCTGGCCCCTCTGAGGTTGCACTGTGGGCCCCACCCCAGCCTCTGAACGAGAATTGGCATACCAGCCAGATGCCTAGGTGATCTGTGCATGTGCTGCAGGTGGAGAAGGTCTGCACTAGACATCTCCAGAAGGACGATCTGGGATCAGGGTTAGACAAGGCCCACGTCTGCTGCCCAGCCCTCTCCTCTTTGATGTCCTTTCTGCACCTGACACCTCTTCTTGACATTCCCTTTCCTTGGTTTATGTGGTAAGACCTCTCTGTCCACAACAGGAATGGTCTTACCCATCTTCTTCTCCTACCATGTATTAATAGTTCCCTGTGCCTTAAACCCCTGATTCAAAACCTGCTTCCTCAACTCTCCAAAGTCAGCCAAGCGAGAGGTTATGGGCACAGTCTTCCACAAGACTGCCCTCACTTCTGACACCAGCCCCAAATTCAGGGGTCCTCAGGCCCATCCTTACTTCTTACCAGCTGGTCAGGGGTTCCCATGACCAGTCTTAAATTAGATAATTTGCTAGAATGACTCACAGAACTCAGAACACCATTATACTTAACAATGACAGTTTCATTATAGCAAAAATTTACAACCCAGAACCAGACAAAAGAAGGAACACCTGGCTGGGCGCGGTGGCTCACGCCTGTAATTCCAGCACTTTGGAAGGCCGAGGCAGCTGGATCACGAGGTCAGGAGATCGAGACCATCCTGGCTAATAACGGTGAAACCCCGTCTCTACTAAAAATATTTTTAAAAAATTAGCCGAGCGTGGTGGCGGGCGCCTGTAGTCCCAGCTACTCGGGAAGCTGAGGCAGGAGAATGGCGTTAACCCAGGAGGTGGAGCTTGCAGTGAGCTGAGATGGCACCACTGCACTCCAGCCTGGGCGACAGAGTGAGACTCCATCTCAAAAAAAAAAAAAAAAAAAAAAAAAGAAGAAGGGACACCTAGGGTGAAGTCTGGGAGGCTTCCAGATGCAAAGCTTTGGCGTCCTCAGAGATGCATTATCCTCCCAGCATCCAAGTGTGACAGTAATCAAAGAGTATTGCCAAAAAAGGAACCTCACCTGAGCTTCAATGTCTAGAGTTTTTATTTGGGATTCTTTATGTAGGTATGATGCATGATGAATTGAATCAGTGAATTGATTAAATTGTTGGCCATGTGGTTGAGCTCAATATCTAGCCTTCCCAGAAGTCAGGCTGGTAGCCCGTGTCTCCTGTCTCAAAGCCCCAACCCTCTAGTAGCTAGTTGGCCTCTCTGGCATCACCAACCTCCATCCTGAGTCATCTCTTTTGCATAAACTTTGGAACGCACCACGAATAACAAGGACACTCCTATCACTTGGAGATTCCAAGGATGTAGAGGCTCCCTCCAAGGTACCAGAAGGCCAGCCA